>NC_000001.11:42281107-42584138 GCF_000001405.40 Homo sapiens | reverse complement strand
ACATTTTGTTTTTTCCAGGTGGAAGGTTGGAGCAGGCATTTTTATAGTTTATAAACACTGCTAGATATCTGCTGCTCACCTTGGCATGACGCAACAGCCAGGCCTACAACTGCTCCACCTTCCCTTGAATCCTCCTTCACCTTTTCCATCTCCTGGGCCAGATGTCTATTTAGCTCCTTGATGAAGGGTGCCAGTTTTTCCTGTAGGATACCTACACTTTATCAAGGTTAGAGGCAGCAAGAACTGACATGGCTTCCAGTCCATCTTCATGGTTTTCACCTTGTTGCTCTTCCACTTTACATTCAACTTCATTTCATGATTGTTTGCCCTGCAGACTTCAAGCTCTAGCATAAGATGCAAAGATGACGCCATACAGACTGCATAACCAGTTCCCATAATTGCATAAGACCAAGTCCCTGTAATAAGGCTTTTATTAAATATATATTCCTACTGATTCTATTTCCTGGTAGAAGTGCTTATTATGTGTCAGGATATATATTATGTCACTGAAATAGAAGAAACTGGGAAAAATCTAAATGTTCAACAATAAAGGATTTATTAAATAAAATGTGACATATCATTAAAATAATATTCTAGAAAAAAATGTAATGTCAGATAAACAGATCGTAATATTTTAAGTGAAAAAGTAGGTTACAATCTAACTATTTAAATCAGGGTTATTTTCTTCCAGATTATGAAACAATATACACTATAGGGTCCCCTTTCGGTAGAAGAATTTCCCTATATATTTTATTTTCCTACACTTAGTTTAAATAGTGCATACATATTTCTTCTTAGCAAATCTTCACAAAAGATGTATAGAACTGGCATTACAATTCCCACTTTAGACATAAGGACACTAAGCAAGAACAAACATCAAATTTATGGTGAAACTAAGGTGGAAGAATGCTGAAGTCATTGATGCTTTAATGAAAAGTTTAAAGAGACAACAGCCCAAAGAAATCAGCAGTTTACTAATGGATAAGTCATTTTAAGAAGGGATGAGATGATGTTGAAGATGAGGGCCACAGTGGCAGACCATCCACACCAATTTACAAAGAAAAAAAATAATTTTTTTGTGCCCTAATTGAAGACTGATAATTAGCAGCAGAAACAATAGCCAATATCATAGACATCTCAATTGATTCAGCTTACCACAATTCTGACAGAGAAATTAAAGTTTAGCAAACTTTCCACTTGATGGGTGCCAAAACTGTTGCATTCAGATTAGCTACAGACAGGAGCAAAGCTTTCAATAGGAATTTTACACAAGTGGGAGGAAGATCCTGAAGCACTTCTTTGAAGAATTGTAACAGGAGAAGAAACATGGCTTTACCAATATGATACTGAAGACAAAGCATAATCAAAGAAATGGCTACCAAGAGGAGGAGGAAGTGGCCCAGTCACAGCAAAAGTGGACCAGTCAAGAGCAGAGGTCATGCCAACAGTTTTTTGTGATGCTCAAAGGATTTTGCTTATTGACTTTCTAGAAAGCCAAATGATAACCTGTTTATTATGAGAGTGTTTTGAGAAAGGTAGCCAAAGCTTTATTTTAAAAAATCCCTGGGAAAGCTTCACCAGATTCCTTCTCTACCATGACAATGCTCCTGCTCATTCCCCTTATCAAACAAGGGCAATTTTCCAAGAGTTTTGATGGGGAATTATTAGGCATCCACCTTACAGTCCTGATTTGGCTCCTTCTGATTTCTTTTTGTTTCCCAATCTTAAAAAATATTTAAAGGGCACCCATTTCTCTTTGGTTAATAATGTGCAAAAGACTGCAATGATATGGTTAAACTCCCAGGATTCTCACTCAGTTCTCTAGGGATGGACTAAATGGTGTGCTTCATCACTTACAAAAGTGCCTTGACCTTGATGGAGCTTATGTTGAGAAATAAAGTTGTTTTTTGAGACAGGGTCTCATTCTGCCACCCAGTCCAGAGTGCAGTGTTTCAATCATGGCTTACTGCAGCCTCAAACTCCTGGGCTCAAGTGATCCTCCTACCTCAGCCTCCTGAGTAGCTGGGACTAAAGGAGTCCACTGTCATGCCTGGATCATTTTTTTTTTTTTTTTTTTTTGGTATAGACAAAGACTCACTATGCTGCCCAGGCTGGTCTCAAACTCCTAGGCTCAAGTGATCCTCCTACCTCGGCATCCCGGAGTGCTGGGATTACAGGTGTGAGCCACTGCACCTGGCCAATATATTTTTTATTTTATCTTTCAATTCAATTTTTCCACAAACTCTCTGAAGTCCCCTCGTACAGAATATCAACTTCATTGTAGTTTGAATTTTGTCAGACTACATGTCAGAGCAAATTCCATAGTATTTCATAGGCAAGTCAGTCAAGAATATTTACTGTTACCACTAGGTGTGCCCCAGAACCAGAAGAAATAATCTCTGCCTTTAAAAATCTCACACTCTAGCGCCAGAGGTAAACTAGAAAATAAACAATTAGAATACAGTGTGGTAAGTGCAATACATCAGGAATTGTGTGTGGCTGAGTTTACTTCAGTGGGGACAGAGCAGAAATACTCTCTGATATTCTGTTAGAAAAAATTGATATTGCTGATTAACTCAGTCATGGCTAAACCCACAGGAAACTGAGATCTCTGCTCCTCTTACCTCTTCTGTTGTTCTTCTTGATATTGTTGCTTTACTTTAGCTTCATTTTGTGTTGCTTCTTTTATCTTTTCCTCTAGCTGCTGCTTCTCTGAAATACAAGTGTCTGTGAGACAGACTTTATGAGCATGTTCTAATTTCCGCTGCAGGTCCAAAATCTTGAATGAAAAAACATTTACAAGTAAAGCATTAAGAAGAGTGTGACCTTTTTTCAAATTAGGGGAATAACATATAAATAGCAAACATAGCAGTGCTAACATATTAATCTGACCTGAAGTAAAAAGAGTAGCTAGATTTAATTTTAAAATAAATTGTTTAATTTTTGCAGTATGTAATGCATTCATATAATTCAATGTGTGTATATAAAAGAAGCTACAGGCCAGACATGCTGGCTCACGCCTGTAATCCCAGAACTGTGGGAGGCTGAGCTGGGTGAATCGCTTGAGCCTCAGGAGTTCGAGACCAGCCTGGGCAACATGGTAAAACCCCATATTTACAAAAAAATACAAAAATTAGCCGGGCGTGGTGGTGAGTACCTGTAGTCCCAGCTACTCAGGAAGCTGAGTATTTGTTTGTTTGATAGATAATGCCAAACTGCCTCCACAGGTATTAGACCAATTTATACTCCCAACAGCATTGTGAGTGCACCTAGTTTCTCCACAGTGTGGCTAGATTCATGAATAACACTGCAAAACAAAATAGAAGTCTCTTATAAACCAAGCACCTATTAGCATATTGCTTAGCATCAATAATAGGTTTTTTAATGCTCTGGGAGAACTAAAAATATGATTTACAAATTTGAAAGAGAGACTGTTATATTTTAGAGTTTATATGACAGATTTAAAGTGTCATTTAAAAACATTTTTTTCTTGCCTTTTTCATGTAGCAGCAAAAAACCCCCACATTTTTTAAAGATAAATTTCCTTTACACTTGTTTACTTATTTTTATAAACTCTTGTGTCACCTTAAATTGTGCCTCGTACATAGTAGGTGCTCAATAAATATTTATTGAATGAATAGATTTCGGCAGGGTAGCTATTATCCCTCTAATATATTTCTGACCCAACAAGGAATCTTTTACAATGGCTTGGCATCACATTCCCCACAAATATTCAGTGAATGCCAGTGGGTGTCACCCGTTTTCTAAGAGAGGGGCTTTCTGCATCAATCCCAAGCCCCTGCACCTAGGTCTCTGCATAGCCCACACAGCATGAGAGAGAAGAAGATGCAGAATGATTCAAGGGGAATGGTAGTAGGCAGCCAGCCATCTGAGGCCAGCTCAAGTTCCTTGGAGCTGTTCTATTTAGTTCTGTCTAGGGAGAATTCTTACTTAAGGAATTCAGTACTAATTCCACAGACAAAAGCATCACCTCATTGGCTTCTCTGTCAAGGATACATCCAAACTTTTGAACCTGCCACACAATTTAAGAAAGGGAACATTTCCAATACTTGAAGCCCATTGTGTGACCCTCTTTGATTATCCCTCATCCCTCTCCACCAGAGAAAACCAATATCCTGAATTTTGTGTTAATCGCATCCTTGCTGTTCCTTTTTAATATATGAGAGGTTTTTTTTTTTTGAGATGTGCTGTTGCTATATTGCCCAGGTGATCCTCCTGCCTTAGCCTCCAGAGTAGCTGGTACTACATGCATGTGCTACTATGCCCAGCTAACTTTTTTATTTTTGTAGAGATAGGGTCTCACTATGTTGCTCAGGCTGGTCTTGAACTTTGGGTTCAAGTGATGCTCCCATCTCATCCTCCCAAAGTGCTGGGATTACAGGTATGAGCCACCATGCTAATAGTCCCTTCCTTCCTTCCTCCCTTCCTCCCTTCCTTCCTTTCTTCCTTGCTTCTCTCTCTCTTTCTCTCTCTCTCTCTTTTTGAGACAGAGTTTCGCTCTTGTCACCCAGGCTGGAGTGCAATGGTGTGATCTCAGCTCACTGCAACCTCCACCTCCCGGGTTCAAACAGTTCTCCTGCCTCAGTCTCCTGAGTAGCTGGGATTAAAGGCACGTGCCACCACACCTGGCTAATTTCTGTATTATTAGTAGAGATGGGGTTTCACCATGTTGTTCAGGCTGGTCTCGAACTCCTGACCTCAGGTGATCCACCCACCTTGGCCTCCCAAAGTGCTGGGATTACAGGTGTGAGCCACTGCGCCTGGCCATTCACCTCACCTGGCCACTTGCCTCGCCTCGCCTCTCCTTTCCTTTCTTAAAAATAAGTTAATTCAGCCAGGGCGGCTCACGCCTGTAATCCCAGCACTTTGGGAGGCTGAGGTGGGTGGATCACGAGGTCAAGAGATCAAGACCATCCCGGCCAACATGGTGAAACCCCGTCTCTACTAAAAAGTACAAAAATTAGCTGGGCATGGTGGTGTGCACCTGTAGTCCCAGTTACTCAGGAGGCTGAGGCAGGAGAATCGCTTGAATCTGGGAGGCAGAGGCTGCAGTGAGCCGAGATAGCGCCACTGCACTCCAGTCTGGTGACAGAGCGAGACTCTGTCTCAAAAACAAAAACAAAAAAAGTTAATTCTAGGGAAATGGCTGTTCCATAGACACAGCAGGGCTACCCCATAGGCAGAGTAGCCTGGATGCTCTTTCTTTGCAACTGATACAAAGTGGGGGAAAGAACTCAGATTACCAGTAATACTACCATATACATATACAATTTATTTTTTTGATCTTTTGCCAGGGGACATTTGGGTTGTTTCTAGTTTTCTGTTATTCGGAACAATGATATTATGAACATGACTATATTCCTGTTTCCTGATACATACATGCATGTAACAGTTTTTCTTATGCCTAGTAGAAGTGTTAAGTTGTATGATGCACACATCTTTAAAACATTTATACTAGTTAACTCTTCCAAGTGAAGTTAATATATATGAGTTCTTGTTGCACCAAATCCTCACTAATATTTAGTATTGTCTAAGTTTTAAAATCTTGCCAATCTTTACCAATTTTACCAATTACTTTTTAATGGAATTATAACATCCATATGGTAAAGTAACCTACATATATACATATGGTGAATAACATACATGTCTTAAGTGTACTCAATGAAATCTGACTTGTGTATCTACTTCCCCGACCAAGATATAGAATACTTGCAGCACCACAGAGGATTCCCTAGTGCCCCCTTCAGTTAATACCTGTCACAAGAATAACCACTATCTTACTTCCATAGCTTAGTTTTATCTATTCTTGAACTTCATACTATACATAGAATTGTATAGTAAGAACTCTTTTGTTCTGGTTTCTTTAACTCAACATTAGATTTTTTTAGTTTAATTCAGATTGCTGTCATCTACTTTTTGATGTTTGCTTCATATTATATGGTTTGATGAAATTTTTTTTGTCGAATTTAACTCTCAAACTTGCACATCAAAATGTACAACTGTTACATACTACTGCCACCTAGTGTCGGGCAATCTAAAATGAAGGGACAATATTTCAAAATGGTTCATTTCACAACACAAATCCCCCTACAAAATTACAAAATATGTTTGATGTGATGAATATGATAATTACCCTGATCTGATCACTATACATTATATCTATTGAAACATCACTATGGGCCAGGCGCGGTGGCTCATGCCTGTAATCCCAGCACTTTGGGAGGCCGAGGCGGGTGGATCACGAGGTCAGAAGATCAAGACCACCCTGGCTAACACGGTGAAACCCCATCTCTACTAAAAATACAAAAAATTAGCCGGGCGTGGTGGTGGACGCCTGTAGTCCCAGCTACTTGGGAGGCTGAGGCAGGAGAATGGCGTGAACCTGGGAGGTGGAGCTTGTAGTAAGCCGAGATCGCACCACTGCCCTCCAGCCTGGGTGACAGAGCGAGACTCCCTCTCAAAAATAAATAAATAAATAAATAAAAATAAACATCACTATGTACCCCATGAACACGTACAATTGTTTGTCAATGAAAAAAACAAAATTAAAACAACATTTACATTAACAGCCAATCCAAATGAGAGAATACGCCTTCTCAAATGTGAAAATATAAAACAAAGGCCACATGGGATCAGTCAGTTCTTTAAGTTCATGTTATCGCTTTAATAAAACTGACCTTTTTAAGCCCATGAAGTTTTTACAAATACACAAGAATTCCTAAAATTGTAGGAACAGGTGAAATCAAAACAGAAGAAAACATGGGAGAGAAAAAAAATCTTAGAATTCTATCAAGTCTGCATCATATTTATTTCTTAAAATCCTCAGGGAAATAAGATTTCAGTAGTGGTATTCAGTGTATGCTGTTTATTAAGCATGAGGATAATTACCTTTTCCTCTGCATCAGCAACTTTAGATTTCTCCTGAACCAGCTTTTCCTGTAGGTTGTTCTGTGATTTAATGCTCTGAGTGTGTTTAAGTACTTCCAACTCCAGTTCCTTGATTTTCTGCTGACAGTGCTTGTACTCTGCCGTGAGTGAAGAGCACATCTTTGTGCTGTCTAATAACTTCTGTTGGGCATGCTTTAGTTCAATCTTTATCTAGAGGTAGAGAATAAGTAAGAGTAATACAAATAAGTGTGGAATGAATGTGAACTAGAATAAGCAGCTTTCAAAGGAGTATAGTCCCCTAAAAGCCAACAAATACCAATGTCACATGGCTGAGTACCTCTTTAGAGCTGCCATGTAAGAGTTTCCAAAGTGTAGACAGATGGCAGTTAGACAAAGGAATTTTCCTGAGTTTCTATATATGCATGGTCTAAACATTTTCCATCCTTTCTTCAATCTAGTCCAAACTGGCTTTCATCCCCACTACTCCAGTGAAACTTTCTGCCAAGGGTACTAACTGACCTCTTCATTGCCAAAATAAATCCAATGGACAAGTGACTTCTCAGTAGCATTCTGTGACACCAAACTTTGCTGGTTTTCACTTAGCTCTCTGCTGTTCTTTCTTGGTCTTCTTTGTAGACTCTTCTAATGCTACCCAACATGTGAGTATTATTGGACACTTCTAGGCCTAGAGAGTAGATGATTTGCTATCCATTTCTATAATTTGAAATGCCATTTTATGCCAATACTTGCCAAAATGAAACTCCTTGATTCTGCCTGTATCTCCAAAGTCTTTTTTTCTCTGTCTTCCCAATTTCAGTAAATAATGCCACCATCCAAACTTTTGTGCAGGTCAGTAATCCCTGAGTCTTCCTTTTCCATTATGAACCAATTCCAATCATTTAGCACATGCTGTCATTCTATCCCCACAATACAACTTGCATTAATCCATTTGTGTCATTTTTTTTGCCACCACTCTAGTCTGGGGCATCATCTCTAGCCTGGGCTACAGCAACTGCCTCTGCACTGGTCCTACCACTTCCATTTTTACTCTTTTCTAATCTATCCTCTAATGCTGTGGCCAAATTTTCTTTTAAAAACATAAATTGAACTACTTGACACCCCTGCTTAGAATCTTTCAGTGGTCCCTCACTCCAGATCCCACCAGCTTGCCTGGTTTTGTACACTCTGGCCCTTGTCTATCTCTTTAAAACTATCTTGTTATTTCTCCTTCTCCCACTGTAACTCCTGTCACACTGGTTGGTATTAAGAGTTTCCAATACACCAAATTTTTTCCACACTTCCCTCTGCCAGAAATGCTTTCCCTTTTCCCTTCTCATTGTATGGTTGCCTGCCTATTCTGCAGGTCTTAGCTTAAATGTCACTTTGCAGGGGGCAATTTTCAGAATCATTTAATCTGAAATGTCCTTACTCATCACTGTACCACATTTGTTTCCTTCATCAAACATACCATGATTTATAATTAAGTATGCATTTATATACCTGTTTATATCCCCTTTCCCCACTTTAAATTCCAAGAAAGCAGAGACTATGTTTTTTTGTTTGTTTGCTTCTTTTTTTTTGAGACAGGGTCTCTCTCTGTCGCCCAGGCTGGAGTGCAGTAGCACAATCTCTGCTCACTGCAAGCTCTGCCTCCCGGGTTCACGCCATTCTCCTGCCTCAGCCTCCTGAGTAGCTGGGACTACAGGCACCCGCCACCATGCCCAGCTAATTTTTTTGTACTTTTAGTAGAGACAGGCTTTCACCAAGTTAGCCAGAATGGTCTCGATCTCCTAACCTTGTGATCTGCCCGCCTCGGCCTCCCAAAGTGCTGGGATTACGGGTGTGAGCCACCGCACCCAGCCAAGACTATGTTTTTAATTCATGTCTTAATACCAAGGCCTATCAAAGAACCAGAGAGTAGGTGATTAAACAATTATTTACTGAGCAAGTAAATGAATGATATTCTAAAAAGTATCAGAACGTAGTGAATGTATACACTGGGCAGGGAAGGCTCATAGACAAAAGTGGTGAGAGAGAATTTACTTTGTTTTAATGGTAAATAGAATTCCCTGGTCTCAAAGCTTTTCAACTGAATTAACAGGGATGATAGCTATAATGTCCTTCATCTGTGCTTTCTCTATATTAACCAATCAGATTATATAAAATGAATCTAAAATTTAATTGTGTTCAACCACTTTGAGCATCAGTTTCTTCATCTGTAATATGGGGATAATAACTACTTACCTCATAGGATAGTTGTGAGGCTGCATTAAATGAGACAAAGCAATTAAAGCCTCAAGAATAGAGCCAGACACATAGGAAAGACCTAACAACAGTTAAGTGTTGATATTCAATAATTGCTTTTAGAATATCTACTGCATTTGAAATACAGAGCTGAGGCATATGCTAATATTACTACTTTACATTTGTTAGGCTTTCACATCTATGAAGTGGCTGGGATTGGTATTTTAGCCCATTTTAGAGATAAAAAACTGAATCTCAAATAGTTGCCAGATGATAGAATCAAGGTCTGAATATAGATTTTCTGATTCTAATCCAGTACTCTATACTATATTTACTCTAAACTGTGAAATATGTGTATTTATTATTTCTCTAAAAAGAATACATTAGAGTGGATCAACAAGCTAAAATTTGGTTCTTTAAACAGTCTAATAAAATGAATAAACTTCTAGTGAGACTGATCAAAGAAAAAGCAACAAGGCAAAGGTAACTAATATTATAAAAGTGAAATGACCATCATTATATATCTTTTCTTCTTTTTTTCAAAAGCTACCTTTGTTAAAATATATACATTTTAAAAAGAAGACAAGATTAATAAATTTCTGTAAAACTTTAAAAAATTTAAATGAAATGGAAACTTTAGAAAAATAAAATATAACAAAGTTGATGCAAAAAAAAGAAGAACTTGACTTCTCATAACTATTAAAGAAATGGAACTAGAAATTGAAAACCTACCCAAAAGAAAGCAAAATCAGAAGGCTTTAGGGATGAGTTTTTTGCAATAATTTAAGAAGAAATCATTGTAACTTAATACAAACTCTTCTAGAAGACAGAAAAAGAGGGTATATTACCCATTTTTATTTTAAGAGGCTAGGATAACCTTGATATCAAAATCTGACAAGGGCATTGCAAGGAAGTAAATGACAGACTAGTCTCACTTTTGAGCAAAGTTGCAAACATCCCAAAGACATATTAGCAAGCCAAATCCAGCATTGTAGGAAAAGAATGATAATTTATGATGAAGTTAGGTTTATCCCAGGAATGCAAAATTGGATTAACATTAGAAAATCAGTCAAAGTAATTCAGCATATTAACAGATTAAAATTTTTAAAAAACCTTCTCAAAATATTCAGAAAAAAATTTATGAAATTCAACATGTATTTGTCATAAAACATTGAACAAACTAATGCTAGAAAGCAATTTCCTTAATGTAATAAATATTTTTATTTATTTTTCTTTCTTTCTAAAGTACATTTGGATAAAATATCTATTTTTAAAAAGCTATAAAAACATACTAAATGGTGAAATTTGAGAGCTTTTCCTTTGAGACTGGGAATTAGAAAAGGATGCCTACTGTCACCAGTTCTATTCAGCACTGTGGTAGCCAGTAAACAGAACAAGAAAAAAGAATGAAAGGTTTAACATATGGAAAGGAAGAAAGCAAATTGTCTTTAGATGATATGATTACTTGCATAGAAAATCCAAAATAACATATACATACATTGTAAGAATAAAAAAGTATGGGAAAGTTTTTATTAGAAAATGATTATATATTTTCTATATATTGGGAAATAATTAGAAAATGAACATTTTTAAAGTTACCATTTATAATAGTATGGAAAATATCAGCACCTGTGAATATGTCTAACAAAAGATATATAAGAAAATTTAAATATTGAGAGAAATTAAAAACCTAAATACACATACTCTCTTCTTAAATTAGAGGATTCAATATTGCAAAGATTTAAATTCTGCCCAAATTGACCTATAGATTCAATGTAATTCCAACTGAAATCCCAAAAGATTGTGTGTCAATATTCATGGGTTCTATGTGAGTTCATGTGAGTATTTGTGTGTAGCTTAACAAACTGATTATAAAACTTATATAGGAACCCCAAAGGCCAGGAATAGCCCAGATATCCCAGAAAAGAAGAACAAGGTGAAAAGATTTGTTCTATCAAATGTTAATATTTATATAAAGCTAAAATAATCATGATAGCATAGTATTGGCACAAGGGCAGACAAATAGAATAATGGAACAGAATAGGGATCTCAGAAATATGCCACAATAGGCTGGGCACGGTGGCTCACGCCTGTAATCCCACACTTTGGGAGGCTGAGGTGGGCAGATCACCTGAGGTCAGGAGTTCGAGGCCAGCCAGGCCAATATGGTGAAACCCTGTATCTACTAAAAGTACAAAAAAATTAGCCAGGCATGGTGGTGTGTGCCTGTAATCCCAGCTATTCGGGAGGCCGAGGCAGAAGAACTGCTTGAACCCAGGAGGCAGATGTTGCAGTGGGCCAAGATCATGCCACTGTACTCCAGGCTGTGTGACAGAGTGAGACTCCATCTCAAAAATAAATAAGCAAATACATAAATACATAAATAAATGTTAATGTAGAATAGCTTTATGACTTTGAAGTAGTAAGATATTAAATCAGACCCCAAAAATCACTAGTTATAATGAAAAATAATGAATATTAAAATTAAAAACTTTGATTCATCAAAAGATATATAAGGAGAATGAAAATGCAAGCCACAGAGTCGATGTTTATAATACATACCTGATAAAGGGTTCATGTATTTAAAAAACTTCTATAAATTAATGAAAAAATTAAAATGACAGAAACCCCAAATAAATATGAACAAAATCTTGAACAAGCACTTCACAAAACAGAAATTCAAATGCCAATTAAATGTATAAAAAGCTGCTCAACCTTGTTTGCAAACAGGCAAATGCACACTAAAACCACAAGGAACTACTGCTATACACGTATACTAGGTTTGCAAAAATTTTAACGTCTGACAGTTCCAAGAGTTGGTGAGGATGTAGAGCAATGGGAACCTTCAGACACTGTTGGTGGAAGACTTTAGAAGGAGTTGAAGTAATACATATTCTATGATAAAATAATTCCACTCCCAATCTCTTCCTAGAGGAATGTGTACTTATGGACATCAGGATACATGTGCATGAGTGTTCATTGCAGCACTCTTTAAAAAGTAGAAACCTTACTCAGTTCTATTCATATATCTTGCTACTCAAGAAAGAATCTGAAATTCATTGACTGAACATATCTGAAATAATGTGCTGTTAAACCCTCTGTTCAAAGGCAAAGTTCTTTCAATAAAAGCTGCTCAAGTGTGTAGAGTGCTTAGCTTATGAAACCTCATTTCCTCATTTTTCGTTAATTTTTGAAGACCAGAAATGCCATTTCCAAAAATGTTAGTGGACACATAAAAATGGTCAAACGCTTTGTTAAACACAATGAAATGAGTGTATGTAGAAGTAAAGAAATTAAACCCTAAGAGCAAATGCCTTGATATCATTGGTGGATCAATGTAGGTCAACAGGAAAAAATGTAATACGCTTATCTCATTGATATTACCAAAAAGAAATTCTCAATCAAGTTTTAATAAACTTCCTATTTTTCTAGTAAAAACCCATTTCCCACCTTGCCATTCTAAACCAGCTCACCTTCTGGTTCATTTTTTTTTTTCATTTTCTCATTTTATTTTGGAGGGTTGGTATAACTTTTGAAATTTCAATGATAAGAACAAATCTATTAGCTGTTGACTTCTTCTAAAAAGGCACTCCAGCCTTTTAGAAAGCCTAGAAGTTTCATTTTTCAAGAACAATCTTACTATGAAAAAAGTAAGACACAGACAATGAATAGATAAGAAACAAATCAAAGAAAAAGAAGAAATCAAGTGTTCTGGAATATTTGGTAAATTGAATTTGTTCAAAATTAAGAAACCTAAACATCTCATTGTAAACAGAAAGGGTACATACAAGTCCTTTCATAATATATTGTCTATTTACTCCACAGGCCAAGAAAGGTAAAGGCCTCTTGGGCCTGTGATCAAAGAGTCAACACTTAAGGTTTTGGCGATGCTGGTAATGATGAAATAAGACAACACTGGGGCAAACACTGTTATGGCCAATGACCTATGCATCCAAGGCAGCTTCTTCAGCTTCAAGTTGGGACAGTCGAGCACCAAGAAGAGGATCTACATCAGCGTCTTGGTACTGGTGGTGACAAAGCAGCAATCTGCCTGAGGCTCTGCAAGCCTACAACATTCTTTTTAACATCCCCAAGCTGGAAACACGTAAAATGTCCATAAGCCACAGAAAAAATAAATAAAGTATGGCATTTTCTTACAATAGAATACTATATTGTAAAGAAAATGAATAAATAATGGCTATACACTATAACAGGAATGAATCTTGCAGACAAAGTTATCATAAGGCAGACACAAGGTATAAATACTGATTATATTTTTGAAATATAATTTTGAAAAATAGGGAAAACAACTATATTGTATGAGATTCATAAATAGTTGATAAAACTATAAAGTAAAGCAAGAGAGTTATTACCAAAATTAGCAGTTACTACTAATTTTGGGTGGTAAGGTGATGGGATTATGATGGGGACAAGGTGTGCAGGGGCCACTAGTGTGCTGGCATTGTTCTATTTCTTCTCCTGGGTAGTGTTTAGTTGTCTATTTACTTTATGACTACTAGGTAAACTGTATGTTTTATGCATTTTCTAAGTGTTATATTTTATAACAAAATGATTTAAAAGCAATAAGTTAGTATTTTGGTTTCTTTTTCTTTTTTTTAAAGAAAAAGTGATATTTTAATGTTTATTTAATTTTTTTTTTGAGACAGGGCCTCACTCTATTACCCAGGCTGGAGTGCAGTGGTGTGATCATAGCTCACTGCAGCTTCAAATCCCTGGGCTCAAGCAATCCTCCTGCCTTGGCCTCCCAAAGCCCTAGGATTGTAGGCTTGAGCCACTGCACCAAGCCACTATTTTTATTTATTTTTAAATTTTTAAATAATTAATTTATTTTAGTTTTAAATTATACTTTAAGTTCTGGGATACATGTGCAGAACACGCAGGTTTGTTACATAGGTATACATGTGCCACGGTAGTTTGCTGCACCCATCAACCTGTCATCTACATTGGGTATTTCTCCTAATGCTATCCCTCCCCTTGTCCCCCACCCACTGACAGGCCCTGGTGTGTAATGTTCCGCTCCCTGTGTCCATGTGTTCTCATTGTTCAGCTCCCACTTATGAGTGAGAACACGCAGTGTTTGGTTTTCTGTTCCTGTTTTAGTTTGCTGAGAATGATGGTTTCCAGCTTCATCCATGTCCCTGCAAAGGACATGAACTCATTCTTTTTTATGGCTGCATATTATTCCACGGTGTATATGTGCCACATTTTCTTTATCCAGTCTATCATTGATGGGCATTTGGGTTGGTTCCAAGTCTTTGCTATTGTGAATAGTGCTGCAATAAACATACATGTGCATGTGTCTTTATAGTAGAATGATTTATAATCCTTTGGCTGTATAGCCAGTAATGGGATTGCTGGGTCAAATTGTATTTCTGGTTCTAGATCCTCAGGAATAGCCACACTGTCTGCCACAATGGTTGAACTAGTTTACACTCCCACCAACAGTGTAAAAGCGTTCCTATTTCACCACATCCTCGCCAGCATCTGTTGTTTCCTGACTTTTTAATGATCGCCATTCTAACTGGCATGAGATGGTATCTCATTGTGGTTTTGATTTGCATTTCTCTAATGACCAGCGATGATGAGCTTTTTTTCATATGTTTGCTGGCTGCATAAATGTCTTCTTTTGAGAAGCGTCTGTTCATATCCTTCACCCACTTTTTGATGGGGTTGTTTTTTTCTTCTAAATGTGTTTAAGTTCCTTGTAGATTCTGGATATTAGCCCTTTGCCAGATGGACAGATTGCAAAAATTTTCTCCCATTCTGTAGGTTCCCTGTTCATTCTGATGATAGTTTCTTTTGCTGTGCGGAAACTCTTTAGTTTAAAAAATACGGAACGCTTCACAAATTTGCGTGTCATCCTTGCACAGGGGCCATGCTAATCTTCTCTGTATCATTCCAGTTTTAGTATATGTGCTGCTAAAGTGAGCATGTGTTTTTGTTTCTTAGTCTCATAAGTATGCCTAACATTAGCTAGATACTCAAGTTTGATAATTTGAATGGATTTTTTTTTTTTTTTTTTGAGACAGATTCTCACTCTGTCGCCCAGACTGGATTGCAGTGGCCCGATCATGGCTCACTGCAACCTCTGCCTCCTGGATTCAAGCAATTCTCATGCCTCAGCCTCCCGAGTAGCTGGGACTACAGGCGTGTGCTACCATGCCCGGCTAACTCTTTTTTTTTTTTTTTGGACTTTTAGTAGAGATGGGGTTTCGCCATGTTAGCCAGGCTGGTCTCAAACTCGTGAGCACTTTAAGTGATCTGCTCACCTCAGCCCCACAAAGTGCTACGATTATAGGTGTCAGCCACTGCACCTGGCCTTGAGTGGATTTTTAAAAGTGAGTCCTAAGTTTGTAAAGCTGAGGTTCCAAAATGACCCAAATTGAGGAGGGGTGTAATATGGCAAGATGTCTATAAAGGAAAGAGAGAAACAAACTTGACAAGTTCTGACTCTATAATTTGTTAGCTTTGCAATCTTGA
Source organism: Homo sapiens (assembly GCF_000001405.40). Lineage (NCBI taxonomy): Eukaryota > Metazoa > Chordata > Mammalia > Primates > Hominidae > Homo > Homo sapiens. The sequence goes on along the minus strand of NC_000001.11, from coordinate 42,568,484 downwards.
ACAGTTTCCTCATCCATAAAGTGCTGACCCTTTAGGGTTGTGAGGCTGTTCGTAAGAGATAAAGTAGACAGGCAGTGCCCGGTGGCTCACACCTGTAATCCCAGCACTTTGGGAAGCTAAGCCGGAAGGATCACCTGAGGTCAGGAGTTCGAGATCAGCCTGGCCAACATGGTGAAACCCTGCCTCTACTAAAAATACAAAAATTAGCTGGGCGTGGTGACATGCGCCTATAATCCCAGCAACTCAGGAAGCTGAGGCAGGAGAATCTCTTGAACCTGGGAGGTGGAGGTTGCAGTGAGCAGAGATCATGCCACTGCACTTCAGCATGGGTGACAGAGCGAGACTCCATCTCAGAAACAAACAAACAAAAAGAGATAAAGTGGACAAACTCTCAATAAAGGATACTCATCATATATAACTTTCATAGGTGCCTGGCCAAAGGAGCTAATCAAGAGGCTGATGTCTTATTTCTAAATGGCCAATAATTTATCTCACCATGGAGATTAAAATAGACAAAAAAAATTCTCTCTCTCTTTTTTTTTAAATTTACTGCATGCTCTTTACAAACAGTGAAAAATAAAAATCTTCTCTTGTTACCAAGCTATCATTTATCCATCCCTGAAAGACTGTTCATTAATCCAATAAATATTTATAGGGTACCAATCATATGTAAGGCATTATAATCTGTGTAGTTCTGGCCATTGTTCCTTAAGAAATATGTAGTATTGTTAGAATATGTCCCGAGTTGGAGAGTTAAAATGATCTAAGAAATGTCCTTGAAGGGAAAGTGAAAGACTGTCTTATAAGAACATGTGATAAAGATTTAGAATTTAATTTAAAACTACAAAGGCTTGAAGGAATATGATCAGTCTTCAAAAACTCATGAAGGGTGAGGACAGGGAAGAGGTTTATTCAAATAATCCCGGAATACGAGAACTCCCTTAGAAGGCCTTCCTTGAAGTTTGGGATAAACGGATATTTGTTTTCCTCTATATCTCCCCTACTAGACTGTGAGCTCTTGAAAAGTAGGGACCTTTCTTATCCATGTTTATGTCACTTTTCAAATAAGATCATTTTATCCTGCTATACCAGGTGTGGGCAAACTTTTCTCATAAAGGGCCAGGTAGTAAATATTTTAGACTTTGTGGGTCATATGGTTTCATCACAACTATCAAATCTGTTGCTGTAGCACAAAAGCAGTCATAATATATAAACAGACAGATATGGCTGCCAATAAAACTTTATTTATAAAAACAGAAGGCAGACAGAATTTGACCTACATGCCAAAGTTTGCTGACCCCTGCACCATGGGGATAAGGATTTTTGTGCCTACCATTAAACTCTCAGTGTGTCTACAAGATTGCATATGAATATTGAATGTTGAATTTTAGAACCTTCAATAGAGGCTTATAGAAACTAAGTCCTTAATGTATATTTACAGAATTGAACCATAATTAAGAGGAAGTACTATTTTACACGGAGGTTAATTTTAAACATTTATGTGGTCCATAAAATTTAGTTGAATCTGTGTATGGCAGTTCTACATAGATTATTTTTAAACAAGCTTTTGGGGGATGTTGCCTTAACTATTTCATGCTGTTGTATTAGGAAGAACAACTTTGTTCTCCCACGAATTGTACCTTGGTGCAGTTGAGATCTGACTGAACCAATAATAATGGATACATCTAATAGGGATAAATAAGTCTAGTGATACACAGGGCAGGACAACCAGGGTTTAGGGCTCGGGTCACTGAAGTTTAGTAAGTACTAAAAATTTTAGATAGTGTTTTCAGAAGATTATGTAATTTAATGCCTTTTTCTATTTACAGGTTGATAATACACACATTCTTACTTAGCAGGGAAAAGTTAAAGGAGGAAGTTACCAGATAGCTCACATTGTCCACATATTTGTGGATCCTATCATGAATTATCAAGTAGAGGAACTTAGATTCGTTTATTCCCAGGGCCAACTGAAACCCTTCCATAAAGCATTTGCCCACAAGAGTTACCTTAATGTTTTCTTCCTGAAGTAAGCTATTATGTTGCTTTAAGTCCAAGTTCTGCCCTCGTTCATATCGAAGCTCATTTTCAGCTGAGTTGCATAGAATCTGGAGCCGGTGCAAATTCTGGTGAAGTTGTTGTACTTCCCCTTGCTGGTTGTATTTTAGTTTTTCTCCAGATGATGGATGCTAAAGCAAACATTTTAAAAGAGAAACACAGACAATTGGAAAGAATATTGGTAAAACATGGGTTCAAGTTGTCAGAACCGGAATTGTCAGAATGTGATTATTCACATGTAAATGTTTTTGGAGTTAGCTTATCTACAGCAAACTACTCTTTTACATTTATGGATAGTTGATACATGTTCATATAATACATGTTATATTAGAGTGAAAATAACAATAAAATTATGTTAACAAAAGCAGTTAGGCACAGACAACTTACCTTATTTTTCATATCAATGATAGAAGCACAGACAATTTTAGGGTAAAACACATTTAAAATGGGAAGTTCAAAGAGTCCATATGTTAAGAAGTAGAGTGTGAATGTGTGTGTGTGTGTGTGTGTCTGTGTGGTGTCTGTTGGCAAAAAGAAAGAGGAAATTTAGTAAGAGACCTTAAGTTTCTAGCCTTCCTCATCACTTTCTTTTATTTCCCGATGATTCTTCTCCCATAAACACACTCCCATAAAACACATTCTTTCAAGGATGAATAGTATTACATTGTGTACACACACACACACACATCACTTCTGCAGATATCTCTTTGACATACTGGTTTCATATCCCTTGGATATATACCTGGAAGCGGAATTGCTAGATCATATGGGTAGCTCTATTTTTAATTTTTTGAGGAACCTCCATACTGTTTTCCATATTGGTTGTACTAATTTACATTCCCACCCACAGTGTCGAAGTGTTCTATTTTCTCCACATCCTTGCCAACACTTACCTTTTGTCTTTTTGATAAAAGCCATTCTAATAGGTGTGAGGTGATATTTCATTGTGGTTTTAATTTGCATTTCCCTAATAATTCACGACGCTGAACATTTTTTCACATACCTGTTGGCCTTTTGCACATCTTCTTTTGAGAATGTCTATTTGCATCCTTTGCCTATTTTTAAATTGGATTATTTGTTTTCTTGCTATTGAGTTGTTTGAGTTTCTTATATATTTTGGGTATTAACCCCTTATCAGACGTATGATCCATAAATATTTTTGCCCATTCTGTAGGTTGTCTTTTTACTCTGTTGATTGTTTCCCTTGCTGTGCAGAAGCTTTTTAACTTGACGCAACCCCATTTGTCTATTTTTGCTTTTAGAGTCACATCCAAAAAATCTTTGCCAAGAAAAATGTGAAACATTTTCCATAAGTGTCAATCAATGGATGAATGGAAAAGAAAATATAGTATACACACACAACACAAACACACATACAATGCAAAACTGTTCAGCCTTTAAAAAGACAGAAATCCTGTCATTTGTCACAACATGAATGAACTTGGAGGGCATTATGCTAAGTGAAATAAGCCAGGCGCAGAAAGACAAATACTGCATGATCTCACTTATACGTGGACTCTGAAAAAGTTGAACTCATAAAGTTGAACTCACAGAAGCAGCAAGTAGAATGGTGGTTGAGAGGCTGGGGAGGGGAGGCATGGAATGGGAAGATGCTGGTCAAAGGGTGCAAAGTTTCAGATAGACAGGATAAATTCTGGATATGTACATAGTGACTATACTTAATGTGTTGTATACTTGAAAATTGTTAAAAGAGTAGAGCTTAAATGTTCTCACCACAAAAAAGTATGTGAGATGATACATATGTAACTTAGCTTGATTTAATCATTTCACAATGTACACATAAATCAAAACATCAGGTTGTACATCACAAACATACAACATTTGTCAATAATCCTGAATAGGCTGGGCGTGGTGGCTCACGCCTGTAATGCTAGCACTTTGGGAGGTCAGGAGTTCAAGACCAGCCTGGTCAACATGGCGAAACCCTTAGCTGGGTGTGATGGTGCGCACCTGTAGTCCCAGCTACTTGGGAGGCTGAGGCATGAGAATTGCTTGAACCCAGGAAGTGGAGGTTGCAGTGAGCCAAGATCATGCCATTGCACTTCAGCCTGAGTGACAGAGACTCTGTCTCAAAAAAAACAAAAATCCTGAATAAAGCTGTAAAAAAAGCACATGTATCAAACACCAGCAATACACTTTCCTATCAGGCTTCTTCAGTGAAATAAGAGAATAGTCATTTGGATTTTCTACAAAGGTAGGCACAAGTAGTATGCTGAATAGATAAAGAATTCAATCTTATACAATTCAATAGATAAGATATTCTTAGAGTTTCCTTAGTCCTGGTCCAGTATGCTCCTGTCTACAACTTTCTAAAAAGCCCATGTCATTATTTTAGTTTTATCTTGCTTATGTCCCTAAAGTAACACAGAAGCCCTCAAGTCCTGTTAACTCTTCAATTCCTATTTTGGTTTAGCTAGAAAGGCAATCTAAACACAATATGCTTTTCTTAGAGCTGCAAGATCCCTAGGAAAAAAAAATCTTCAATGGGTTATAATGTAATTATGAAGAAGCCTCACTTTTTTTTTTTTTGAGATGGAGTCTCGCTTTGTCGCCCAGGCTGGAGTGCAGTGGTGCGATCTCAGCTCACCACAACCTCCGCCTCCTGGGTTCAAGCAATTCTCCTGCCTCAGCCTCTTGAGTAGCTGGGATTACAGGTGCGTGCCACCATGCCCAGCTAATGTTTGTATTTTTAGTAGAGACGGGGTTTCACCATGTTGGTCAGGCTGGTCTCCAACTTCTGAAGGTGATCCACCCGCCTTGGCCTCCCAAAGTGCTGGGATTACAGGCGTGAGCCAGCGCGCCCAGCCACTTTTTAAAAAAATTTCTTCTAAAAAAAACCAGGATACATAGTCAGAATGTGCAGGTTTGTTACATAGATATACGTGTGCCATGGTGGCTTGCTGCACGTATTGACCCATCCTCTAAGTTCCCTCCCCTCACCCCCTACCCCCAACAGGCCCTGGTGTATGTTGTTCCCCTCTCTGTGTCGATGTATTCTCAATGTTCAACTCCCACTTATGAGTGAGAGAACATGTAGTGTTTGGTTTTCCGTTCCTGTGTTAGTTTGCTGAGGATGATGGCTTTCAGCTTCATCCATGTCCCTGCAAAGGACATGATATCATTCCTTTTTATGGCTGCAAAGTATTCCATGGTGTATATATACCACATTTCCTTTATCCAATCTATCACTGATGGGCATTTGAGTTGGTTCCATGTCTTTGCTATTGTAAATAGTGCTGCAATAAACATATGTGTGCATGTGTCTTTACAGTAGAATGATTTATATTTCTTTGGGTATATACCCAGTAATGGGATTGCTGGGTCAAACTGTATTTCTGGTTCTAGATCCTTGAGGAATCACCATGCTGTCTTCCACAATGGTTGAACTAATTTACATTCCCACCAACAATGTAAAAGCATTCCTATTTCTCCACAGCCTCGTCAGCATCTATTGTTTCCTGACTTTTTAATAATCGCCATTCTGACTGGCATGAGATGGTATCTCATTGTGGTTTTGATTTGCATTTCTCTGATGATCAGTGATGTTGAGCTTTTCTTCATATGTTTGTTGGCCACGTAAATGTCTTCTTTTGAGAAGTGTCTGTTCATATCCTTCACCCACTTTTTGATGGGGTTGTTTTTTTCTTGTAAATATGTTTAAGTTCCTTGTAGATTCTAGATATTAGACCTTTGTCAGATAGGTAGATGGCAAAATTTTTCCCCCATTCTCTAGGTTGCCTGTTCACTCTAATGATAGTTTCTTTTGCTGTGCAGAAGCTCTTTAGTTTAATTAGATCTCATTTTGTCAATTTTGGCTTTTGTTGCAATTGCTTTTGGCGTTTTTGTCATGAAGTCTTTGCCCATGGCTATGTCCTGAATAGTATTGCCTAGGTTTTCTTCTAGGGTTATTGTGGTTTTGAGTTTTACATTTAAGTCTTTAATCCATCTTGAGTTAATTTTTGTTTAAGGTGTCAGGAAGGGGTCCAGTTTCATTTTTCTGCATATGGCTAGCCAGTTTTCCCAGCACCATTTACTGAATAGGAGAGCCTTTCCCCATTGCTTGTTTTTGTCAGGTTTGTCGAAGATAAGATGGTTGTAGATGTGTGGTGTTATTTCTGAGGTCTCTGTTCTGCTCCATTGGTCTATATGTCTGTTTTGGTACCACTACCATGCTGTTTTGGTTAATGTAGCCTTGTAGTATAGTTTGAAGTCAGGTAGTGTGATGCCTCCAGCTTTGTTCTTTTTGCTTAGGATTGTCTTGGCTATATGGGGTCTTCTTTGATTCCATATGAAATTTAAAATAGTTTTTTCTAATTCTGTGAAGAATGTCATGGTAGTTTGATGGGAATAGCATTGCATCTATAAATTACTTTGGTCAGTATGGCCATTTTCCTGATATTGATTCTTCCTATCCATTAGGATGTTAGGATGGAACATTTTTCCATTTGTTTGTGTCCTCTCCTATTTCCTTGAGCAGTGGTTTGTAGTTCTCCTTGAAGAGGTCCTTCACATCCCTTGTTAGCTGTATTCCTAGGTATTCTCTTTGTAGCAATTGTGAGTGGGAGTTCATTCATGATTTGATTCTCTGCTTGCCTATTGTTGGTGTAAAGGAATACTTGTGGTTTTTGCACATTGATTTTGTATGCTGAGACTTTGCTGAAGTTGCTTATCAGTTCAAGAAGTTTTTGGGCTGAGATGATGGGTTTTTCTAAATATAAAATCATGTCATCTACAGAGACAACTTGACTTCCTCTCTTCCTATTTGAATACCCTTTATTTCTTTCTTTTGCCTGACTGCCCTGGTCAGAACTTCCAATACTATATTGAATAGGTATGGTGAGAGAGGGCATCCTTGTCTTGCACTGGTTTTCAAAGGGAATGCTTCCAGCTTTTGCCCATTCAATATGATATTGGCTATGAGTTTGTCATAAATAGTTCTTTATTATTTTGAGATATGTTCCATCAATACCTAGGTTATTTAGAGTTTTTAACATGAAGGGATGTTGAATTTTATCAAAGGCCTTTTCTGCATCTATTGAGATAACCATGTGTTTTTGTCTTTGGTTCCGTTTATGTGATGGATTATGTTTATTCATTTGTGTATGTTGAACCAGCCTTGCATCCCAGTGATGAAGCCAGCTTAATTGTGGTGGATAAGTTTTTTGATGTGCTGCTGGATTTGGTTTGCCAGTATTTTATTCAGGATTTTTGCATCGATGTTCATCAGGGATATTGGCCTGAAGTTTTCTTTTTTTGTTGTGTCTCTTCATGGTTTTGGTATCAGAATGATGCTGGCTTAATAAAATGAGTTAGGGAGGAGTCCCTCCTTTTCAATTGTTTGGAATAGTTTCAGAAGGAATGCTAACAGCTCCTTTTTGTATTTCTGGTAGAATTCAGCTGTGAATCTGTCTGGTCCTGGGCTCTTTTTGGTTGGTAGGCTATTAATTACTGCCTCAATTTCAGAGCTTGTTACTGGTCTATTCAGGGATTCAACTTCTTCCTGGTTTAGTCTTGGTAGGGTGTATGCAACCAGGAATTTATCCATTTCTTCTAGATTTTCTAGTTTATTTGCATAGAGGTGTTTATAATATTCTCTGATGGTAGTTTGTATTTCTGCAGAGTCAATGGTGATATCCTCTTGTCATTTTTATTGTGTCTATTTGATGCTTATCTCCCTTCTTCTTTATTAGTCTAGCTAGTGGTCTATTTTGTTAATTTTTTCAAAAAACCAGCTCCTGGGCCGGGTGCAGTGGCTCACACCTGTAATAACAGCACTTGGGAGGCCAAGGTGGGAGGATCATGAGGTCAGGTGTTCGAGACCAGCCTGGCCAGCACGATGAAACTCTGTCTCTACTAAAAATACAAAAAATTAGCCAGGCATGGTGGTGCGTGCCTGTAATCCCAGCTACTTGGGAGGCTGAGGTAGGAGAATCACTTGAACCCAGGAGGCAGAGGTTGCAGTGAGCTAAGATCACACCACTGCACTCCAGCCTGGGTGATGGAGCAAGACTCTGACTCAACAACAAAAACAACAACAACAACAATAAAAACAGCTCCAGGATTCATTGATTTTTAGAGAGTTTTTCATGTCTCTATCTCCTTCAACTCTTCTTTGATCTTAGTTATTTCTTATCTTCTGCTAGCTTTTGGATTAGTTTGCTCTGCCTCTCTAGCTCTTTTAATTGTGATGTTAGGGTGTCGATTTGAGATCTTTCTAGCCTTCTTATTGTGGGCATTTAGTGGTATAAATTTCCCTCTTACCACTGCTTTAGCTGTGTCCCAGAGATTCTGGTAACTTGTCTCTTTGTTCTCATTGGTTTCAAAGAACTTCTTGATTTCTGCTTTAATTCCATTATTTACCAAGAAGTCATTCAGGAGCAGGTTGTTCAATTTCCATGAAATTGCATGGTTTTGTGTGAGTTTCTTAATCCTGAGTTCTAATTTGATTGCACTGTGGTCTCAGAGACCATTTGTTATGATTTCAGTCCTTCTGCATTTGCTGAGGAGTGTTTTACTTCCAATTATGTGGTCGATTTTAGAATAAGTGCCATGTTGCACTGAGAAGAATGTATATTCTGTTGATTTGGGGTACAGAGTTCTGTAGACGTCTACTAGGTCCATTAGATCCAGAGCAGAGTTCAAGTCCTGAATATCCTTGTTAATTTTCTGTCTCGATCTGTCTAATACTGACAGTGGGGTGTTAAAGTCTCCCACTACTATTGTGTGGGAGTCTAAGTCTCTTTGTAGGTCTCTAAGAACTTGTTTTATGATTCTGGGTGCTCCTGTATTGGTTGAATATATATTTAGAATAGTTAGCTCTTCTTGTTGAATTGTTCCCTTTACCATTTTGTAATGCCCTTCTTTGTCTTTTTTGATCTTCGTTGGTTTAAAGTCTGTTTTGTCAGAGACTAGGATTGCAACCCCTGCTTTTTTTTGCTTTCCATTTGCTTTGTATATTTTCCTCCCTCCCTTTATTTTGAGCCTGTGTGTGTCTTTGCACATAAGATGGGTCTCCTGAACATAGCACACCAATGGGTCTTGACTCCTTATCCAATTTGCCAGTCTGTGTCTTTTAATTGGGGCATTTAGCTCATTTACATTTAAGGTTAGTATTGTTATGTGTGAATCTTATCCTGTTATCATGATGCTATTTGATTATTTTGCACACTAGTTGATACAGTTTCTTCGTAGTGTCATTGGTCTTTATATTTTGGTGTGTTTTTGCAGTGGCTGGTACCGGTTTTTCCTTTCCATATTTAGTGTTTCTTTCAGGAGCTCTTGCAGCGCAGGCCTGGTGGTAATGAAATCCCTCAGCATTTGCTTGTCTGAAAAGGATTTTATTTCTCCTTCACTTATGACGCTTAGTTTTGCTGGATATGAAATTCTGGGTTGAAAATTCTTTTCTTAAAGAATGTGGAATATTGGCCTCTAATCTCTTCTGGCTTGTAGAGTTTCTGCTGAGAGGTCCACTGTTAAACTGATAGGCTTCCCTTTGTAGGTGACCTGGCCTTTCTGGCTGCTCTTAACAGTTTTTCCTTCATTTCAACCTTGGAGAATCTGATGATTATGTGTCTTGGAGTTGATCTTCTCATGGAGTATCTTAATGGTGTTCTCTGTATTTCCTGAATTTGCACGTTGGCCTGTCTTGCTAGGTTTGGGAAGTTCTCCTGAATAATATCCTGAAGTGTGTTTTCCAGCTTATTTCCAGTCTCCCCGTCTCCTTCTGGTACTCCAATCAATTGTAGCAGAACCCTCACTTTGGAATTAGACACGCCTGTGTTTCAATCCTGAATCTACTGCTTATCAATGGGTGATCCTGGAAAGATTACTTCATCTTCTATACTTCAATTCCCTCATCTTAAGATATGGATAATAATGATTACTGCTGGATGGGGTGATGAGTTAGAAAGATAACACATGCAAGCACTTAGCACAATGTCTGGCACTTAATAAGCACTCAATAATGTTTCCCATTACTGTTGATGCTTCCTAATTTTCCCTTAACTGTCTTCATTTTCCATCTGCAAACAACATGGAATGCCTTGATCACCATTCTACCTTCTTGTTTAACCATTATATAACAGCTTTTAACAATTAATTAATAATCAACAGCCTATAGGTTAACATACCAAAACAGAGATACTGTATACAAGAGATGCACCCCAGTTTTACCAAGAGGACAAAGGCCCAAAAGTTTTAGCTTCTTTTGAAGGATGGAAAAACCAGAACAGTAGTTCTTCTCATCTACATTTTCCAGTTCAGTCACTCTGCCAGAGTAGAAATGCAAATTATTTTTCAAGAAAGTCAACTGTTGAAGCAGCTAGCTACTAGACAAGCAGCCAACAAGAGTCTCTATTTTTTTTCCCACCATATAATCCTGGTAGAAAGTTACTGCAGAGCATAAACACTCAATCAGGTTACTAGGAACCACAAAAAAGAGCAAGGTAAGTACACAGGGGTCTTTTGTTTTTTTCTCAGTCAACAGATCTATTAAGCCAATTACCCTTTCTTAGTCTTCATTTATTCATCTGTAAATTAAAGACATAAGACCAGATGATGCCTAACATCTTTTCCGTCTTAAGGAATTACAAATTCCTTAAGAATTAAAATAAAACAAATTGGAACTAGCCTTAACTATCCTAATTTTATCAGCTTTTAATATTTTAAAATTTTAAATATTTTATTATTTACATATTTTATTTAATATATTTAATATAAATAAAATATTTTATTTAATATATTTAATATAAATAAAATATTTTATTTAATTATTTAAATATTTTATTGTTTAAAATTTTTAACATTTTATTTTAATAAAATAAACATTAAGTACAAATGAACTTCATAAAATACTGGTCCCAATGGCAAGTTCATTCCTATTGTGGCAATAGAGTGAAGACTACTGGCTAAGAAAATATTTGATAATCTTTGTGATCACAGTGTTCAGCTTCTGCTCAAGCCTCCCACACTGGCCAATGTCCACTGACCAATGTCCATCTGGAGCTGTAAAAGTAATCTCTTCTTAAATATTTGATGTCATGTTCCCCTTTGGTCTTCTGAACAAATTCAGTGACTCCTTTTCCTTTCACAGGTGTATCTAAATCTCCTTTCAGGTAAATATTTTCCCCATTTACTGTGACTTGTCTAGTTTTCAAACTCTGTATCTGAATCCTTTCAAATATATTTTTTAACTTCCTTTATTGCTACTCTTTTTCTAAACGTATACTTGAATCACTTTTCAAATGTATATTATCGGCCTTCTATTTACTTATGAGTACAAAGGCCTCCCTTCTGTGGATCTCAAAATAATTTCTGGAAAGGTGTATGTAAGGAAATTTTAATTTGTGTAAGAGAGAACCTGTAAAATGAGGTGTAAGAACCAAAATGTGGCTATAGTCACTACTTTTATTTCTCCTACAGGCAGATCCCTAGTAAAATAGCAAAAGCCATAATTAAAATAATAAAATGTCTGTCGTATTTTCCTCACTAAAATGAAGTACTCTGTCTAGTAAGCTACATACCAGAAATGGAAAATGTGGTGCATCCTACCATCCCCAAATCCTGTCTGGCTAGGGCAGATGTCAACAGTCAATCGGTAATTTTCCTGCTGAGCTTAGATGGAGTTTATGAACATTTTATAATAAAGTGCATCAACTGATGGACTTAGTTCAGATTTTACTTGCTATTTTGCTACTATTCAGGCCATGGTTATAATATTGCTCACAAATGTATATGATAACTCAAAGAGTGTACCTGGATTGTTTGTAATACAAAGGATAAATGCTTAAGGGGATGGATGCCCCATTCTCCATATGTGGTTTTTATGCATTGTATACCTGTATTAAAACATCTCATGTACTCCATAAATACACACATCTACTATGTACCTAAAAAAATAAAAAAAAACATATATATGAATGATGGTATTTAAAATGATGCTTATATCCACAGCCAATCAGAGGAAACGAACCCAGTCAGGGCATGTGTTTATAGCACCTACCTGGGCACCACTGTCATCTGAACTATCCCCAGAGCTCTGAGACTGAAGAAGGCTCTGATTTATATGGCTCAGCTCTTCTCTAAGCCTCACAATTTCCTCAGGCTTCATGGTTAACTGCTGTTCTTTTTCTTCATCTTTCATATCTCGATTCTGTTGTGAGCCCTCCTCCTTCTGCCCCTCTCTTGGAAAACTGCCCTCCTTTACTGACTCCTCTGGAATTTCCTTCTGCTTTCTTTCTCCTAATTTGGGACTTGGTGCAAATATAAGAATAAAATCTATCAAAATGCTTATTATAGTAGTAGAATCGGGAAAAAAAAGCTACAAGTCAAGACAGTGTTGCAAACAAGATTTTCAACCTGAATTCTATAGCACAACAGTCATCTTATTCTTAAAAATAAACTTTAAAAACATAAGTCGGCCGGGCATGGTGGTTCATGCCTGTAATCCCAGCACTTTGGAAGGCCGAGATGGGCGGATCACCTGATGTCAGGAGCTGGAGACGAGCCTGGCCAACATGGTGAAACCCCGTCTCTACTAAAAGTACAAAAATTAGCCAGGTGTGGTGGTGTATGCCTGTAGTCCCAGCTACTCATCAGGAGGCTGAGACATGAGAATCACTTAAGCCCAGGAGGTGGAGGTTGCAGTGAGTCAAGACTGTGCCACTGCACTCCAGCCTGGGTGACAGAGTGAGACTGTGTCTCAAAAAATAAAAAATAAAAGAAAACCCACAGATGAGTCACATTTTTTACTTACATTCAGGGAGATGACCCATCACAGGTTTTCATTTACAGCCAAACTGCCAGTTTAAATGAGTTTTATACTTTTTCAACTTTTAGTATGGCATTGAGCAGACACAGGTTATAATGATTTTAATAAGCACTAGCCACTTTGGCAGGCACTAGGGCTTCAACAGGACATGATCTGTGCCCCAAGGAGCTTACAATTTAGTGATGAATGAGGATAAGAAATGAGCTTACAATTTAGTGAGAAATGAGTAGTAAGTAATACAAGGCCTGATGGATGAGTAGGCACAAGCTAAACAAATGTAAAGGGAGGAAGGAGTGTGTATGTACTTGCATGTGTGTATGGACGTTGGGGAAGGTGGGTGTTGGTATAGATGAGAACATGAACAAGCAAAGGTGTGCCAAAATGATTTAATAAATAAGATATGTAAAACCCCGAAGCAAAAGAGAGAAGGTGCTTTAGAAATATTATTTGGATGCCATGTGGCAGGGAAACCATTTGAGAGACTGTTGTAATAATCCATGTAATAAATAACAATAAATAGAACTATGATGGACTCTGGAGATATTTAAAAGACAGTATTGATAAGGTTTGTCATTTATTGGATGTGGCAGGTAAGGGAGAAAAAGGAATCATCATGACCTGGATTTCTGACTTGGGAAATGGACAAGTGGATGGTAGACCAACATGTGGGAATGTGGCTATAGACTGACTACAGAGATGTCTGTGGTGAGGATACAGACACAGAAGAACGTGAGCAGAAACACTGGGACTGGATAAGACGAACCAGGGAGAAAGGGGAAAGTAAGAGGAGGCAGATCATCCTAGACAGAAGCCTAAAAACTTGTAAGGAACAAGCAGAGGAGGTGAAAGCCACAGAAACCAAGAGGAGGGAATGCACCTTCAATGGTTAGAGAGTGTGGATGACAAGGAGAATGAACACAAATATGCTGGTTTTATTTTTATTCCCTCAATCTTAAATTTTGTTTTGAGTACCCTGAAACCTAGCACAGCATGCTTCACAGATTATAGTTGGTAATCATATTCTTCAAGAAATCAATTTGGCAGTACAGATCAAGAGCCATGGTCAGGTGTGGTGGCTCACGTCTGTAATCCCAGCACTTTGGGAGGTGAGGTGGGCGGATCACCTGAGGTCAGGAGTTCGAGACCAGCCTGGTCAACATGGCGAAACCCTGTCTCTACTAAAAATACAAAAATTAGCCAGGTGTGGTGGTACATACCAATAGTCCCAGCTACTTGGGAGGCTGAGGCAGGAGAATCTCTTGGACCTAGGAGGCAGAAGTTGCAGTGAGCAGAAATTGCACTATTGCGCTCCAGCCTGGATGACAGAGGGAAACTCTGTCTCCACAAAAAAAAAAAAAAAAAGAAGCCATAAAATGTCCATAATCTTTGAATAATTGCATATGAATGAGTTTACTGCAATAAAATAATCCATAAGAAGAAAAAAGATGACTGTACAATAATGCTCATACTAAATAGAGATATGGAAATGGCTAAGAGAATTAAAGATGCTTCAACTTAAAAGTGACCTCAAGACTATTCATAAACATGAAAACTACTTATCAAAGTAAAATTGTGGCGCAAAAACAAATAAACATGTATGTATTAACGTGTGTACACACATACATACATATATATATATACTATGGGAAAATGTCTAGAAAAAGCTGGAAAGGAACAGGGAGAAAAATTGTGTCTAGGGAGTGTTTTATTCCTTTTAAAATTCCTCTAATACTATAAAAAATAAATATTTTATTTTGAATTTAGCAGTTTTTAAAAGATAATATATTCAAATGATGCAAAACAGTATGAGATAAAGGGTAAAATGCCTTTAAAAATTTTTATAAAACAACAATGAAATTTTCCATCATTTATAAATCCCTTTCCTTTTCTTATATCCAGTGGAAGCTAGACACACATTAAGACTGGGAAAATGCAAATGTATACCGTGTGTGTGTGTGTGTGTGTGTGTGTGTGTGTGTGTGTGTATGGAATCTCACCTTGTCACCCAGGCTAGAGTGCAGTGGGGCGATCATAGCTCACTGCAGCCTTGAACTCCTGGGCTCAAACAATCCTCCTGCCTCAGCCTCCTGAGTTGCTGGGATTACAGGTGTAAGCCACTGCATCCAGTAGTTTCATATTTTTTTTTTAAATGGAGAAAATGGACTTTTTCTTCGAAGAAGATGGAGTAGACACACTTTCCCCCTATTTTTACCATTAAGTACAACTAAAAACTCTGAACATTATATATAAAACAAACATTAAAAGACTTTGAAAGGTGGAAAGAAGAAGGCAGACCAGCTAGGGAACTCAAGACCCAAGGAACGACATGGCTGTGAGTTTCCTGGGTGTTCTTTTTGCCTCACAGATCCCTGAGTTGTAGCTGAAGAAGACAGCAACCCAGACAATGTCAACAAGCACAAACAAAAACAACAACAAAAAAAAAACAAAAAAGTCCAAACAAAAGTCTGCCATCTTTAGCCAAAGCACCAGAAAAGGCCAAGGAAGAAACACAATTTTGGACACCTACCTACTCCAGCTGAACGTCACAGAAAAAACTGTGCCTTCACCTCCACTTATGCCAGCAAAGCCCAAATTGGGAGCCTAGATTTCCACCCTCACCAGGCTGTAATAAGGGATTCCAATTCCCTGACTGGGGTGGTGTCAGAGAAGGCCAAGTAGGGATAAGGGACTTTTATCCCTGCCGAATAATAAAGAGCTCCCCTACCCTGCAGTGTGAGGGGAGACCAGGTGGTGAGTTTAGAATTCCAACCCACCTGGAAGGGAGGAGGCACACTTCTCCCTTTCCACTGGGGCGGTGTCAGAGGAGGCCACCACCTAGCACAATAAGCCACCCCCACCCACCTGCCTTGTGGTATCAGTGGCGGCCCCGGGGAGAGAAGTCACAAGTCACTCCTCCCCTTCTCAGCCATGTGCTGTAAGTGGAGGCTACTGGAGAAAAGGAATTCCCATCCTCACCAGCTGTAATAAGGAACCCTTCCTCCTGCAATTACCTCAAAATAATTTTTTTTAAAATTTTTCCATTTAAAGTATATTTTTCCATTTAAAAAATGGAAAATCCATGAATTGGTGCTTTAAATTTAATATATATGAAGGTGTCTCATTTGTCACATTAAGAAGGATGAATGACTTTATAAAGACCAGACTTAACCAGACCAATTTAATTTCCTTCTGTAAATACATAATGGCCATAGAAGAACAGAAGTGGCCTTTGTTATGTTTCCATAGTTTAAAGACAAGGTTTAAGTGTCCCTCCTCTTTGGTGGGTCCATGAGATGTGCCTGTACAGCCACATTCAGAGCATGGCGGTCAAGGAGTTTTCCCTGACTTGGAAGGAATGAGCAGTGCTCTCCAGGATACAATTCTGGGCTAATGCCATTTTACATTTTTATTAATGGGCTGGATAAATAAATTGCATTCACATGAATCAGTTAATTAGTAAATTAAGGAGAACTAGCAATACCTGGGAATACAGGGATTTAATATTTAAGTGATATTGATACATCAGGACAAGAATCCATGAAAATAAATGCTCCCCCAAAAGAACAGAATTTGGCTAGGTACAGTGGCTCATGCTTGTAATCCCAGCACTTTGGGAGGCCAAAGTGGGAGGATCACTTGAGCCCAGGAGTTCGAGACCAGCCTGGGCAACATAGGGAAACCTCCGTCTCTACAAAAAAATTTTAAAAATTAGCTGGATGTGGTGGCATGTACCTATGTGCCTGTGGTCCCAACTACTCAGGAGGCTGAGGTGGGAGGATCACTTGAGCCCAGAAGGTCGATGTTGTAGTGAGCTGTGATGGCACCACTGCACTCCAACCTGGATGACACAGCAAGTTCCAGTCACACACACACACACACACACACACACACACACCAGAATTTATCCTTTCAAAAGGTATAAGAGAAAATGTGTATACTTAGAAACCAAAGGAAGGCTGAACAGATTTTTAAAAGTAATACCTAATAGTATGTATTACTTTATTATTATGTTCACATAATAATAATATTATGTATTGCATTAAAGTTGTGTGGGCAAAAGCAGACTATCAGCCAAAAATTATATGGAGTTGAGAACATGTCCTATAGCCAGCACGTCTGCATCTTAAAAACCGGAAAACCCACCATGACTCTCAAATTTTTGCTTCCTCCTGTTGTAGTTCTTAATTTTTAACTGAAAGGATTTATTACCTAGTTCTTATTGAAACACCTCCCTTCCCCCAGCTTCTGCTTTTTTACATCATGCAATACTTCTGCAATTGTCACCAGTCTTCAACTGGTGGGAGGTATCTAGGCAGCAACCCTGTCCTATTCCTTTTCTAGTAGCATACATGCACAGCAGTCTCAAACATATACAGATTCAAGAAAGAGCACAGTACAGTAGAAACCATGAGTGCTAGTCCTGTATCTTCCACCTACTATTTACGTAACCTTCTACAAGGCACAATCACTCAGAGTCTCAATCTCTTCATTTGCAAGGTGGTCTTTCCTTTCTCATAAGCTTTTTGGGATTTTTGAAGTAAAATGTAAAGGCATTTTGAAAACCTGCAAGGCAGCACACCAACATGGCACATGTATACATATGTAACAAACCAGCACATTGTGCACATGTACCCTAGAACTTAAAGTATAATAAAAAATGAATAAAAAATAAAAAAGATATCATTAAAGTGAATTAAAGCCTAGTAGAACAGAATAGGGGTGGCTAACGATGAAACTTTGTTCCCACAGAGGAAGAAAAAGATTCAGTCATTTATTTGTCAAATATATGTTGAATATCAACTATATGACAAGCACTACTCCACATACTAAGGATTCAAATAAGTGATCAACACAGCCAGGTCTGTGCCCTCACATAGCCTACATCTAGAGGAGGACAAGAAACAAACACACAAACAAATAAGATAATTACCAACTATGATAAGTCACAAACAAGGTGACATGGTAAAGTATTTGGAAAGTAGGAGTTATAATTTGCCTAGACATGGCAGTTAGGAATTACCACTCTGAGAAGGAGTTAGCCACATGAAAAGCTGGGGGAGGACTATTCTGAACAGGGGAACCTTTTAGTGCAAAGGTCCTGAAGCAGGAAAGTCCTTTAAAAGTTGGAGGATCTAAAAGGCAGCAAGATGAGGAGGAGGTAGGTAGAGGCCAAGTCATGGAGGGCCTTATGGGTCATGGTAATGGTTTAGATTTTAAGTGCAATAGGAAGCCATGGAGAGGGTTTTAAGAGAGAGAACAATATTATTCGATTTGCATTTAGAAAAGACCATTTGGCTACTCCATGGAGAATGGATTGGGAGGAGGGTATGGAAGCAGGGAGGACAATTAGGAAGATATGTAACAGTCCTGATGAGTGATATCAGTGCTATGGAGTAGGGTAGCAACAGTGGAAATATAGATAGAAGTGAACAGATTCAATATTTTATGTTTTCATGGTAGAAGTGACAGGATGTGTTGGTGGAACAGATGTGGGGAAGAATCAAAGGTGACTCCTAGGTTTTGGCTTGATCAATGTGTGAATGGAGGGGCTATTCACTGAACAGATTGGACTGGGGAAGAAATAGTTTGGAGGAGGATGAAAAATACATTGGTAGTCTGTGAAGGAGACAGAAAGTCAACATCAAGTTGAACTTGAAATTAAAATGGACTTGAACACTTATCAAACAACCCTTGATAAAGGTAGAAACGATGCAATGAAATAGTGAATGAGAGTGTGTTGGAAAGAACAAAGCTCATTAAGGTCAAGGAAGCCACTGGCTGTTCTGGCCCAAGCTTCCTAATAAAACAAGGACAGGCTGAGATCAGCTGGGCTCTATAAGCTTGGGGCTGCTATTGGAATTCCAACTTCGGATTCAGTTGCAAGATAGTGCAATTGTATACCCATTGTACACAGTAGGAGTAGGGGGAAATTTTCATTTACTCAAATATTTTGTGAGTACCTACTATGTGTCTGGCATTGTTCTAGACACTGGAGACATAGTCAAGAACAAGAGAGTCTGGGCTTAGAAGAGTTCCTCCCACCCTACCTCTCATGTTATACATATAGAGAGACTGTGCCCTAAGCGATTTTTCAGCACCATAAAGCTCATTTTCTGAGAAAGTGACCTAGAACCCAAGTGTCCCAAGACCTTCTTGCCCTTGCGATATTTGTGACTACATCTTCTCCAAAGCAGATAAAGTAGTACTTCTCGTGACTCAGCGTTAGGAGACTTGGGTCCTCATCCCAGTCCTGCTGGTAGCTTGCTGTGTATGTGATTGTGAATGAAATAGTCATTTCAGTTTTCTTGGTCTCAGAGACCTCATTTGTGAAAAAAGAAGACTTAGCTAAATATCAGTGGTTTTCAAACTTATTTTAGCTGTGGACCCTTTATTGAATTAAAAATCTTACACAAAACCCAATATATGAAACATAAAAGTGGAGCTTCTCTGGGTGAAATGGGAATGGAGGGCTCAATGGTCCCGCTCATCAGTCCTTCCTCATCTTACAAGGTAATTTCTGAGGCCCCTCTGCAGAATTCCTAAAGTTTTGGGAAGTAGAAGTTTGAAAACTGCTAAGTTGGAAGATCTCCTGAAGGTCCTTCCAGTTCTAAGAGTCCGTTACTCTATGACAAAAGAACTATAAACAGAAAAACAAGACACGGCCCATTACCTTAATACCTTAAAGGAGCTTAAAATCTAGTAGAAGAGATGTACTGTAAGGATCAATCAATCAACTTGGCTTATAAGCAGCTTCTGTGTGCATGTGCCCATGCTAGGTATGCTGTACCACTTGCTACTTCACTTCAATTGAAGACTCTGGCTCATGGCTTTCTGTCACCTTCTTCACCCCAAGTCCTGCCATCATACTGGAAGATTGCAAGTCCCATAGAGACCACCCATGAATGCCTTGGCATCGCTTCTTCCATCTCCTTCTCTCCAATTACCTTCTCATCTCTCCTATTTTGTCAACTAATTGCATGACCATGTCATGAGTTGTCAGCAGCAGCAACTATTTCACTTCTGAAATATTAAAATTAAATATTGCATTCCAGCTTTTCCTTTTTATATAACTTGGTCCCAAGGCAATCATAGTATCTGCAATTCCTTGTCTATTTTTCTATCCATTTTACTGATAAAAAGCCCTTGTTTTACTTGCTTCCAAATCCAATATAGAGTTTAGAGTTCATTATTTCAATCACTGTCTAAATAAAATGGTCAACTCTCTTACCCCATTGTCTTTCCACTGCACTCACATGGCAAAACCCCAACCCTGGATAAATCCAACTGTCTTCTCTTGCCTATACTAAACTGCTGAATATTACTAAAGAATATCATCTATTCTCAAAGACAGATGAGCCAAATAAATTCAGCTTCTCTAGCCTGTTCTAGTATCCTCCACGCTACCAAACACTGTAGTAGTTTCCCACTGTCCAAACTCCCTAATACAGGTCTTCGTGTCCCTTCATGATCAGGCCTCTGCCTGCCTCTTCATTCTCATCATCCTGTTCCCCATTTCCTCTCTTCACACTCCATGCTATAGCAGCATAGAGGTCACTTTTAGGGCCTCAAACAAACCATGCTTTCTCTTGAACATGCCATATCTCCCCTGAAAATTATTCTCCCATCTTTTTGCTTGGCCCCTGATTACTCAGACTTCCTTTAAGAATATTTTTTGATTCATTAGCCTGGGCCAGAGCCCATGCTTTGTGTTCCCATAGTACTCAGTACTGCCTTGTTTAACCATTTTTCTCCATCAGACTATGTGGACCATAAGGATAAGAAACTGTGTCTTATTTTACATCTTCGGTACCTCCCTACAGTGCCTGACACATGGTAGATACACAATGTCTTGCCAAATGTGGTTGTGTTATGGACCCATGATGAGGGGAGGCTGTGAAGAGGGGAATAGGAGATAAACAAGTAGGAAAACATTATGAGAAAAAAAGGAGAAGGAGGCAGATGGCAGATACCTAGACTTTTCAGAGTCCCAGTTATGGGAAGCAGATTGGACCAAGTCCTGGAAACAGGTGGCATCAAGGAGCTCTTAAGAGGGAAGGCCATTATCTTTCTTATGGCAAGGTTTCCCACCCCTAGATGAATTAAAGCCACATCCTTGCTCCCCACGGCAAGTATCCCTGCCAATTACCCAAAATCACCTGGGTGGACTTTTGTCAGATTTGATTATTTATGTCAGCTCCTTTTTGAAGAACTTTCAGATTGACCATTTCATCTTCATTGCCACTTACTCAATGTAGGCAACCATCTCTTCATCTATCACTCATATATAGATTAATTGGTCTATCTTCCATCTCCATTTTATCTAATAAAGAGATACTAGAACAATCTTCCTCAAAAATCCTGTAAGACACTGTTCCAGTGCTCAAGAACTAGACTTTCTCTTTCCCTACAGCAAACCTAAATGCTGTGATGTTGCTTCTTGGCTCTCTGTTTTTGTGACCATTATCATACCCCTTCCCCATCGTCACTCCAAGATGCTCTCCCACATCTGCAACTAGGTTTCATAATTGTGAATCTTGGACTCAAAGCTTACTCTAAAGTTAAAGCAACTTTTAAGAGGGCATAATATTTAGGAGCCCCAAACTCGCAAAATAATCTCCTTCTATCTTTAGAACATTTACAAAGATATAACTTTGTCTACATCTAGACTATATTTTCTCACTTCATTGATGAATGTATCCTTTAGTATGGTATATGTCAAAATTGACATCATTGTTTCCTTTTGATTATTTAGTTCTAGACTTTTTCCCAGACAAAATTTGATTGCAACTATTAACTTATGTGCCCAGGAAGAGTAGTGCACTTGCCAAAGCCTCACGTTTCTGTGAAAGATACTTTTGGTTAGAAAAGTAGAAGTACCTTTAGAGGGCAAAATTAACAAGATAGATAGATAGATAGACAGATAGATAGATAAATAAGAGAAAAGTGGTCAAAAAATTATCATTTGCAATGTAAAATAGAGACAGCAAAAAACAAACTCTGCAGAGTATAGTCATAATTATGTAAAAATATACATATATGTGTATGTATATAGAAAAAAGAAAGACAAATTAGGATGTTAACATCTTAACATCTTTCCCTGGTGAGAATTAAGGGTTGTTATAATTTCCTTATACTTTTGCATGCTTTCTAAGTCTTCTAATAAAAGGATATATATATATCCTTTTATTAGAATACTATATATATATATATATATATATATATATATATATATATATATTTTTTTTTTTTTTTGAGACAGAATTTCACTCTTGTTGCCCAGGCTGGAGTGCAATGGCGTGATCTCGGCTCACCGCAACCTCCACCTTCTGGGTTCAAGTGATTCTCCTGCCTCAGCCTCCCGAGTAGCTGGGATTACAGTCATGCACCACCACGCCCAGCTAATTTTGTATTTTTAGTAGAGATGGGGTTTCTCCATGTTGGTCATGCTGATCTCGAACTCTTGGCCTCAGGTGATCCGCCCGCCTTGGCCTCCCAAAGTGCTGGGATTACAGGCATGAGCAACTGTGCATATGTAACAGGCCGCATACATTCGTTGTTTGAAAGCAGGAAAAAAGTTTTAAAATGTAATAATATATCAAAAGACGAACTTTTTGGAGAATGCTTATAACTAATTTTTCCACTCACATAATTTGGAAATGAATATTAAATTATTATTATTATTATTATTAATTTTGAAACAGGGTCTAGCTCTGTTGCCCAGGCTGCAGTGCAGTGACACAATCATGGCGCACTACAACCTCCACCTCCCACGCTCAAGCAATCTTCCCACCTCAGCCTCCCGAGTAGGTGGGACTGCAGACACACATCATCATGCCAGGCTAATTTTTGTTTTTTGTAGAGATGGGGTTTGCCATGTTGCCCAGGCTGGTCTCAAACTCCTGAGCTCAAGCGATCTGCCTGCCTCAGTCTCCCGAAGTGCTGGGATTACAGACTTAAGCCACTGCACCCAGCCGAATGTCAAATTCTTATAATGATCAAGCCAAATAAAATATACCCTCTCTGAATAATTAATGTGATATAGGATTTTCCCAATTTACCAGAGTTCCTCTGTCTCTTCCTTTCGGCTTTGAATTTCTGTTTCCAAAATTGGTTCATTAGATTCAGGATCTTTACAGGTATTTTCACTTGTAATTAAATTAGAAGGTGCAGTTTTTCCCCCTAGAGTAAAATGATTTAATTGTGCAAATTCTTGTGAAAGCTTCAAGACCTGCAAAATTAAGTGAAAGACAAATATTCTATTTTGCATACTTTTATTTATAGCTGTGAAAAAAAGTATACTGATTTCATTAAATGCTTAACTATTGGCTTATATAATATAAAATGACATCCTAATTGAAGGCTGATTCCAACTTAATTTAATACTTTGCAGTTGTTATATTACTTAATCGATTTTTTTTTTACCATAGGCATAAGGGTATGTAAATTCCCTTTTTTTTTTTTTTTTTTTTTTTTTTAAAGGTATTTTTGGACTCTGGGGTTGGGTTCTCAGAGTGCTGTTTAGCATTTGGTTATACCTTTTAACAAGCACAAATATGTGATCTACAGAGTTTTACATGATCACCACACATTTTTGTTTTCAAGTTTTGAATGTACTTCATTGATTCATAAAAGCAATAATATATAATAAAAACAAAAATATATTGCTGCCAGAAAACATTAGAAAGAATATTAGATATATCTTACGGAGATATCTTCTATATCTATAAGAATATTAGATATATCTTACAGAGAAGAACTTTCTTCCATAGTGGTTCTCAAACCACTATGATATAAAAGCATCAGCTGAAGAATTTATTAAAAGCGCAGTCTTGGCCGGGTGCAATGGCTCACATCTGTAATCCCAGCACTTTGGGAGGCCAAGGCAGGCAGATTGCTTGAGTCCAGGAGTTCAAGACCAGCCTGGGCAACATGGAAAGATCCTGTCTCTATGAAAAATTAGCTGGGCATGGTGGTGTGCACCTGTAGGCCCAGCTACTCAGCAGGCTGAGATGGAAAAATGGCTTGAGCCTGGGAGGTGGAGATTGCAATGAGCCGAGATCAGGCCACCGCACTCCAGCCTATATGACAGAGTGAGACCCTGTCTCAAAAATAAAAATAAAAAATAAAATATTTGTTAAAGAAAATGCAATCTTATATTGTAGCCCCTACCCTGAGTAAGACTCACTATCAGTGGTCTGGGGGCGGAAATGGAAATCTGTACTTTAAATAAGCCTCCCATGTAATTCTGTAAGTAGATGCTTTGAGAATCACTGCCTTTTGTGATTTGGCAAACCATTTGCTCAGTCTTTTTGTTTTGTTTTGACAAACAGATTCTAAAGATTTCCTTTCCTGAAAGGTTACTCTATATCTTCATATAAAATGAAAAAACATTTCCTTCAGGGAGTAGAAAGGATGGGTGGGGAATGATTCTAAGAAAGGAAGATGGGCTAGGCGCAGTGGCTCATGCCTGTAATCCTAGCACTTTGGGAGGCTGAGGTGGGAGGACTGCTTGAGGCCAGGAGTTTGAGTCCAGCCTAAGCAACATAGCAAGACCCCGTGTCTGTACCCAAATAAACAAACAAATAGAATGGAATAAAAAATAAGAAAGGAAAATGGATCCCCATCAAAGTATTGTGCTAAGGTAGACAATAGCCTGCCTGATTCATATCCTGAGCCTGTCTGAAAATGCAAAGCTTCTACATGTTTGATTCTAAGAACACAATGGACTTAATTATAAAGATCAATTTAAGTTTACTTTAAGAGATCCCTTTGGTTTCCTATGCCTTTTCAATTCTCTGAAGAGAAACTACAGTGTGTAAAATGGACTATAATCTCATAAAATCCATAAAATCTCATATGGACTATAACCTTTCTAGGGGAGAAGGTTGGTCTTGAACTAGTCCTTTCAAGTTGGGAAGATATAGATAAGAGAAGAGACTACAAATAGCACATTTTAAGCATGGGGAGCAATATGGCCAAAGGCACTGACATAGAACTGAGTATAGAGTAATTTGGGGGAAAGTAAGGAGGATGATTTCATTGGAATAGAGGCTACAAAGTAAGGAGCTGCAGAAATAAGGCAAGATTGCCGGAGTTTGAGACCAGCCTGGCCAACATGGTGAATCCCCATCTCTACTAAAAATAGAAAAATTAGCCAGGTGTGGTGGTACATGCTGCAACCCCAGTTACTCGGATGGCTGAGGCATGAAAATCACTTGAACCTGTGAGGTGGAGATTGCAATGAGCCAAGATCGTGCCACAGCACTCCAGCGTGAGTGAGAAAGACAACTGAGTGAGAAAGAAAGAAAAGAAAGCAAGGTAGGAAGGAAGGGAGGGAGGGAAGGAGGGGAAAAAAAAAAAAAGAAGGCCAGTTGTGGTGGCTCACACCTGTAATCCCAGCACTTTGGGAGGCTGAGGTGGGCAGATCATGAGGTCAGGAGTTCAAGACCAGCCTGGCCAACATAGTGAAATCCCGTCTCTACTAAAAATACAAAAAATTAGCTGGGCGTGGTGGCAGGTGCCTGTAGTCCCAGCTACTCAGAAGGAATAAGGCAAGATTGAAGGGAGAGGTCAGATTATAAAGGAACGTAAAAGACAATTTTATTAATGAGCTTGCATTATTTTTGTAAGCAGGAAAAAATATTCCAAAATGCTACTTAATCACTAATCTTTGTGGTCATTGTAAAAATGTAAACATTACAGATAATAAATGTTAGTCACTTAAGTAGTAAAGAAAGGCAGCCTGGCAAAATAGGGAGACCCTGTCTTTATTAAAGAAAAATTTAGGCCGGGCGCGGTGGCTCACGCCTGTAATCCCAGCACTTTGGGAGGCCGAGGCGGGTGGATCATGAGGTCAGGAGATCGAGACCATCCTGGCTAACAAGGTGAAACCCCGTCTCTACTAAAAATACAAAAAAAAATTAGCCGGGCGCGGTGGCGGGCGCCTGTAGTCCCAGCTACTCGGGAGGCTGAGGCAGGAGAATGGCGTGAACCCGGGAAGCGGAGCTTGCAGTGAGCCGAGATTGCGCCACTGCAGTCCGCAGTCCGGCCTGGGCGACAGAGCGAGACTCCGTCTCAAAAAAAAAAAAAAAAAAAAAAGAAAAATTTAAAATTAGCCAGGTGTGGTGCCATGTGCCTGTGGTCTCAGCTCCTTGGGAGGCTGAGGCAGGACAATCACCTGAGGCCAGGAGGGGGAGGTGAGCTATGATCTTGCCGCTGCATTCCAATCTGGGTGATAGAGAGACCTCATCTCAGAAAAAAAAAGGATAAAACAGTGGAGTTTAGATTTGACGTTATAGCAAACTGAAAGCTGCTGAGGGTTTCTGCAAAGGATGGTGACACTAACACAAAGCATTTTCTAGGTATTCTGAATTCTCACATGACAAAGTAGTGTATATCTTAAGTGAGTAGAAGCTTTATTCTTTATAACAAAGAAAGTTAAAGCCATCAGACCCTCCATGACATGGCTATTGTGGAACAGGACCAACTCTGTTCCACAGACTTCTTCCTACCAAAATTGTATCTTAGTGATATAGCTCAGTTTAATAATCAGCCATGTTTAAGTAGCATAAGAATTAAGCTTATGGTTCCACTTTCTGATTGAGGCCTTAGGCTAGGGTAGAAAGAGCATAGGCTGAGAATCACCATGTAACTTGGCAGCAGTCTAATATCCCTGGGCCTTGGTGTTCTTATGTGTAAACTGAAGGAGTTGGTCTACATGATCATACTCATTTCAGCTCTAAAATTCTGTATGAGTCTAGATGTTGTAACCCAAACAAAAATGACAGCCTGTAAAATGTGGGCTTCAGCAAATACATACAGCTTCTTTAGCAAGACTATCTTTAAGTCTAAAGCACTCTATATTCTGAAGAAAAACTAGAATATAACTTAAAAATCAAAGATTCAAAACAGAAACTTTTAATGAGTAAAAGTTTGATGGGAAACATAACACATAGTCTCAAAGTATCTCCCCACAAGATATGTATCTATTGCAAAGGCAAAAGTAATAACTTTGTAGTGTAGAAATCTAGCAGACAGTACCTTAACCAAATGATCCAAGTTAATATCATGAGGAATAGAACAAAAATGTCATGTCTCCTGATAAAATACACTGAGAAGGATACAACATTATCTCTGTAGTGTGGGTAATCTGAATTACATCGTGAGAAAACATCAGACAAATCCAAATTAAGAGACATTCTTCAAAATCAATGGTCTTGTTATGCACTGCATGTTTGTGTTGACTCAAAGTTCATATGTTGAAAGCCTTACCCTCAATGGGATGGTATTAGGAGGACACATTGGCAAGTAACTAATGCACAAGGGTGCAGCCCTCATGATTGTAGTAGTGCCCTTTTGAGAAGAGACAGGAAAAAGCTTGCACTCTCTCTCTCTCTTTGCTGTTGGCCATGTGAAGATACAATGAGAAGATAGCTGTCTGCAAATCAGGAAGAATGCCCTCACCAGACACTGAATATGCCAGATATGCCAACATCTTGATCTTTGATTTCCCAGCCTCTAGAACTGAGAGAAATAAATATTTGTTGTTTAATCTACCCAGTCTATTGTATTATGTTATAGCAGCCCAAACTGACTGAGACAGTACTCTTCGAAAATATCAAAATCATAAAAGACAAAGACAGACTGAGGAACTTTTGCAGATTGAAGGAGCTATAGAGACATGACAATTAAATGCAATGTATGATCCTGGGTTGGATCTCAGACTAGGAAAAAAGTTATTCTCTTGCTATAGAGGGGAATCAGAATAAAATCTGAATACGAGCTATAGATTAGATAATGGTATTGTGTCAATGTCAATTTCCTGATTTTGAGACTTGTACTGTGGTAATAGGAGATGTTATTGTTTTTAGTAAACCCACATGGAAATATTTAAGGGTAAAGGAGATTATGTCTCCAACTTACTCTCAAAGAGTTTATAAAAAACTGTGTGTGTGTGTGTGTATGTGTATGTGTGTGTGTGTGTGTGTAGAGGGAAAGAGAGACAATGATAAGGTAAACACGATACCATGTTAACATTTGGAAGAGTGAAAGTATATGGGAAGTCTTTGTACTTTCATAATTTTTTCTGTGAGTCTGATATTATTTCAACATAAAAAGTTTAAGAAAAAAGGAGACCCAGATTACCAGAAGAGCAGATCTGGATCTCTTTATTTTATATTATATTCTTCTCATTTCAGCTCATCTGTTGTTAACTTTTTCAATGATATTTTAAAAGGCCTGGCCCTTTAACTGTACAACGTGATGATAACTTACCTTGCTGACAAGGTCCCACAAAAAAGGCTTAGTTGTATATTATGCTCTACATAGCTACTCTCCCAGGCAGCAAACCCTATGTTCTGGACCTTTCCCTCCCATGTCACATGCTATCTGATCTATGTCCCAATCCCTCAGCAACCTGCTCCTGATTTTCTGGGATAACTACACATAGGTTAAATTAGGCTTTGATTTAGTTACTCACCTTACATATGGTGTTAAAATATAGCCTAATATATTTTAACTGCTGTATTCAAGACTTTGCTCCTTAATCTTTAGTCTAGGTCAAAAGAGTGATCGAGGAAAGGAATTTTCAGCCAGGAGGAGATAGTGATAACCTAATAGGTGGGACTCTAGAAATTATACAGGCAACCTTTCAGTCTAGTATTGGACTAGATGGGAATCCTTTGCCCTGGCCAGGTAGCCTTTTCTTTTTTTTTTTTTTTAGAGATGGGGTCTCACTGTGCTGCCCAGGCTGAAATGCAGTGGCTATTCACAGGCACAATCACAGCACACTACAGCCTCTAACTCCTGGGCACATTTTTAAACTTAGGCTCCCTGGAAGCCATTTTTAAACTTAAGGAACAAGCTTGAATCAGGACATTTGAACATTTTCCTAATTCTAAGCCCAATTTTCAGTGTAACTGAGAAAGACGCTTTGGTCCTAAATTTTTAAATTGAAGACATTTAAATAAATCTTTTACATTATAGAAAGATGCTTTGATCCTAAATTTTTAAATTGAAGACATTTAAATAAATATTTTACATTATAATATGTACTCCAAAAATTAAGTTGGTGGGAAGCTGATTTAAAGTAAAAAAATTTGCAGATTAATCCTAATTGCCAAGTGCTGGTTGAAGTCTGAATATTTATCTTGACATATAGCTTGACTCATAATCCACAGTATATGGCAGTATATGGCAATTTATGCTATAATAATAGAAGAAACTCCAATTCCCAAATCATCTGTTGCTTAAAATTAATTTCCTTTTAACCTATCCTCATAAAAGCTACATTAAATATTGAACATTTAAATACCTAACTCAGTCTCACCTTTGTTTCTAATTCAGAATTCTCTCTTTGTAACAGGTCACATGCTATTAAAAAATGGTCTTTGCTTTCTGATTCCCCTGGAAGATTGTGAACTTCATTATAAAGGCATATAAGCTCTGACTTTGATTTTTGCAATTCCTGATTAAGAAATGAAGACATTTAGTAGAATAAAATAAGACTATTTTCCCCCATAAAAGATATAATATTTTTAAGAATGAATCTTGAAATGGTCCTGACAAATTTTTTGTTTTAAATATTCCAACCTATCCTTCTGGCAGACCGATGCCTTTCTTAGTAGTTAAAACAAAGTTTACCTAAATCAATTAAATCAATTAAATAAACTGAGCATTCTTAGTTTCTATCATTCACAGGTTGAAAGATTTAGTTTCTAGAGTCCTTCCTACATTAAGCAAGGCTTATATACAGGTAAATTCTTTGGCAATGCTTGCAATGACTATCAATAGTTATATTATCTGTTTCTAAGATGTATCTTTTTAGAAGTACCATTTATAGAACAAAGTGCTATGTGGTTTACCTTTAATGTTCTGACAACTTTATAAGGGAATTGCTGAAAGTAAGGCTCAGAGATCTTAAGTGACCTGCCTAAATTCACATAGCCAGGAAGTATAAAGCTGAGATTCCAAATCCATAAATCTGTCTGACTTTAAACTCTGTGGTTTTTTAAAAAAAATTTATTTATTTATATTGATGCGGTCTCGCTATGTTGCCCAGGCTAGAGTGCAGTAGCTATTTACAGGTGTGATCATGGTGAACTATAGTCCTCAACTCCTGGGCTCAAACCATCCTCCTGTCTCAGCCTCCCAAGTACCTGGTACTATAAGGGTGCCATGATGGACAGCTTAAACTCTGTGTTCCTAACTACAAATTATGCTTATTTAATTATATTCAGTGACTTAATTAACCAGGGTTTTCTTTAATCCTCTGATGTTTTTTTCTCTTTCTCTTTTTTTTTTCTTTTTTGAGACAGGGTCTCCCTCTGTCACCCACACTGGAGTGCAGTGGTGCGATCACAGCTCACTGAAGCCTTGACCTCCTGGGCTCAAGTGATCCTCCCACCTTAGCCTCCTGTGTAGCTGGGATTACAGACACATGCCACCACACCTGGCTAATTTTTTTTTTTTTTTTTTTTTTTTTTTTTTTGTGGAGACAGTGTCCCACTATGTTGCCTAGGCTGGTCTTGAGCTCCTAGTGATCCTCTTGCCTCAGCCTCCCAAAGTGCTGGGATTACAGATGTGAGCCATTGTGCCCAGCATGATTTTTAAAAATATATATCCACAAGAGAAAACACTTTGGCTAAATGCAGATTTTTTTTTTTTTTTTGAGATGGAGTTTCGCTCTTGTTGCCCAGGCTGGAGTGCAATGGCATGATCTCAGCTCACTGCAATCTCTGCCTCCTGGGTTCAAGTGATTCTCCTGCCTCAGCCTCCCAAGTACCTGGGATTATAGGCATGCACCACCACGCCTGGCTAATTTTGTATTTTCGGGAGAGATGGGGTTTCTCCATGTTGGTCAGGCTGGTCTCGAACTCCTGACCTCAGGTGATCCGCCCACCTTGGCCTCCCAAAGTGCTGGGATTACAAGCGTGAGCCACCGTGCCCAACCTAAATGCAGATTTTTAACAGATTTTTACATTGATGACACAGGATGTGCACTGATTGACTGGTGGAAGACTTTGGGTTGAGAGTCAGTCTGTGGTGCTCAATGAAGGGAATAGGTTACATAAAATTTACTTCAGGAGAGGAGCTACTTGGTATTTTCCCAAAGCCTTGAAGTCAAAGTGGGAGGTAAATGCTGATTAGAAAGGCTTAGACAAAAAGGCAAGAAGGTAGAGGGTGGCCTCCCAAAACCACAGGAAGAGGGTAAATGATAATTGATTTCCTATCTTATTTCACTGAAAATTCCTGTAGGTCATTAGGATGAGATTAGGGGCACTGCAAACTACAAACTGATTGAGTGTCACTATCCTCTAAATTACTGATTTAGACTTCCATGAACTCACTTCCAGGTCTCTTTTCATAATATAGGCTGATTATGTCTCCTGATAGATCTTTCCAAGATGGCAGGACAAGAAGTTAAAACGAGCGATAAGCCCATGACTCTATGAACACTACAACAATCAAACGTCTGCTAAATAAAGGACTCTTTGCTTAGTGCTAGAACTCAGCTTGGAGAAACAACAGAGCTACCCCATTATTATTATAGAAACACGTATTCTACAGTGCTATGGACTGAATTGTGCTCTCCCTCCCTATTCATATTGTTGAAACCCTAATTCCCAATATGGACTGTATTTGGAGATAGATAGGGTTGATAAGGAGGTGATAAAGGTCAAATGAGGATATAAGGGTGGGGCCTTAATCCAATAGGGTTAGTGCCTTTATAGGAAGAGGAAGAGACACCAGAGCTTGCTCACTCTGTCATGTGAGGACACAGCAAGAAGGTGGCCATCTGCAAGCCAGGAAGAGAACCCTCACCAGGAACTGACTTGGCTGGCACCTTGATCTTGGACTTCCCCTCCTCCATAACTGTGAGAAAATAAAATTCTGTTCTTTGAGCCACCTAGTCTGTGGTGTTTGGTTATGGCAGCCCAAGCTGAGACACATAGTTATACTTTATTTAAAAATGATAACATGAAATCCCTAAATTAGAACTACAAGAAGAAGAAAACAGCTTCCTGAATGGTAATACCTCACTTTCAACTTTCAAGGCCTTCTCTGCAGTGTCAAGACCAGATGCCAACTGCTTCTCTCTCTCTCTCTCTTTTGACCACTCACTTTCAAACATTTCATTTTTTTCTTGGCTCATTTTCAGGATCTGTAAAAAGCATTTTACATAATTAATTTTATATATAATAGCAGTGTTTCCTACAAATTCTGATAATAACAACTTTCTAACTCAATAATGAAATCATCCAGGGGATTTATGAACCTAGGAAAACTAGTTTATAGCTCATAAGATACATTTTTCTCTCTAAGCCTTAATTTACACAATGGTAAAATGTAGTAACACTTGTTCTACCTACATTATAGCCATCACAGTAGGAATAAAATGTGATTTTGAAAGTATTTTATAAAATTTAATCACTTATCAAATATAAGGCAGTATTGAAATCTTTCCAAATTATTTGAAAATAATAAAAATTGGACTCATAATGATAACAGCTACTTTATATTGAGGACTTACCACATGTCAGAGACTATGGTAAGTATGTTAGATGCATTATTTCATTTTGTTTTCCTAGGACCCCTATGAGATTGGAATTATTATTACATTATTTTTACAGAGGAGACAGGTGAGGCTCAGATATGTTACATAATTTGTCCAAGTTCACACAGTCAGTACTGGAATTCTAAGTCAAGTCTAACTTAAATCTCTTACTTTTAATATCTACTCTATTCAGCCTTGCCAAAGTGAATTTTCTGTTATGTAAAAAAACCTATTAGGAGATAAAATTGAGATCAAAATACAACTTAGGAACACAACAAAAACTGAGCCAATTTCTTTGATGAGCACACTATCACCAAGCAGCAGACCCCTCTCCATTGTTTATTTTTTTAATTTTTTAAAATTTATATATATAATATATATATATAGTAGTGATGGGATTTCACCATGTTGCCCAGCCTGTTCTCAAACTCCTGGGCTCAAGCGATCCACTCACCTCGGCCTCCCAAAGTGCTGGGATTACAGGTGTGAGCCACCGTGCCCGGCCGACCCCTCTCCATTGTAAAAGCCAACCTGTCAAATGAACTAATTGCACATTTGGTTTGGCCAGTCAGGAAGCAGCTGAAATTGGCACATCTATATTTTGTAACTTGGGAAATGCAGAGTGGTATGTAGGAACAGCCCTCCCAGTCCTGTTCTACTGGTTTCCAACAATGGCATCCCGAGCTAGTTACCTCACTTTTCTTAGCCTTAGTTCCTCATATTAAAAATACAGATAATGATGCCTGGACATATATGGGCTCCTCACTTATAGAAAATGCTCTGTAAGTGGCAGTTTATATTATTATTGGATTGTTCCAAATTTTTACATTCATTCGTTAGTAAGGCAATACCTTTAAACCATCCTTATAATTTCAACATACCAGTTTATCCTAAATACATTAGTAAATGGGCTCCTTACTGATTGAGTACTCCTGGCAAGGTTTTCTGTAACCACTGGTCACAATCATAGGATGTACATTCCTAGAAGTGTGCTTTCTCCTTTTGCCTATTTTCAGTGATTCTTGAGCATCCTTATGGTGTCTGCCTTACCTCTATTAGAAAACGTAACTGAAAATTATCCCTTTTTTCTTACCTCATTCAAATCTTGTACTTTGTCTCTTGATCTTTTGTACTGGTTTCTCTTCTATCTTCCTATGTTACTGATAATTCAGGCTCTAACATGGAAGCCTCAATCTAAATAAATCACCAGTTACAAAATGTCATTTTAAAAAATACTGAAAAAAAGCGACATTTCTTAAGCATCTTCTTCTGAGGTAGTAGCCCTGAAATCGCTTCCTAGCAACAAGTTTCACCTCCTATCTGGTCTTGGATCCTTAAGAGATTTGCTTTATTATGGATTTGAGACTTTGCTGTTGTTTGGTAGCTGAGCCAAAGGGAACAAGTATTAGAAAAATACACTACAGAATCCTGATTGTTCTGAATTAATCAAACTACTAATTTACCTTTCTTATGTTTAATGTCAATAAAACAGAAATAACAATCCAAAGCTGATGAGTTAGAAAGAATGGGGAATGCTATTAGAAAAATGGATACTAAAATCCTAGTGTAACTTTTATAATTCCTCCTGTCCAGTGGTATGGACAAAAGATGTAGTCAAGAATCATGTCAGCTTAGCAGCACTGCACAAGGAAATGGAGAAGAATAAATGTTTTTTTCCCAGAGTACCTTCTCCCATCAGCCACCATCTGCACTGGTGAATATTTTTTCAGATTCACACATGACATGCTGATGCATTCAACACTCAAGGCAAGAATTCCTTTAGCCCCACCCTTATGGCACCTGAGATGCTTCAGTACAAAGTAGAAGAAACATCTCAACTCTTAAATATGAACCCCCCCCCTCATTTTCTTTGTCTTTTCCTAGAGTAAGAATGTCATGTATTTCAATGCTATAATTTTTAAAAGATAGCTTTCCCAAAGAATATATATTTAAAATTTACCATAATACGTGGCACATTGAATATAGTTATGCCTTTAGGCAATTTATATACTTAATGAGCCCAGTAACCAAAGTTTAAAGCAGAAAAACACAAGAAAGGGGCAATAAATAATGTGAGAGATGAGCAATAGGATACAGAGATCTCTGAGTAGCTTGAGGGAGCCTACCTCACCTGCCAGCCAGCAGTAAGCAAAGAGGACTAATGACTTAGCATGGGTAGCCACCAACGACTCTGGAGATGGTGTAACAGCTCAGAATTTTCCACTTTCAATGTTCTACTCTCTGAAAGGTGGGGATCACCTAATGCTCTGAACTAAACTGTGCCTCCCTGCATAGTATGACAAGTTTTATTGTCGTCCCACTGTGTGCTTGCGTTGTGCTGCGCCCTCTCACAGGCACAGTCAAATGAAAAGATGAATGCAGGCACTGTAGAAAATAAAATACTGCCTGGTCATCACCTGTAGGTGGAAGCGGTTTATGTGCTCAGTGCTGGGTATGCTGTAGCCCTCATGAGTTATAATAAGTCCCCTATATAAATCTCCTCTGTAAGTTGCCCCAAGAGTTGTTATGGTGTAGAAAATGAGCCCTGGGGCCAGATAAACCTGGATCAGCTCCTGGCTGCAACTATTACTTTGGTCAAGTTCCCTTAAGTTCTCACAAATATGTAATGGGAATACTCCTGCTTACTCTGGGGAGGGCTGTGTAAAATATGACAAGGTTTCTCTTCAACCAACCTAATTAATCCTTTATTCTTTAATTCTCAATACCCCTCCACCTCTCTTTCTTCTTCTTTCTTTCTGCTTTTACTACATGCCCAGGCATGCCACAACACCAGTGACGTTATCAACACCAGCTCACATTCCTTTCCTTATTTTTTAAAAAACTGACTCTCTAACTTGCCACAGACAACCCCTTCCCTCTCTCTCCTCTCTCCCTTACGTGCCCACCTTATCTAAAAAAAAGTTTAAATGTTTATCCAATCAAGTCTAGTTTAAATTATACAGTCCAACCCCACCCAGTGGGGAAAGGGCACAGGGACAAGATTTACGTCAAAACTAAAAGCTTTTGGCCGGGCAAGGTGGCTCACGCCTGTAATCCCAGCACTTTGGGAGGCCGAGGCGGGTGGATCACGAGGTCAGGAGATCGATACCACAGTGAAACGCCGTCTCTACTAAAAATACAAAAACAAAATTAGCCGGGCGCGGTGGCGGGCGCCTGTAGTCCCAGCTACTTGGGAGGCTGAGGCAGGAGAATGGCGTGAACCCGGGAGGCGGAGCTTGCAATAAGCCAGACGGTGCCACTACACTCCAGCCTGGGCGACAGAGGGAGACTCCGTCTCAAAAAATAAATAAATAAATAAATAAAAACTTTCACCCTCCTTTATTGTATACGCTCTCATAACGACCAGCCATATGGGCGGCACCCCCCTGCACAAAAGTAAATTTGCTTTGCTGAAAAATCCTTTATCTAAGTGCTCATTTTCCTTACAACTCCAAGGTCTATTTCTAACGCTGTTATTGGGATTAAATGAGATTATGTTTGTTAGACACCTAGAACAGATCATGACACATGATAGATGCTCAATATATTGTGGCTATTATTTTCCTACCAGATACCTAGCATTTCTTCTATTTTAAGCATGTTCTCTGAGAACACGTGTAATAACAGCACTAAGATGGTCTATTTAGTGATAAGTCTGTCTCCATAGAGAAATGGGTAAGGAACACAGTTACATCTTGAGAAGAGTGCTTGATATAAGGGAATGATTTCCTAAATTATTTTTCCTTTTTAAGTCACAGGACTCCCATCTCCCCTTTATTTTCATAATAATTCTTATGGAAAAGCCCTTTACAGAGTTCCCAGAAGTGGAGATTTCTCTGACTGATGTGGAGGTAGAAGACCCACAGCTTTCTATTTATGAAACATCAAAGATCCCTGGAACACAGTTTGGAAACTACGATGGCAAAAACATTAAGTCTTTTTTTGTTTGTTTTTTAAGAGACAGGGTCTCACCATGTTGCCCAGGTTGATCTTAAACTCCTAGGCTCAAGCAATCCTCCCACTTTGGCCTCCCGAAGTGCTAGGATTATAGGTATGAGCCACTGCACCCGGCCAAAACATAGGTCTTGTAGTTAGGTTGAGATTTGAAATCTTGACTTTCACATTTTACAAATCTGTGATCTTGGTTTTCTCATGTGTAAATCAGGGTGAACAATACCTACCCTCTCTGAATTTCTGTTAAAATAAGTTATGTCAAACCCCCAGGAGAGTCATTACAACACTGAAGAGACTCATATATTAGTTTCTATCTGTATTTGACAGGGTTCTTTGGAGAAACAGAACCAACAGAAGATTTTATATATATATAGTATGATCTCACTATCATTCAGGCTGAAGTGCAGTTGTATGATCACAGCTCACTGCAACCTCTGTCTCTCGGCACAAGCAATCCTCCCACCTCAGCCTCCTGAGTAGTTGGAACTACAGGCATGCGCCGCCACGCCTAGCTAATTTTTGTATTTTTTTGTGGAGGTGGGGTTTTGCCATGTTGCCCAGGCTGGTCTCAAACTCCTGGACTCAAGTGATCTACCTGCCTTGGCCTTCCAAAATGCTAGGATTACAGGTGTGAGTCATTGTGCCCAGCCCAAAAATAATGTTTAATCAGGTATCTGGGCATCCCAAACCTCAGTCAAGTTGACATATGAAGTTAACCAGTACACCATCTATGCTAGTTCATTCTTGCATTTATAATAGTATAAAAAACTACCTGAGACTGGGTAATTTATAAAGAAAAGAGGTCTAATTGACTCACAGTTCCTCAGGCTCTACAGGAAGCATGGCTGGGGAGGCCTCAGGAAGCTTACAATCATGGCAAAAAAGGGAAGAGGAAGGAGGCACGTGTTACATGGCCAGAGCAGGAGGAAGAGAGAGAGGGTGAGGTGCTACACACTTTTAAACAACCAGATCTCGTGAGAACTCACTCACTCACTATTACTAAAACAGCAAGGAGGAAGGTGTGCCCCCATGATCCAATCACCTCCCACCAGGCCACTCCTCCAACATTGGGGTTTTTATTTAATATTACAATTCAACATGAAATTTGGGTGGGAACACAAATCCAAACAATACCACCATCTTTTTACTTCCTTTTTGTAAGAAACAGAAAATAAAGTACAGCAGTCCCCCTAATCTTTGGAAGATATGTTCCAAAACCTCCAGTGGACACCTGAAACTCCCAATGGTACCAAACCCTCTATACAGTCCTCCCTTGATATCTGAGGGAGATTGGTTCCAAGATCACTGAAGATACCAAAATCCATGGATGCTCAAGTCCCTCATATAAGATGGTATAGTATTTTACATATAACCTATACACATCCTCTCATATATTTTAAATCATCTCTAGATTACTTACAATGCCTAATATAATGTAAAAGCTATGTAAATTGTTGTTACACTATTTTTAAAATGTTAAATTGAGAGATGAGTCTCATTATATTTCCCAGGCTAGTCTCAAACTCCTGGGCTCAAGCAATCCTCCTACCTCAGCCTCCCAAAGTGCTGGGAGTGAGCTACCATGGCCAGCCTGTTCTATACTTTAAATTTTATATTATTTTATTGTTGTATTGTTATTTTTTATTTTAATATTTTCAACTCATGATTGGTTGAATTGGGAGATGTGGAACCTACAGATATGAAGAGCCAACTGTACTGTTTTTTCCATGTATACATAACTAAGATAAAGTTTTATTTGTAAATTAGGCATAGTAAGAGATTAGCAACAATAATAATAAAAATATACTGTAATAAAAGTTATGTGAATGTGGTCTCTCTCTAAATATCTTATTGTACTGTACTTATCCTTCTTGAGATGATGTGAGATGGCACAATGCCTAAATAATGAGGTGAAGGTGAATGACTTAGGCATTATGACATGGCATTAGACTACTACTGACCTTCTGATGATACTTGAAAAGTAGAGTCATCTGCTTTGAGTGATCTTGGATCACTGAGCCATGATGATGTCCATGGTTGCATGTCAGGAGCAGGCTGACTAATGCCCATGACTAATGGGTATACAGTGTGTATGTTGTAGGTGCACTGGTCGAAGGGATGATTCCCATCCCAGCAGGACAGTGTAAGATTTCATCATGGTACTCAGAATGGTTCACAACTTAAAACTTATGAGTTGCTTATTTATGGAATTTTGCATTTAATATTTTCAGTCTGCAGTTGACTGCAGGTAGCTGAAACTGTGGAAAGCGAAACTGAAAATAAGAGGGAACTACTGTAGTCAGCGATAAGGAAGGAATGACTGAAGGAAACAACCCATGCCAGGAATAGCATATTACTAGGTCAAGGTCTGGAAACAAGTTAATGGGAATGGGCTGTTACTCCTTACCTGCTGACTACAGCACTCAGTTCACTTAATTCCTATGCTGAAAATGATCCTTCAGTTAATACTTGTTGCTATCACCATCACCTGGCTGCCAAACACCATCAAGAAATCTTGAGGCTTTTCCTTCATGAAAGATTAAGAGAGAACTTGGAAGGCAAAATCTTTCTTTAGGAAATGATTTTAGAAGGTCATTTAACTCTAATTGATTATTACTAACTGAGACCATTTATTTATTTATTTATTTATTTATTTTGAGATGGAGTTTTGCTCTTTCACCCAGACTGGAGTGCAGTGGCATGATCTCAGCTCACTGCAACCTCTGTCTTCTGGTTTCAAGCTATTCTCCTGCCTCAGCCCCCCAAGTAGCTAGGATTACAGGCGTCCGCCACCACGCCCAGCTAATTTTTGTATTTTTAGTATTTTTGTATTTTCACCATGTTGGCCAGGTTGGTCTCGAACTCCTGACCTTATGATCCGCCCACCTTGGCTTTCCAAAGTACTGGGATTACAGGCGTGAGCCACCGCAGCAACTCATTTTCCGGTTTTAAAGATTTCTACTTGCTAACATCTTTAAAAAGAAGAAATATTTACAGTGTTCATTAGTCCAATCCAGCTTGCTTTATGTGGGATGATGTAAGTGAAAGGATTATTAGAGTCAATATAAAGCTTTATTTTCTAATTTTAGAAATCCACACAAACTTCAGTCTAGATGACAAGGAAAAGAAAACTGGTTTACATCACAGCTTAGAGGATTGAGGTTAGACACACATACACTATTCTGGTACTTAATGTTAAACGTTAGGGAAAACCATGTGATCTTTTCTGAACATCTTTTGAAATAAAACAGATGCTCATTTATCCAGAATGTCACAGATAACATTTGTCAAAGAGGGAGGTAGATTAACCAGGTATTCTCCAATGATCTTCTCCAAGCATAAGTTCTACGATACAGACAGCCATGTGGAGGTACACCACTGATACCTCCCTTCAAAAAAGTACTTGCTTCTCTTCCCAGGTAGCCTCCAGTGAATGACTGAGCATGGTGGGAATATTAAGGCCCACCCAATTCTGCCCAATGTGTAATTCCTCTACAGGTTATCAATGTTCCAAAATCGTCTGTTGGGCTGGCAGAGACTTTCTCAGAGCTACACTACAGTTTGAGGCTCTTCCTACCCAATCAATCTTCCTTCTTTCTCCCTCTCATTTAACAGATGTCAGACCTGCATTGTGATCTGAAGGCTTTCCCTGGCCATGTCTGCTCCTTACCTTTATACTTCATAGATGCCCCCTCAATAACTCTTGAAATTCTATGTTCATCGTGGGGCCTGCTTCCCATATCAAGCCTCCTTCACACGGATATATGAATGACAGAGCAAGGTGTGGGCCACAATTGTGGTCACCATGAAAGAAAAAAGAAGTCAGAGTTTAAGCCATTCTCACATAGGTAGTCTTTGGAAAAATATTTCTCTTTTGGAAGACAACTTATCAGAGCTAGCACACCTATTCTATGTTCCAACTGGTTTGTTCTAGACTTCATTGCCACTAGAAAAGGTAGAGGAGGCCGGGCTCAGTGGCTCATGCCTGTAATCCCAGCACTTTTGGAGGCCAAGGAAGGTGGATCACCTGAGGTCAGGAGTTCGAGACCAGCCTGGCCAATGTGGTGAAACCCCATCTCTACCAAAAATACAAAAATTAGCTGGACGTGGTGGTGGGCACCTGTAATCCCAGCTACTCGGGAGGCTGAGGCAGGAGAATCACTTGAACCCGGGAGGCAGAGGTTCCAGTGAGTCGGTATCGCGCCATTGCACTCCAGCCTTGGTGACAAGAGCAAAACTCGGTTTCAAAAAAATAAAAAAAGAAAGAAAGAAAGAAAAAGAAAAAAAAAGAAAGAGTAGAGAAGATGAGGTTAAAAGATTAGAAAACACAACTACCCTCCTTCCCAGACACCACAGGAAGGAGCAATACTCAACATCATTAATCTTTTTCCTAGAATGTGGGAAGGAAGAATGGGAGGTTAGTGAGATTTGCATAAGAGATTCAGTCTGCTTTTCTTTATGTTTTGTTTGAAAAATTTGACCTTTTAAAAACTGTAGTGTTACATGTGTACAATAGTTTCCTTCAGTAATTCTAAAGAAAATGTTATCCTGTTAAATAAAATCACCTTTCTTCTTATTGATTTGTTTGTATGTTTACTCATTAATTCACTCAATGATTACTGAGTACAAAATATGCCTTCATTCTTTGCTGAGTCCTAGGGACATTATTATTCTCATTTTACAGGTAAGGAAGTTAAGGACAGAGAGCTAAGTAATGTGTTCAAGGTCACAATGTAGTTGATAAGAGCTAGGATGTGAACCCAGGCAGACTGTTTCCAAAGTGTGCTCCCAACATCTAAACTAAAGTTGCTTGATCACATCTTTCTGTGTTACAAATACCCCTGTGGTCCTATCCTAGTAGATTGTCACAGTGGGAAAGCACAGATATGCAAGCAGATAAGTTACCCTGTAAAGTTATCAGCTCTGTAGTAGGGGTGTACAACAAGTACTGAGGCAGTCAGAGGACATTATGTATTGACCCAAATCCTTATACTTGAAAGAAGTTTTACTAGAAACACATGTATTTATTTTCAGGTTACCTTCCTGGTCAGCTTTACACCCTTCAGAGCAGTTATTTTGAAAAATGATGAACACAAAGTATGTTGGAAATCCATGTTTAAAATCACCTCTGAAATGGTGAACACACGCAAAAAAACAAAAACAAAAACAAACCCAGATAATAAGTAATCATCTTTCTGGGAAAGGTTGATTTTTAGGGGGAACAGTTAATATGTTCAGATATTCAGAGACAAATTTGAAAATTTACTTGTGTAACAGTTTGGGGGAAGTTTCATTCTATAAGACAAACTATCTTATGTAACTATGCAGTCAATTTGTAAAGAAAAATTTAAAAATAGTTTTTATCCAATGCATGTGGCAAACATGACTAAAGCACCCCAGGAAAACTGTACTGAAGGAGATACAATATTAGGGTAGATAAATTTTGGTGTATTCACATAAAAAATAAAAAAAATTGATTTTAAACCACAGAACATTAAGTCTAGAGAGTCATTCCCTCTGATACAGAGGACAAAAACCTTGGAGATCCATATTTAAAAGATCAATTTCTTTAGCACCTGGAAAAGAGATCCAAATAAAAACAAGGCCTGGGAAAAGGATATGAATTATTCAGGTAGTCAAGCAGAGATAGTTCTGGGATGATATCATTTGTATGATTTGACAAAATGAGCCAGAACTTAGAAATTACTCAGCGAGAAGAAAACGACCTCAAAACCCAACCCTCCAACAAAAAAATAGACATGAAAAACAGGTCATGGAAAAAGAAAAAAAGGGCCATGACGGAATAATGAGGATGAGATTTTCCTCACCCTTACACATGGAAGAGTGGAAAAATACTTATAAAACAACTCTTCTCAGACACTTGACAAGAGACATTGGGGGACTTTACTCCACTAGAGATGGGTGGAAATTAGGTGACACTACAACTGCCAGGGATTTCTGCCTTGAAATACTTTCTAGAGTGTGGTGATATGAGGGAAATCCTGTATAGAGCATAGCAATCTTGTGGAATTGAGGAGACAGAGAAAGGAGTTCAGAAAGATGAAATGGCAGAAATACGTGGGATAGAGTACCACAGAAAAGGGAGCCACACAGAGAAAAGAACTGCAGAAATCTGCAGTTTTTCAAGTCTTTCCTGAATACTGAGCCACACATGAGTAGGGCAAAACTCCACAAAGATAAGCAAAGAACAATGAGAGAGCTGTAAGAACAATTCTCAGAGGTCAGCAGGGTTGGGAGATGTTTGAGTTCTGACCAGCTAGATCAGAGAGTCCTTATTGAACACCCAGGGTCACACCATAAGGGTAGGACTATTCTAGCCCTAGAATAAAAGTTCCTATAAATCTGCCCTAAGGAAGCTTAAAAACAATCCAGAAAGAATTAAGCTATTCAGCAAGTAACTTAACCTACTGTGAAAACAAAGTTTAATATTATTTAAGCAAGACAATAAAATTCAGTCCTCGACAATATAAAATTCATAATGTCCAATATCCAGTAAAATATTATTAAACCTTCAAAGAAACAAGTGCAACACAACTAGGAAAAAAATCAGTGAATAGAAACAGACCTAGAAGTGACAATGTATTTTTTAAGAGACCTAATGAATAAAAGATAAAAGATATTCAAAAAAGAACTAATGAAATTTCTAGAGATAAAATTTTCAACACTTTAAATGAGTGATTCATGGGATGGGATTAAAAACACAATAAACACTACAGAAAAAAAATGAGTGAACTTGAAAACAACAATAGAAATTATCAAACTAGAACAAAGAGAGAAAAACTGGGGAAAAAATGAACAGAGCCTTTGTGAAAATACCAAAGGATGTAAACACATGTAGTTGGATTCACAGAAGTGGAGCAATACAAAAAATTTTGAAGAAGTGAAGAAATAATGGCTAAACTTTTTCCATATTTGAGGAAAACTATAAACTCACAGAATCTAGAAGCTCAAATACTCCCAAGCAAGATAAGTACTAAGAAAACCAAGAGAAACTGTAATCAAACTGCTAAAAAAATTTCATAAATGCCAGAGAAAAAAGAAATAGTAAATATAGAAAAACAAAGATAAGAATGACTATGAGCTTGTCAAAAACTATGAAAGCAAGAAGACAAAGGAATGATATCTATAAAGTATTGTTAAAAGAAAGTCAACTTAAAATTCTATATCCAGTGAAAACATTCTTCAAAAATGAAGGCCAGGAGAGATGACAGATTGGGAAACACCAGAAATCTGTCTCTCCACCTAAACAATAATCCTGCTGGTGGCATCTGTCTGATACGAATATTTTTGAACTCTGGAGTCTATTAAAGGCTTGAAACTTCTAGAGAAAGGGTTGGATGGTAAATTGCTGTTAATTTCTATCAGTTTAAGCTCTTAGCCCTGCAGCAGCCATCTCCTCTCCTCCACCCCTGTGGCAGGCAGTGTGCATGAGTTCCTGGAACAGCTTGCATGCAACGTGTGGGAGTCAAAATGGACAACAAGGATGCTTTCCTTTAAGTATTGGGGATTTGTGTTCTGATGGGTGATTGCTGCTTTCGCTCATGTAGGTACAGACAGAGTCAGGTGGCCATTGTTTTTGCACCTCCACCCATTGTTGCAAGCCCCTCCCCCTCTGGCAGAGGTGACATTCAGGAGATTCAAAGGGCTAGCATCCTTTTTCTTCTCTCCTTAATTTTTCTCTTTTTCCCTTTTTGGAAGCCAGTCATTAAAGAGCAGAACATTTGAAAGCAACTGCGTATAGAGAGGAAACTGGAAAATCCACTGCATATGATAAGGGAAAGGCACACACTCAGAAAAGACTCCAGAAGACCTTAAGCTTATACATCAGGCTAATGCCACAACAATAAAAAACAAAACAAAATAAAGCAAAAACAGCAATCCCTGGGAGGGTGGCGAATCTGATTTCGAGAGTTACCACATTAGATTCAGATGTTCAATTTTTAAGAAAAAAAAATACAAAGAAACATGAAGGTGTGGCCCATTTAAAACTTAAAAAAAAAAAGAAAACAAAACCAACAGAAACTGTCCCTGAAAAAGACCATATGGCAGATCTACTACACAAAGACTTTTAAAAAACTATATTAAGGAAGCTTATGGACACATGGAGAAAGTCAAGAAAATAATGTATGAACAAAACAGAAATATCAGTAAAGAGATAGAAAACCTAAAAAGAAACAAAAAGAATGTCTAGAACTGAAAAGTACAACAACTGAAATAAAAAATTCACTATAGGGATTCAAAGGCAAATTTGAGCAGGCAGAAGAAATAATCAGTGAACCTGAAGATATGACAATTGAAATTACTGAGTTTGAGGAACAATAACAACAAAACAAAATTGAAGAAAAGTGAACAGAGGCTAAGGCAGCTGTGGGACATCATCAGGTGGGCCAACATACACACTGGGGAGTCCCAGAAGAAAGAGAGGGCAGAGAGATTATTTGAAGAAAT
Source organism: Homo sapiens (assembly GCF_000001405.40). Classification (NCBI taxonomy): domain Eukaryota; kingdom Metazoa; phylum Chordata; class Mammalia; order Primates; family Hominidae; genus Homo; species Homo sapiens. The sequence continues at coordinate 42,523,659 of NC_000001.11, read as the reverse complement.
AATGGGTGAAAACTTCCTAAATTTGATGAAAGGCATGAATACAAACAACCAAGAGGCTCAACCAACTTGAAATAAGATGGGCTCAGAGACGACCACACCAAGACACATTATAATCAAACCGTTGAAAGACAAAACCAAAAGAAAATGTTGAAAGCAGCAAGAGAGAAGCAACTTATCACACACAAGGAATCCTCAATGAGATTAACAGCAAAATTCTCCTCAGAAACTTTGGCAACCAGAAGGCAGTGGGCTGAAATATTCTAAATTCTAACAGGAAAAAATTGTCAGTCAAGAATCCTATATCTGGCAAAACTGGTCCTTCAGAAATGAGACAGAATTTAAGACATTCCTAGGTATGTCTGGGGGAGAAAAGCTGTAAAGTTGTTTACGTTATACCTGCTATTCAAGAAATGCTAAAAGGAGACCTACAGGTTGAAATGAAAGGACAGTAGACAACAACCCAAAGCCATATGAAATTAATAAAGATCTCAGTAAAAGTAAATACACCGGCTATTATAAAAACCAGTACTAGCTGGGTGCAGTGGCTCATGCCTGTAATCCCAGCACTTTGGGAGGCTGAGGTGGGCAGATTACCTGAGGTCAGGAGTTTGTGACCAGCCTAGCCAACATGGTGAAAGCCTGTCTCTACTAAAAATACAAAAATTAGCCAGGTGTAGTGGTGTGCACCTGTAATCCCAGCTACTCGGGAGGCTGAGGTGGGAAAATCACACACTCCAGCCTGGGCAACAGAGTGAGACTCCATCTCAAAAAAAAAGAAAAAAAAGTAATATTGTAACAATGGTTTGTAACTCCACTTTTTGTTGTCTACATGATTTAAGAAAGAATATATTTAAGAAAATTATTGGTCTAAAAGCTAGTATTATTGTAACTTTGGTTTATAACTCCACATTTTGGCTTCCACATAATTGAAAAGATTCATTTATTTTTTAGTTGTTAGTTTATGTTTTTGGAAACACATTTGTACAAAGATGTAATTTTGGGACATCAAAACTGAAAGGGATAGTGATGGCTGTAAATGAGCAGAGTTTTTGTATGATACTGAAGTTAACCTAAAGAAATTCAATTTAGAGTATCATAACTTTAAGATGTTAAATGTAACTTTCACATTAACCTTAAGTAAAATAGTTACAGAATATACACAAATGGAAATGAGAAGAAAAGAAAAGTGTTTTACTATCCAAAGTCAACTAAACATAAAAGGGTAATGCAGGAAATAAGTGGGGGAAGCTAACAAAGCATATAGAAGACAAATAGCAAAATGACAGAAGTAAGACCCCCCTTTTCTGTAATTATTTTAAATGTAAATGGATTAAACTCTACAATAAAAAGACAGAGATTGGCAAATTGGATTAAAAAAGTCCAACTACAGTTGGCTCTCTGCATCTGTGGGTTCCATATCTGCCATTTCAACCAACCCTGGATTGAAAATATTAAAAAAAATAAAAATAACAATATGACAATAAAATGCAAATAAAAATGATACAGCATAACAACTATTTATACAACACTTACATTGTATTAAGTATTGTAAGTAATCTAGAGATAATTTAAAATATATGGGAGAATGTGCATAAGTTCTATGCAAATACCTACACCATTTTATATAAAGGCCTTGAAAATTTTGTATCTGTGAGGGGTCCTGGAATAAATCCCCTTATGATACTGCAGGATGACTGTATATACAGTCTAAAAGATAAAAGTAGACTGAATGTGAAAGAATAAAAAAAGACATTTCATGCAAATAGTAACCAAATTAGAACAGGGAAATTACTACACTATACTAATATCAGACAAAATAAACATTCAATTTCAAAAAGGTTACAAAATATTGTAAAATATATTATATATTAATAAAAGGCTCAATATAGTAAAAATATATCATAATTACACATATTTTGGCAAATAATAAGACCATCAAAAAACAAAAGAAAAAATTTACAGAATTGAAGGGAGAAACAGACTGTTCAAGAATAAATGGAGTCAATACCCTACTCTCAATGATGTATTAAATAACCAGACCAAAAGTAGGTAAGGAAATAGAGGACTTGAACAACACAATAAGCCAACTAGAGCTAACAGACATATACAAGATGCTATAACCAACAGCAATAGCTTACACATTCTTCTCAACTGCACACAGGACAATCTACAAGATAGATCATATGTTAAACCACAAATTAAGTCTCAATAGATTTTAAAAAACAGATATCATACAAAGTATCTTCTCCAACTGAAACAGGATAAAGTTAGAAATTAACAGGAGGAAAACAGAAAAATTCACAATTTGTAGAAACTAAACAACACACTTTTAAAAAACCAATGGATCAAAAAATAAGTCACAAAGAAATTAGAAAATACTTGGCCAGGTGTGGTGGCTCATACCTGTAATCCCAGCACTTTGGGAGGCCGAGGCGGGTGGATCATGAGGTCAGGAGATTGAGACCATCCTGGCTAACATGGTGAAACCCCGTCTCTACTAAAAATACAAAAAAAAAAAGTTAGCCAGTCGTGGTGGCGGGCGCCTGTAGTCCCAGCTACTTGGGAGGCTGAGGCAGGAGAATGGCGTGAACCCGGGGGGCGGAGCTTGCAGTGAGCCAAGATTGCACCACTGCACTCCAGCCTGGGCAAAAGAGCGAGACTCCGTCTCAAAAAAAAAAAAAGAAAAAAGAAAATACTTAAAGATGAGGCTGGGGGCTGGGTGCGGTGGCTCACGCCTGTAATCCCAGCACTTTGGGAGGCTGAGGCAGGTGGATCACGAGGTCAGGAGATCAAGACCATCCTGGCTAATACAGTGAAACCCCGTCTCTACTAAAAATACAAAGAAAAAAAAATTAGCTGGGTGTGGTGGCAGGTGCCTGTAGTCCCAGCTACCCGGGAGGCTGAGGCAGGAGAATGGCATGAACCCAGGAGGCAGAGCCTGCAGTAAGCCACGATCACGCCACTGCAATCCAGCCTGGGTGACAGAGTGAGACTCTGTCTCAAAAAAAAAAAAAAAAAAAAAAAAGATGAGGCCGGGCGTGGTGGCTCATGCCTGTAATCTTAGCACTTTGAGAGGCCGAGATGGGCAGATCACGAGGTCAGGAGTTTGAGACCAGCCTGACCAACATGGTGAAACCCTGTCTCTACTAAAAATACAAAAATTAGCCGGGCATGGTGGTGCATGCCTGTAATCCCAGCTACTCAGGAGGCTGAGGCAGCAGAATTGCTTGAATCTGGGAGGTGGAGGTTGCAGTGAGCCAAGATCATGCCACTGCACTCCAACCTGGGCAACAGAGTGAGACTCTGTCTCAAAAAAAAAAAAGAGAAAAGAAAGAAAATACTTAAAGATCAATGAAAATGAAATCATAACACACCAAAACTTACAGATACAGAAAAAGCAAAGTGAAGGCGGGAAATTTGTAACTGCTTACAGTAAAAAATAAGAAAGATCTCAAATCAACAAGCTAACTTCACAACTTAAAGAACTAGAAAAGGAAAACAAAACAAACCTGAAGGTAGCAAAAGGAAGGAAATAAAGATTAGAAAAGAGATAAATGAAAGACAGAAATGAAAAACAATCAAGAAAATATACAAAAAGCTTTGTTCTTTGAAAAGATCAACAAAATTGACAAATCTTTAATTATATTTACTAAGAAAAAAGAGAGAAGACTCAAATTATTAAATTAGGAAGTGAGGGCATTACAACAGATACTAGAGAAATAAAAGTGATTTTAAGAGTGTACTATGAATAATTGCATATCTAGAAACTGGATGACCTAAATGAAATGCAGAAATTTCTAAAAACATGGCCAGGCATGGTGGCTCACGCCTGTAATCACAGCACTTTGGGAGGCTGAGGTGGGCGAATCACAAGGTCAGGAGTTTGAGACCAGCCTGGCCAACATGGTGAAACCCTGTCTCTACTAAAAATACAAAAAAAATTAGCCAGGCATGGTGGCAGGTGCCTGTAATCCCAGGTACTTGGGAGCCTGAGGCAGGAGAATTGCTTGAACCCAGGAGGTGGAGGATGCAGTGAGCCGAGACGGCATCATTGCACTCCAGCCTGGACAACAAGAGAGAAACTCCATCTCAATAAAACAAAACAAACAAACAAACAAACAACAAAAAAGAAATTCTAAAAACACAAAGCCTACCAAGACTAAATCACAAAGAAACAGAAAATCTGAATAGACTAACTAGTAAGAAGAATGAATCAGTAAGTAAAATCTCCCAACAAAGAAAAACCCTAGATCTGATGGCTTCATTAGTGAATTCTACCAAACATTTAAAAAAGAACTAATATCCTTTTTCCCAATGTTCCTTTAAGAAAATGAAGGGGAAGAAATACTTCTTAACACATTTGAAGAGGACATAATTACTCTAACAGCAAAGCCAGATAAAGATACCACAGGAAAAGTAAACTACAGGCCAATGCCCCTTAAGAACGTTGATGAAAAAATCCTCAACAATATACTAGCAAATTGAATTCAGTAGCATATTAAAAGGATTATAAACCATGACCAAGTAGAATTCAGTCCTGGAATGCAAGGATGGTTCAACATATTGAAACTAAATCAATGTAATACATCAGGTTAACAGAATGAACAGAAAAACACCCATATAATAATCTCAGTTGATACAGAAAAAGCATTTAACAAAATCCAACATCCTTTCATGATAAAAACACTTAACAAACATGGAACAGAAAGAATCTGCTTCAATATAAAAATCCATATGAAAAATCCACAGTGAACATTATACTCAATGGTGGAAAGACTGAAAGCTTTTGCTCCAAGATCAGACAAGGATGCCTGCACTTGTTATTTCTATCCAACAAAGTACTGGAAGTCTTAGCCAGAGCTATTAGACAACAACAACAACAAAAATAAAAGGTATCCAAATTGAAAAGGAAGAAGTAAAATTACAGTCATGTATTGTTTAATGACAGGAATACATCCTAAGAAATGTGTCGGTAGGTGATTTTGTCAGTGTGCAAACATCATAGAATGTACTTACACAAACCTAGATGGTATATCCTATTACACACCTAGGCTATATGGTTTAGCCTAGTGCTCCCAGGCTACAAATCTGTACAGCATGTTACTGTATTAAATACTATAGGCAATTAAACAAAATGGTATTTGTATATCTAAACATATCTAATCAGAAAAGGTACAATGAAAACACAGTATTATAACCATATGGGACTACTGTCACAAATGTAGTCCATTATGCTGCATAACGATATCTCTGTTTGCAGATTATATGATCTCATAAATAGAAACCTAAATATTTCACCAAAAAAACTTCTTAGAGCTAATAAATTCAAAAAGTAGTAGGACATGAAGTCAACACACATAAATTAGTTGCATTTCTATACTCTAACAATGAACAATCTGGAAAGGAAATTAAGAAAACAATTCTATTTATAATAGCATGAAAAAGAATGAAATACTTAGGAATTAGCTTAATGAAGAGAGGTGAAAGACTTGTACAATAAAAGATAGAAAACATTGGTGAAAAAATTAGGAAGATGAAAATAAATGGAAAGACATTCATGTTCATGATTGGAAAACTATTGTTACAATGTAAATACTATCCAAAGCTATCTACAGATTCAATATAATCCCTATCAAAATTCCAACAATATTTTTTGCAGAAATAAAACAATCCATCCTAAAATTTGTACAGAGCCTAAAGGGACCCCAAACAGCCACAACAATCTTGAAAAAGAAAAACAAAAGTTGGAGGACTCACACTTTCTGATTTCAAAACTTACTACAAAGCTGCAGTGTTCAAAACAGTGTCATAATTGAATAAAGACAAATATATAGACCAAGGGAATACAATAGACATCCCAGAAACAAACTCTCGCATATTTGATCTTGCATATTTGATATTTAAATGTTTGGTAGAACGAAGCCATCAAGTCTAGGGCTTTTCTTTGTTGAATGATTTTCAACAAGAGTGCAAAGACGATGGAGGAAAGAAAGTTTTCTAGTAAATGGTGATAAAACAACATCCACATGAAAAAAACTAAGTTAGACACTTACCTTACACTATTCACAAAAATTAATTCAAAAAGGATAAAAAGACCTAAACACAAGAGCTAAAACTGTAAAATTCTTTTGCAGAAAACTTAGGGGGAACTCTCCATGACTATGGATTTGGCAATGATTTCTTGGATATGACATCAAAGACACAGGCAACAAAAGAAAAATTTAAAAACTGTATTGCATAAAAACTAAAAACTTTTGAATATGGAAATAACACTACTGGCCAAGTGTGGTGGCTCACACCTGTAATCCTACCACTTTGGGAGGCCAAGGTGGGAGGATTGCTTGAGGCCAGGAATTTGAGACCAGCCTGGGCAACACAACAAGATCCCATCTCTACAATTTCTTTTTAATTAGCTAGGCATGGTGGCATTTGTCTTTGGTCCTAGCTACTCAGGAGGCTATGGCAGGAGGATTCCTTGAGCACAGGAGTTGGAGGTTACGGTGAGCTATGATCTTACCATTGCACTCCTGCCTGAGTGACAGAGCAAGACCCTGTGTCATAAATAAATAAAATAACACTGTCAACAAAGTAGAAAGGCAACCTACAAAGTAGGAGAAAATATTTGCAAATCATGTATCTGATAAGGAATATTAACATCTAGAATATACAGAGAACTTTAAAACTTATAAGAAAAACCAAACCTAATTCAATAATGAGGAAATAATTTAATAGATATTTCTCCAAAGAAGATAAACAAATGACTAATAAACACCTCAAAAGATGCTAACATTAATAATCACTAGGGAAATGCAAATCAAAACCACTATGAGATACTACCTTAGTCCATTTTGTATTGCTATAACAATACCTGAGCTGGATAATTTATAAAGAAAAGGGGGTTATTTGGTTCATGCTTCTGGTGGCTAGCAAGTTCAAGACTGAGCAGCTGCATGTGGTAAGGGCCTTATGCTATTTCAGCTTATGGTGAAAAATGGAAGAGGAGCAGATATGAGCAAGAAGAGCACGTGGAAAAAGAGAAGGCAAGAGAGAAACCAAGGAAGTCAGATTCTTTTTTTTTTTTTTTTTTTGAGATGGAGTCTTGCTCTCTCGTCCAGGCTGCAGTGCAGTGCAGTGGCGCAATCCCAGCTCACTGCAACCTCCACCTCCTGGGTTCAAGTGATTCTCTTGCCTCAGCCTCCCGAGGAATTCAGATTCTTCACATAAACTAAATCTTGCAAGAGCAAGACTCACCTCCACAGGAAGGCCTTAATCTATTCATGAGGGATCTTCCCCATGACCCAAACACCTGTCACTCGGTACCACCTCCCAATACCACCACACTGGGAATCAAATTTCAACATGAAAAGGAGTTTTGGCAGGGACAAGCCATATCCAAACCATAGTACCACTTCACACACTTAGGATGGCTACCATGAAAAAAACAGACAACAACAAATGTTGGCAATGATGTGGAGAAATTAGTATGATTCTACACGGTTGGTGGAAATGTAAAGTGATATAGTTCCTGTGGAGAATAGTATGACAGTTCCTCAAGAAAAAGTAGACACAGAATTTCCATATCATCTGACAATTTCACTTCTGGTTATATACCCCAAAGAATTTAAAGCAGGGATGCAAATATGTATTTGTACACCCATTATTTACACTAGCTAAAATGTGGAAGCCACCCAAGTATCCACTGACAGACAAATAGATCAGCAAAATGTGGTATATACATTCAATGCAATATGATTCAGCCTTAAAAAAGAAGGAAATTCTGACACATGCTATAACATGGATGAACCTTGAAGACATCATTCTAAATTAAATAAGCCAATCACAAAAAGATAAATAGTACATGATTCCCCTTATATGAAATATCTAGAGTAGTCAAAATCATAGAGACAGATAGTAAAATGGTGGTTTCCAGAGGCTGGATGCAGGGAGTATCTTAGTCCCTTTGGACTATTATAACAAAATACCATAGACTAGGTAATTTACAAACAATAGAAGTTTATTTATCAGAGTTCTAGAGGCGAGAAGTTTAAGATTAAGGTACTAGTAGGTTTGGTGTCTGGTGAGGCACCTTTCTGCTTCCAAGTTGGCACCTTGTTGCTGCATTTTCCAGAAGAAATGAACACAGTGTCCACACACAGTCTCATTTCAACCTCAAGGCCTTTTACAAAAATGCTAATGCCATTCATGAGGGCTCTGCCAAATCATCTCCCAAAGGCCACATCTCTTAATACTGTTGCATTCTAGTTACCATAACAAAATCCCACAAACTGGGGTCTTAAAACAATAGAAATGTATTATCTCACAGTTTTGAAGGCTAGAAATCTGAAATCAAGGTATTAGTAGGGCCATATTCCTTTTGAGACTCTGGGTAGCATCATTTCTTGACTCTTCCTAGCTTCTGATGATGGCTGCTTATTCTTGTTTTTTTTTTTTTGGCTTGCAGCTGCATCATTCCAGTCTCTGCCTCTGTAATCACATGGCATTCTCTCTGTGTATGACTGTCTTCACATGGCATTTCTTCTTGTTATAATTGTACCAGTCATATTGGATTAAGGCCCACCCTAATTAACTCATCTTAATTTGATTACTTCTTCAAAAGTACTATTTCCAAATAATGTCACATTTACAGGTCCTGGGGGTTAGGACTTCAATATATTTCAGGGTACAGGACACAATTCAACACCTAAGAGGCCAAGCACAGTGGCTTATGCCTGTAATCCCAGCACTTTGGGAGGCCAAGGTGTGTGGATCACCTGAGGTCAGGAGTTCAAGACCAGCCTGGCCAACATGGTGAAACCCCATCTATACAAAAATACAAAAATTAGCTGGGTATGATGGCAGGTGCCTATAATCTCAGCTACTTGGGAGGGTGAGGCAGGAGAATCACTTGAACCTGGTAGGCTGAGGTTGCAGTGAGCTGAGATCTCGCCATTGCACTCCAGCCTGGGCGACAGAGCATGACTCCATCTCAAAAACAAAAACGAAAACAAAACACATAAGAGACTAATATACAAAATATATAAAGAGCTCCTGAGACTCAACAAAAAGAATAAATAACTCCATTAAAATTGGTAAAGGATTTGAAAAAATTTTCACCAAAGAAGATATGCAAATGGCTAACAAGCACTTGAAAAGGCAGATACTCAGTATCATTAGTCATTCAGGAAATATAAATCAAAACCACATTGAGACACTACTTCACACCAGCTAGGATGGTTATAATAAAAAAGAAGGATAAGTGTTGGAGAAGATATGGAGAAACTGCAACCCTCATACACTGCTGATGAGATGTAAAATAGTACATCTTCATTGGAAAACAGTCTGGTAGTTCCTCAGAAGGTTAAATGTAGAGTTAGCATATGACCCAATAATTCCACTTCTAGGAATATCCCCAAGAGACATGAAAACATATGTCCATACAAAAACTTATAAATGAACATTCATAACAGAATTATTCATAATAATCACAAAGTAGAAACTATCAAATGTCCAATTGATGAATAAATAAACAAAATGTGATGTATATCTGATATAGTTTGGATATTTGTCCTCACCAAATCTCATGTTGAAATGTGATCTCCAATGTTGGAGGTGGGGCATTAGTGGGAGGCATTTTGATCATGAGGGGGAATCCTTCATGAATGGCTTAGTACCCTCCCCACAGTAATAAGTTCACATGAGATATGGTTGTTAAAAAGAGGCTAAGCCCTTCCCCCTCTCTCACCATGAGACAGACCTACTACTTCTTTGCCTTCAGCCATGACTGTAAGCTTCCTAAGGCCCTCACCAGAAGCAGATGCCATCATTATGCTTCTTGTACAGCTTGCAGAACTGTAAGCCAAAATAAACCTCGTCTTTATAAATTAACCAGCCTCGGGTACTCCTTTATAGCGACATAAAATACACTAATGATATAGGAGTTAAAAAGAAATTATTTAGGAAGATTTTGAGGGTAAGGAAGTCCTCATTAAGGTTTTACTTTTCATGAAAAGCACCCCCAAAATCATTTTCTTTTCTAACAAAGAGCAGTCTGTAAAATTGAGCTGCAGACATAGACAAGCAAACTGAAAACTTGCACAGGTGAATGCCGGCAGTTGTGCCAATAGGAAAAGGCTACCTGGGACTAGGCATGATCAAAATGGCGGCTCCATCTTCCCTTCTCTTTGCCAGCCACATATACAGTAAGGAGCAGACAAGATGGCGCTGGCCAAGTAGAAAACCCATTTGCATATTAAGATCAGGGTGGGGTGACAAACCTTCCCCACACACTATGTAAATATTATACCTGGTCAGGACAATCTGTTGGCCCTACATAAATCAGACACTGCCTCCTCAATCCTGCCTATAAAATCTGCTGCAGTCTGCTGCAGGTCAGCTTTTCCCTTTCAGATGCCCCTCTCTCTCACAAGAGAGAGCTGCTCTCCTCTCTCCTTTCTTCTGCCTATTAAACTTTCCCCTCCTTAACCCACCCATGTATGTCCATGTCCTTAATCTTCTTGGCATGAGACAATGAACCCTGGATATTTCCCCAGACAATGATGCTACTTCCCTTGGTGGCTTGTCCAGGATCAGAACAGGAACAGAAGGTATAACCATCAGAGTGGTAAGAATGGGAGCAAATCTCAAATCTGTCCTTTAATTTTGAGGTTCTTGGCCTCCATTTTAGAATCAAATCAAACTAAATAAAAAATACTGGGCTCCCATCAACCATTTAAAAACACGGTTAGCGTGGCTGCCAGCCTTACAAGACACAGGGGTGAGGTGTACTGAGGAGAACATGGAGAATCCCCCAGAAACCACGGGTTGCTGGGCATGTTGGCCATGTTTGAATGAGTTACTTTTCATGTTGGGCCTAGCCACCGCATGGGGCTGAGTGAGGTCCTGAAACAACTGAGGATTTCTGGTCAGGGCAACAACCTGCTATTATCCAAAGGCTTCTGGACTAATCCCAGCCTCTGACTGCTTGACTGGGTGTTGGCAAAAAGGATCTCCAGCTATCCTGTTGCAAAATTTCCTTCTTTTCTATCCATGGTTGCCATGTCTCCTATCCTCTCTCTATGTGCAATATGCGGGAAGTTTTACAGCTCAGGGAAGTGATCCTGTTAGGCAAGATCAGGAAATTCTATAGTAACAAAGGATATAACTCAGGGGAATGCTGTTGTGATTTTCTAGGATCAGAGGGTCTCCCCCCACCCGCCACAGTGAGGTCACTCCCTGCCCTTAGTCTGGAGAGCACATGGCATTTCCAGGTCACTCTCTGCCCTTGGTCAGGAAAGCATATGGCATTTCCAGGTCTGTTGGGAATGGGCCCCCAAATCTGGCCATAAACTGGCCCCAAAACTGGCCATAAACAAAATCTCTTTGAGCAGCACTGTGACATGCTCATGATGCCCTTGACGCCCACACTGGAAGGTTGTCGGTTTACCAGAATGAGGGCAAGGAACACCTGGCCCACCCAGGGTGGAAAACCACTTAAGGTGTTCTTAAACCACAAACAATAGCATGAGCGATCTGTGCCTTGAGGACATGTTCATGCTGCAGATAACTAGCCAGAGCCCATCCCTTTATTTCGGCCCATCCCTTTGTTTCCCGTAAGGAATACTTTTAGTTAATCTACAATCTATAGAAACAATGTTTATCACTGGCTTACTGTCAATAAATATGTGGGTAAATCTCTGTTCAAGGCTGTCAGCTCTGAAGGCTGTGAGACACCTGATTTCCCACTTCACACTCTATATTTCTGTGTGTGTCTTTAATTCCTCTAGCACTGCTGGGTTAGGGTCTCCACGACCAAGCTGGTCTCAGACAGGTCACTCTCTGCCCTTAGTCTGGAGAGCACATGGCATTTCAAGGTCAATAGCGCCACCTAGAGGAATAAAAATCCTCTCCATGAGGCACAATGTCGTCCCTTTGCCAAATTCTCCTCCCAATTCTCCTCCCTTTTTGCACCAATATACTAAAAATCAGGCTCTATGCCCCTTCTGTAAATGGGAAAACTCTGCTTTTGACAATTAGGAGTCCTAATTGGCCACAAATGGCCTCTGGCACCAAATTTTAGTCTTGACACTGTCCCATCGGCAGGAAAAATGCCATTTGGTCCCTACGTTCTTTTAAGGCACCTATTCTACCTCCAATTAGAACAGTACTTAAATAGTAAGGGAATTTTAGGTCCAGAAGTTAACTGGAACCATTCTCTAAGGGGAAACGCTTTAGCATGGGCCATGATAGTAGGATATAGAGTTCAATCTAGTACCCTTTCTCCATTAAAGGGGCCTTGTCCAAATGCAACTATTACATAGTATTTCCTGAGATCCATCTTTGAGGGAGGATGCAGATCACATAAGTCTAGGAAGTCAAAGGGAAATCACAAGTGGAGGACTAGAGTCACATGGGTAATCGTGACTAATCCCAGTTGCTTAGTTCCTCTGGTTCCACAACTGGGGGTCATGCCCGCAACCATGAGTGGCACATTTAACAAGGTGCTGGGACCCAGGAACCAAGGAGGGAAAACAGTAAGGGGGATGCCCTCACTGTCTTCCCCTCCACCCTGGGTCACACTGAAAGGAATAGGATTAAAGGGACGCCTTTTTCTCGCTTCTCTTTCTAAATGGGTAACAGACCATCTTCAGCTTGCACCTCTCTGTAGTGCTTTCTGAAGCACAAGGACTCCTTTGACCCTGAGACTTTGAAGAAAAAGTGGCTCATTTTCTTTTACACAAGAGCATGGCCTTTTTACTAGATCTTCACAAGAGTTGCACAATCAACCCAGCCCTTATAGCAGTCATATCAGGCGACCTACAGAGAATGATTCCCCCAAATTAGAGAAGCAACTTCCAGGGAAACCATCTGAGGATCCCCCTTATTTGGGGCCCCCCTCAAGTTCCCTTCTCATTGCAGGACCTTAGGCAAATAAAGGGAGACTTAGGCCAATTTTCTGACGATGCTGATAAGTATATAGAAGCTTTCCACATTTTTTTTTTTTTTTGAAACGGAGTCTTGCTCTCTCACCCAGGCTGGAGTGCAGTGGCGCGATCTCACCTCACTGCAACCTCCACTTCCCAGGTTCAAGTGATTCTCCTGCCTCAGCCTCCCAAGTAGCTGGGACCACAGGCGTGTGCCACCACATCCAGCTAATTATTGTATTTTTAGTAAAGACGGGTTTTCACCATATTGGCAAGGATGGTCTTGATCTCCTGACCTCGTGATCTGCCCACCTTGGCCCCCCAAAGTGCTGGGATTACAGGCATGAGCCACCACACCTGGCCTCCAAAATTTAACTCAAGTGTTTAACCTCTCACAAAGGGATATTATGCTATTCCTAAGCCAAACCCTAACCAAGGTTGAAAACCAGGCAGCTCCGCAGACAGCAGAGAAATTTGGAGATGAGCAATCTGTCTCCTATGGTAGGTCAAAAGGAAAAGAGAAAATAGAGAGAGTAAAGAAACAGGGGAATCATCATTCCCAATTGGAAGAGAGGCAGTACTTATTGACAACCCTAATTGAAACCCTCAAATGCAACTTCCAGATGCCCTGGTTCTTCCTGCCCACCATCTACATTGTCAGCTCCTCCAATTCTACAACACAAACCCCGAGACTTTTCTATGGTATTTTTCCTTCCTTTTTTCATGGTTTATAATGTTCCTCCAAACTGGGAAAAGTTAATTTCCCCAAACCTTAAAATGCTTTGCTTAGAGTTGAGCTTGGAGGAAGGGAACCCAGAAGCTTGACATACTGGCAAAAGGGTAAAAGTTTTACGGTTTTTTTTTTAACCAGTGGGCTTTTGGCTTCTCTCTCTCTGTGCAAACTGGTAAAATGAATAATAAGAATCACTGTTTATATTCTCTGTTAAGTTTTAATTAATGAAAGAGGATTTGTGAGGTTGGTCTTAAGTTGCAGCCAGTCTAGTGTGCATTGTGTGTCTTTCTGCATGATTCTGTTAAAAGAAAGGGTACCTTAGGTTAGGATACAGGCCCAGGACCTCATAAGCCTGTTGATCAAGCCAGCTCAACAAAGTGTTCAGTAACAAACTTTGCTACAGGCCTCTTCTTGTTTTATGTCCTTCGGAACATGACCTGTAACCACATGGCAATACTTTGTTTTAGTCCCCACCATTGTAAAATGGTGACTGTCTTCTGTGCTAAGTCAGTTCCTGGGTGGGGGTCTCAAACTCAGATAAGCCATTTTATCGATCTGGGTGGTGCTAGTTGATCTATCAAGGGCGGGGTTTGCAAAATATCTTAAGCACTGACCTTGAGAGCAGTTTAGAGAGAGTCAAAATCTTGTAGCCTCCAGCTGCATGGCTCCCAAGCAATGGTTTCTAATCTTGTGACTAGTTTCTTGGTCTGCTCCCCAGGAAAGAGGGATGGTTATCATCTTTGTTTTAGACTATAAACTGTAAATCACACTCCTTCCAGAGTTGGTTCAGCCTATGTCTAGGGATGGGGAAGGGCAGCTTTGGGGCTGGAAGCAAGATGGAGTTGGTTGGGTCAAAACTCTTTCACTGTCTCAGTCACAGTTTTGCAATGAAGGTTTCAAAAGCTGCTTACCACCCCTTTGAAAATACCTCATACACTCGCAGCTAAGTCATAACCTAATTTAGGCTGGTTGGTTTCACCTGTGAGGTTACTTTTTGTAAAGTTCAAAAGCTGAAAAACTTAACTGCTAGGTGTGGCTAAAGTCAAGTAACAAGGGACTTAAAAGGATTTTCTTAAAGAGTGCTCAGTTTGATTAAAAGCGGATATCCAAGCAAGGGTATATTTTAAAAACCTTTATGCTTTTCTCTTCTTGGAGCCTGTTTTTTTGAAAAAGGGCTTTTTTCTTCAGTCAACTGAACTATTTTTCTCCATTTTTTTTGTCTTGCCACTCTTAATGCACACATAAGAGGCCCTAAGATAACTTCTGGTAGTCTGGGACTTCTTGGGAAAAACAGAGGAGGTGCCACAGACCCTGTTTTGGGAAAACACATACACACACACACGTACACACCCTCTGTTTCCCTCATGAAACCCCAGGAATTAAAAGCAGCTACATCTCTCTCAAAATCAAAGGTGCTGTTCTGTTTCGCATTGTGTTATCTGATGGTTTTAAGTTTTGGGGCTATCAAATTACTTTGCATTATGAGAGGGCTTTGTGTAATAACTAGGTAAAAAATATACCTTAAGGGATGGCTAATAGAAGTTATGGAGGGATACTTACTTCTTTGCACATCTGGATCAGAGAAGCATGCTGTTGGCTACCCGGAAGATTTGGAAACATCCCCACCCCAAATTAAGGGATAAGGCTCCCATGGGGAGTGGGCTGATTACAAAATGGGCTGATTGCCTTTGGGTTGCCTTGCAATGAGATGCGTGGTAGAAGCACTACACTGTCTTCTCCCCATAGTATTTCCCTCCTTTTGGGAATCCAGGATCCACTATAAAATGGCACCCTTTATTTTGAGGATCTGTCTTTGCCTTCAGCTGTGCCAGCTTATTCAGCCATAAAAATGCATGCTTTCCTAGTCGTGTTCCTCCAAGGTCTCCACCCTGAAGCCAGTAATCCAATTAAGAAACTAGCAAATGAAAAATTTTACAAGTGCTAAATCTTCTGTCTGGGTAGCTATATATGTGTTGTGTGTAATATCTATAAAAAGAGCTCTAATTAATTGTCTTAGAGAAAAATAAATGCTTAAATATTTTAAAGGAAAGATAAAAGCTGTAATGCTTCTTAGTTAATGTGACTTTAATTTTTAAGAAATAAAAAAGTCTTCAAGATTATTGGTAAAATACAAGTGTTATCAATATAAACAGGTGATCTAAATCATGTAAGTCAAATACTAGGTTTGCTAAAGGTTTCAAGGTTGTAAACCACCTGCTTCACAATTTGGTAAGGGCTGGGGACATACAAAATTAACAACCCCCTAACTATGCTGGAAAAAGTAAGTGATTTTCTCTGTGCCTAGTACATAATCAAAACAACTTACCAGGTTTCACATTAAAGTTAAAAATTGCTATGAGTTACTATCATAATATGTAATTTTGACTACTAAAAATAGATTTACATGCAAGGTGTGTAAAAACAGTAAAATATGTTTTTTAGTAAGAGATTATAAGAAAGTATGGAAATGTAAATTTTACCTAGTCATAAAGAATTGTCTTAAATTAGATAAGATAAAGCTGAAGGTTTAAGCAAGTTATGGAAAGATTATAAAAATTAATCTGGCAAAAATCCCATGTGTAAACCTTAACTAAATTCAAAAGGGTATTATATCATTTTTTCATAAATTGAGCATTGAAATAAAAGCACAGCAAAGTTGTCTTAAGACACTAATTCGCATTTCAGCAAAAGGGTTACAAAAGGTTTGCAAAGATTTCACCTCATGGTCAAATTGGTTAAGATTAGATGGTATTGTCTATGAGGTTTCATTAAAAAATTGAGGCTGGGCACGGTGGCTCATGTCTGTAATCCCAGCACTCTGGGAGGCCAAGGCGGATGGATCACCTGAGGTCAGGAGTTAGAGACCAGCCTGAACAACACGGTGAAACCCCGTCTCTACTAAAAATACAAAAATTACCCAGGTGTGGTGGCACATACCAGTAATCCCAACTACTTGGGAGGCTGAGGCAGGAGAATCACTCGAATCTGAGAGGCAGAGGTTGCAGTGAGCTGAGATTGCACCATTGCACTCCAGCCTGGGCAACAAGAGCAAAATTCCATCTAAAAAAAATGGGGTTAACATTAAACCAATGCAAGGATAAATTTTGGCTTTGAACAGGATTTTCACGTAATAGTAAAGGTTAATGAAAGATTTTTGCTTTTTGACTTATCATTTTGGCAAAATAATTTATGGTAATCTAGACTTCCATTTCATAATATCAAGTGTTTTAAACCTCTAACATATTTATCAGGCTTCCAAAAATCAAACTTCAAGTTTCAAAATTGTCTCTCCTGATGCCTGGCTTTCTGGATGGTTCAGAGGGTCTCTAAACCATCCAAAGAAGAGGTAAACAGGATTATTTGACATATTTAATTACATGGAATTGCTAAAATGATGTCCAATCTTCTTTAGGTTATATTTTGTTGAACAATACTAATACATGTTCCAAAATTGTATGGGATTTCTAAAATTCTAATGTCTATGTATATGCTATTAATCATAATTAAGATTGAAGTTATTGTAAACCACAAAGATAACCAAATCTCTTTGTCAGTCGTGTTTTTAACTGTAACTATGCTGGAAATTTTGTCATCTGCAGGCAATTGTTGTATTGCTTTGTTCCTTTTCAAAAGATAGTTTATAATCAAGCTATAGGACTTTTACAGGTGTTCTCAAATGCAGGTTTCTAACATTGGAATAGAGAAAAAACACACAGGATTCATGAGGAGCTGAAATGTTCATGAATATCAAACAGGAGATAACTGCATGAACTACACTAAAAGAAGTCTGACATAATCTTTTTTAACTTTTTGCTTGAAACATTGCTCATCCTTATTTTGTCCTTCAGTGTCAAGGAAACTTTTATTTTAAGCTATCTACAGCTTTTAACAATTAAGTAAGGTATACTCTTGTGAATAAAATTTAAGGCATACTTCTTTCTCATTGCCTGGTTCCTCTAAAATTTGGAAACGTATTCTTAACTTATGGCAATATAGTTATTTGCATCAGTACAATAAGAATCCATTTTCTTTTTCAACAGAATACAATTGGAGAAACTGGTTGTCTTTATCAAGACTTTGACTGGAAGGCTGTATTTCTTCTAAAGGAATCAAGCTTGACTTGAAGAGCCAATAAAAGCCCTTTGGGGAAGACTAGCCTCATATTGTTGCCTACACAGTCCCCCAGGCAGATTCCTGACCTATGGTCAGTAAAAAATGTCACTTTCTAACAGGTCCAGGTGCTCCAAGCTTATCTTAGGAACTTAAGAGGAAAGGATCACCCAACTCACAGGTATTTAAGGATAAAAACCCATGGCTGGACTTGGCTTTAAAAGGTATTATTTGAGATTCCTCCTGGAACAGAGTTTCATCAAATCCAATCCAAAAGGCCTATGTAGAAATAATTATTCTTGTTGCACTTTATGCAAATAATCAGGCCAAGTATATGACTAAACTTTATTCTACAAACAACATGGTCCTATCATAATTTGTTTTTACTGAAAATGAGGACTAGAGAGAAAAAAATTATGCTCCAAAACTTATACATTTGTCATTAAATTCTAGTTTCATTGGTTATTTTTAAGTTTTTTTTCCCTACATTTTAGGCTAGCCCTGCTTATTCTTGTGAATCAAGTAATGATTTCCTGCAGCTTGGGAAAAAGAAAAATGTATGGGTAATGTAAAAATCTGGATCAATTATCCTGCAAATAATTGGCCAGATAGTTCTGGCCAATTATCCTGCAAATCCTGCCATGTAATAAAAGTGAGTAGGTTGCTCATAACGCAGAAATTTCTTTAGGAAAATAAAACCAAGGAACTTCATAGACCTTCCAAAAGGGAAATTCTATATCTTGGCAACTAAAATTTTAGATGGAAATGATCTACTACACCACCCTTGTGGGAATCGCTACACACACTCTACTATTTGTGGTAGAGTTATACATGGTAGCACCTTCTAACTGAAATATTGGACAGAGAGTTTCCACTGCTGTAGTATTTTGCTTAATTATTATCCTTATAGCAGGAATAATAGCTACTGACAAGAGGTAAACATGAAGGTTTCACTATTGCTGAGTCCACCAGGACTTTTTATTGGGTTTGGTAATATGTCACACCCTAGCTATGCAAAGAAGTTTATAAAGAAAATAGATTTTATATAAGAAAGGATCTTGTATGGTAAAATTTTATCCTGAAGAGAATAACTGCTTGTTTAAAAAGAGGGATGTTTAGGAAAAGTCAGAAAGTTTAAACATGTCATAAACGGTCTGTGGAAGTCACAAAAGAATTAATAATTGCAGGAAAGATTTAGCCAAGGTTAACACTAGTTACTCTAGCCACCCAAATCCAATGCCACTTATCCTTTTATACTAACATTATTAACATTTGTTAATGTTACTTTTATATTAACACTATTAACATTTCAGCAGCATCTGGTGGAGGCAAATGAGTATTACAACCCATTGGAATGGCAGATAGCAATCAAACTCCAAATGGTGCTGCAGACAGAACCATGCATCGACATGCCTTTCTTCTGAGGACCCTAAGAGAAGCCCCAGCTGGTGTTCTCCACAGGGCACCCCTTTTCTGCAGAAAGTAGTGAGAAAGAGTCATCACCTAAAACCCCTTGATAACAGGTGTTGGGAACAAGCCCCCTGAAATCTGGCCCCAAAACTGACCATAAACAAAATCTCTGCTGCACTGTGACATGTTCATCATGGCCATAATGCCCACGCTGGAAGGTGGTGGGCTTACCGGAATGAGGGCAAGGAACATGCCCTCATGTTTTGGCCCACCCAGGGCGGAAAACCGCTTAAAGGCATTCTTAAGCCACAAACAATAGCATGAGCGATCTGTGCCTTAAGGACATGCTCCTGCTGCAGTTAACTAGCCCAACCTATTCCTTTAATTTAGCCCATCCCTTCGTTTCCCATAAGGGATACTTTTAGTTAATTTAATATCTGTAGAAACAATGCTAATGACTGGCTTGCTGTTAATAAATATGTGGGTAAATCTCTGTTCGGGGCTCTCAGCTCTGAAGGCTGTGAGACCCCTGCTTTCCCACTTCACACCTCTATATTTCTGTGTGTGTGTCTTTAATTCCTCTAGCGCCACTGGGTGAGGGTCTCCCTGACTGAGCTGGTCTCCACAGTTAGGGTTACCACTCCTGAGGGGGGAATAAGATAGGAGTTAAAAAGAAATTATTTAGGCAGATAGTGAGGGTAAGGAAGTCCTCATTAAGGTTTTAATTTTAATGAAAAGCAGCCCCCAAATCATTTTCTTCTCTAACAAAGAGCAGCCTGTAAAATTGAGCTGCAGACATAGACAAATAAGCTGGAAGCTTGCAAAGGTGAATGCCAGCAGTTGTGCCAATAGGAAAAGGCTACCTGGGACTAGGCATGATCAAAATGGCAGCTCCATCTTCTCTTCTCTTTGCCAGCCACGTGTACAGTATGGAGCAGACAAGATGGCGCTGGCCAAGTAGAAAGCCCATTTGCATATTAAGATTAGGGTGGGGTGACAAGCCTTCCCCACATGCTATGTAAACGTCACACCTAGTTGAACCAATCTGTAGGCCCTACATAAATCAGACACTGCCTCCTCAAGCTTGCCTATAAAATCTGATGCAGTCTGCTGCAGGCCAGCTTTTATCTTTTGGATGCCCCTCTCTCTCACAAAAGAGAAAGCTGCTCTCCTCTCTCTTTTCCTCTGCCTATTAAACTTTCCACTCCTTAGCCCACCCACGTGTGTCTCTGTCTTTAATCTTCTTAGTGTAAGATGACGAACCCCAGGTATTTACCCCTGACAACAATGCCACTTCACTAAGGGTGGGGTGTACTGGCTCATGTCTATAATCCCAGCATTTTGGGAGGCCAAGTGGAATGATTGCTTGAGCTCAGGAGTTTGAAACTAGCCTGGGTGACATAGCCAGACCTTGTCTTTACTAAAAAATCACAAAAATTAGTTGAGTGTGGTGGTGCGCATTTATAGTCCTAGCTACTCAGGAGGCTGAGGTGGGAAAATTGCTTGAGCCTGGAAGGTCAAGGCTGCAGTGAGCATGCACTCCAGCCTGGGTGACAGAGTGAGACCCTGTCTCAAAAAGAAAATCCATACAATAAAATAGTCAGCCACAGAAAGGGATAAAGTACTAATTCATACTACAATATGAACTTTGAAAACATTATGCTAAGTGAAAGAAGGCAGACACAAATGTCCACATATTGTATGGTTCCACTTATGTAAAATGTACAAGATAGCCAAATTCAAAGGCAGAAAGTACTTTAGTGGTTGCCAGAGGCTGGGGGGAGGGGGCAGGTAGAAAAATAAGAAATGGATACTAATGGATAATGGATAGAGTTTCTCTCTTGGGGGATAAAAATTTCCTGACAAGAATTCACGAGGGAGGTTCCAAGATGGCCGAATAGGAACAGCTCCAGTCTACAGCTCCCAGCATGAGCGACGCAGAAGATGGGTGATTTCTGCATTTCCAACTGAGGTACTGGGTTCATCTTACTGGGGCTTCTCAGACAGTGGGTGCAGCCCACGGAGCACGAGCCGAAGCAGGGCGGGGCATCTTCTCACCCGGGAAGAGCAAGGGGTCAGGGAATTCCCTTTCCTAGCCAAGGGAAGCCATGACAGACGGTACCTGGAAAATTGGGACACTCCCACCCTAATACTGTGCTTTTCCAATGGTCTTAGCAAATGGCACACCAGGAGATTATATCCCACGCATGGCTCGGAGGGTCCCACGCCCGGCTCGGAGGGTCCCACGCCCATGGAGCCTTGCTCACTGCTAGCACAGCAGTCTGAGATCGAACTGCAAGGCAGCAGTGAGGCTTGGGGAGGGGTGCCCACCATTGCTGAGGCTTGAGTAGGTAAACAAAGAAGCCGGGAAGCTCAAACTGGGTGAAGCCCACCGCAGCTCAAGGAGGCCTGCCTGCCTCTGTAGACTCCACCTCTGGGGGCAGGGCATAGCTGAACAAAAAAGGCAGCAGAAACTTCTGCAGACTTAAACGTCCCTGTCTGACAGCTTTGAAGAGAGTAGTGGTTCTCCCAGCACGGAGTTTGAGATCTGAGAACAGACAGACTGCCTCCTCAATTGGGTCCCTGACACCTGAGTAGCCTAACTGGGAGGCACCTCTCAGTAGGGGCAGACTGACACCTCATATGGCCGGGTGCCCCTCTGAGACAAAGCTTCCAGAGGAAGGATCAGGCAGCAACATTTGCTGTTCTGCAATATTTGCTGTTCTGCAGCCTCTGCTGGTGATACCCAGACAAACAGGGTCTGGAGTGGACCTCCAGCAAACTCCAAGAGACCTGCAGCTGAGGGTCCTGACTGTTAGAAGGAAAACTAACAAACAGAAAGGACATCCACACCAAAACCCCATCTGTACATCACCATCATCAAAGACCAAAGGTAGATAAAACCACAAAGATGGGGAGAAACCAGAGCAGAAAAGCTGAAAATTCTAAAAATCAGAGCACCTCTTCTCCTCCAAAGGAACACAGCTCCTCACCAGCAATGGAACAAAGATGGACACAGAATGACTTTGATGAGTTGAGAGAAGAAGGTGTTACACCTTATAATTTCAAGACTTACAATAAAGTTACAGAATGGAATTGTTCTAAGAATAAACACATGGGTTAACAGAATGGAATACAGAGACCAGAAGTGGATCTTTATAAATGTTTTTAATAAAGGCACCAACCTTAATCCATAAGGAAATAACTCTTTTTACCAAATCTTTCTGGAATAACTGGATATACACTAAAAATGAATGAACCTCTCAATTTTACCTCACAGTATATACAAAAATTACCTGCAGTAGATAATAAACCTAAATGTAGCAACTAAAACTATAAAAAATTTAGAAGAAAGTATAAGAAACATATTTTGTGACCTTAGAGTAGATAAAGATTTCTTAAATAGGCTTTTTGTGTCCTATCACAAAATTATAAAAGAAAACATTGATGAATTCACCTCCATCAAAATTTTAAAACTTCTACTCTTTATAAAACACTATTAAGAAAATGAAAGACATGTCATAGAATAAGAAAAGATTTATAATACATATATCTAAAACAAAGGACTGGTATTGAAAATATATAAAGAACTCTTGGCCAGGTGTAGCGGCTTATGCATGTAATCCCAGCACTTTAAGAAGCCAAAGATGGAGAATCACTTCAGGCCAGGTGTTTGAGAGCTTGGGCAACATGGTGAGACATCATCTCTAATATGTAAAAAAACAAAACAAAACTACTTCTACAACTCAATATAAAGAAAGAATACAAGCCAGAGGCTGGGCACGGTGGCTTTCACCTGTAATCCCAGCACTTTGGGAGGCTGAGGCGGGTGGATCACGAGGTCAGGAGATTGAGACCATCCTGGCTAACACGGTGAAACCCTGTCTCTACTAAAAATACAAAAAATTAGCCGGGCGTGGTGGCGGGTGCCTGTAGTCCCAGCTACTCGGGAAGCTGAGGCAAGAGAATGGTGTGAACCCGGGAGGCGGAGCTTACAGTGAGCCGACATCACGCCACTGCACTCTAGCCTGGGCGACAGAGCGAGACTCTGTCTCAAAAAAAAAAAAGAGAGAACTCGGTGGTGGCCACTGCGCAGACCAGACTTCGCTCGTTCTCACGCACCTCACTCCGCTTTTCCTCGGCAACTATGTCTGACAAACCCGATATGGCTGAGATGGAGAAATTCGATAAGTCGAAACTGAAGAAGACAGAGACGCAAGAGAAAAATCCACTGCCTTCCAAAGAAACGATTGAACAGGAGAAGCAAGCAGGCGAATCATAATGAGGCGTGCACCGCCAATATGCACTGTACGTTCCACAAGCATTGCCTTCTTATTTTACTTCTTTTAGCTGTTTAACTTTGTAAGATGCAAAGAGGTTGGATCAAGTTTAAATGACTGTGCTGCCCCTTTCACATCAAAGAACTACTGACAACGAAGGCTGTGCCTGTCTCTCCCATCTGTCTATCTGGCTGGCAGGGAAGGAAAGAACTTGCATGTTGGTTAAGGAACAACCTTCTGGGGTAGAAGAAGTGGGGTGGGACGACAGTGAAATCTAGAGTAAAACCAAGCTGGCCCAAGGTGTCCTGCAGGCTGTAATGCGGTTTAATCAGAGTGCCATTTTTTTTGTTCAAATGATTTTAATTATTGGAATGCACAATATTTTAAATACGCAAATAAAAAGTTTAAAAACTTAAAAAAAAAAAAGAATACAAGCCAGAAACAGTGGCACATGCCTGTAATCCCAGCACTTTGGGAGGCAAGAAGATTACCTGAGGCCAGGAGTTTGAGACTGGCCTGGACAACATAGTGAGACCTCATCTCTACAAAAAAGATTTTTTAAAATTAGTTGAGTGTGGTGCTGCATGCCTATAGTCCCAGCTACTTGAGAGGCTGGAGCAGGAGGATGGCTTGGGCCTGGAAGGTTGAGGCTGCAGCGAGCCAGGACTGCACCCCTGTACTCCAGCCTGGGCAACAGAGTGAAAACCTATCTCTAAAAAAAATATAATAATAAAAATAAAATAAATTTTTTAAGAATGCAGACCACTCCATTAAAAATGTATAAAAGATTTGAACAGATGCTTCACAAAAGAACATATATAAATGGCCAAAACATATTCATGGCCATTAGACACCCTCAAAAGGCAAATTAAAACCACTATTTACTAGATATACCCTGGCACTTGTATCAGTCTGTCTTGGGTTTGATTGCTTTGCTCACCACTTCAGAGGCTGATCATGCTGAATATAGTAGACACTGTACACACTGGAGCCTACATCTTATTAGTTCTCCATGATATGCTCAAATTGTATCTTTATAAGATTCTTTTCTCTTCAGAGAAACAATCTACTATATTCTCCAAATTAATTGTTCTCTATGAGGAAGAAGTAAACAGAAACACATCCTCTGTAGCCCTCTTTCCTCTTCCACTCTAATTAGCTGAGCATTAGAAAAAGACAGCCCAATAAGAAAGAGTAGCAAATGATTAGCACCAATCACTCTAGTATACTCTGTAAAAATGCAACTCAAAAATTAGAGATCAGAAAGAACAGAACTTTAAAATACAATACCTGTTCTCTCTGTTCACCACCCACAGTTTTTCCAGGGGAGTGGTTTCCAAGTTGCTTATTCTCTTGAGATTCACACACCTCTCCTTTAAGTCTTTCAACCTTAAATACAAAAGTAAACACCTTGTAGACTTCTCAATTTTTGTTTGGATAAATTATTGTTTTGTTTTTTAATTATACAAGTAATATATAAATACATTCTCCTTGTAAATCTTCAACACATAGGTATACAGAATAAAAAATGGTATTTTCCTTCATATCACAACTGGTCCTCCCTTTCCAGAAATAACACTGCTTGGAATGTACCCTACCTGAACTTTTTCACGTATACACACATGTATTAAATATATAAATGTATTAGATACATAAATTTATGAAGACTTAGACAACTTACCAATCTTCACTTTTTATTCATTCTTTTTATGATTGCATTTTTATTGTGGTAAAATACACATAACAAAATTTACCATGTTAGCCATTTTTAAGTGTACAGTTCAGTGGCATTAAGCATCATTAAGCATATTATTAAGTACATTGTCAGGCACACTGTTGTGCAACCATCACCACCATCCATCTCCAGAACTCTTCATCTTGCACTGAAACTCTATACCCATTAAACAATAACTCCCGTTACTCCCTCTCCCCAGCCACTGGCAATGACCATTCTATTAATACTTTCTGTCTCTATGACTTTCACTACTCTAAGCATGCCATATAAGTGTAATCACATATTATTTGTCCTTTTGTGACTGTATTATTTCATTTAGAATAATGTCTTCAATGTTCATTCATGTTGCAGCATGTGTATGAATTTCTTTCCTTTTTAATGCTGAATAATATTCCATTGTATGGCTATACCACATTTTGCTTATCTGTTCCTCTATCAACGAGCATCTGAGCTGCTTCCAACTTCTGGCTATTGTGAATAATGCTACTATGAATATGGATGTACAAATCTATGTATGAGTCTCTGTTTTCAATTCTCTGGGGCATATATCCAGAAGTGGAATTGTCAGACCACATGGTGATTCTATATTTAACTTTTAGAGTAACTGTTTTCCATGGTGGCTGCACTACTTTAGATTCTCACCAGCAATGCAAAAGGGTTCCAATTTTTCCACATCAACATTTGTTATTCTCTGTTGTTTTGATATTAGCCATCCTGATGGGTCTTTAGTCACTCTTGCAAAAAAATTTCTAAAGCACCTAGTATTATGCCAGGTATTTTCTTAGATATTAGATATATGATTATTTAATGAATATAAACTAAAATTGAAGAGATGTATTTAAAATTTGGAAGTACATATTTTTAAAAATCAGTAAATTGCTAAGAAGAAATGGTTAAAAATATAAACAGTTAAAGATTTAGTATTAATAATCTTAAACTTATCCAATATAATAGAGTAATATTTTCTATGTGGTGAACGTGTTAACTATAAACTATTATCTAATTCCTTATTTAAAAGATCCTAGATTTACATGATAGCAACAATGTTGCTGTTTAGCATAGGTAGTTAAAATGTATAAAATATAAGTACAGATAGAATGCATCTAGGTCAAAGCATGGCATCCCCCTGAGATATTACAGCCACCAGTATTGGTCCCTGCTAAAGACCAACTTACATGTTGTATACCTGTGTTGCTTATGCTGTTGATTGTTATGGTAGACACATTTAAATACGTTCTAAGAAGTAAATTAAACTTACCATTTCACCAAGCACCTTTTTTTCTGAGTCAAGTGATCGAACCCTATTTCTTAAAGCCAGAATTTCCTCATCCAGTCTCTGATTTTGTTCCTTTGCTTTCTGTAGGTCAGCTGCATCTAAAACAGAGAAGAACACAGTTTACTCAACTGGATCAAAGTTTTAGTTTCAGGGGCACTAACTCTAAAAACGAAGGAAGTGCTATTTAGCCTGCCCTTCTTGTCAGTCCTACCATGTCTCTGCATATGTGGCTGGCTCTCTGTGCAGGAGAGCCACTAGGCTCTCAAGTCTAGTCCTAGAATATTCTACCAACCCAAAGAAATAACAGAGAAAGTTTTATATTACTCACACCAGACCAATGAATTGGACTTTTTGAGTGTAGGGTTTGCAGCAATAGAGGTTCTTCTAGGACCTAGAATTTTAAAACAATTTAGCCTAGCCTACCTTTTAAAAGTTAAATGACCAAAAAAAATGCCTTTCAGTCCTGTCTCTTTTACATACCTCCTAGTCCATTAGTTTATATATCTGTTCTTAGAACAATTCCATGCTGTAGCTTTATTGTAAGTCTTGAATTGTAAAGTGTTAATACCTCAAATTTTATTGATCACAAATGGAACATAGGCTTTTTGTTAATCAAACTACATAGTTTTGTTCAAAGTGAATATTTTTATCCCACCTTCACCTAGTACCATGTCCCAAAATAATATTTTTAACACATAGTAAATATTTTCAGACATTTATATATATATATTTATAGTAATATACAAACAGACAAAGTTGTGTTAAAAATATTTAACAACTGGTTAAGCATGTACCCTCATCTATAAGAATGTAGCTCTGAAGTAGAGTTCTAGAGAACATTTTGCTGTGCTAAATATTATCTCTTTAGTAGCTGGGAAGACATGGGGCTAGAAGGAGCTAAGACAATTAGGGCAGGTAGAAATGCTTGGAAGACTCAGGACAACAGCTACTTACAACTCAACACAGAATTATTCCAGTATCTTCACAACATTACTGCCATACTAGTATATACCAGCTCACAGAGGTCCTGTGAGTACACACACACACACACACACACACACACACACACACACTCCACAAATAAAAAACCCAAATGACATTATACCACACATCTTACTCTACAACTTGCCTTATTCACTTGATAATATATCACAGAAATCTATTCATGTCAGTGCACACTTGGCTCCATGTCGTCTTTAACAGCTGCAAAGTATGCCTCGTATAGTCACTTATTTAACAATCTATTGTTGGTAAACATACTGCATTTAATTTTACTATCCAACAAGTTATTTCTTACTCTCTGTACTTATTTGTTAACTGGCCACTTAAAAAGGTGGGAAGTATTCTCTTCTTCAATTTTCTGGAAGAAATTATGTAAATTTAGTATTATTTATTCCTTAAATAATTCCTCTTATTAGAATTCACTAATGAAGCAATCTGAGCCTGGAGTTTTCCTCATGGGAAGATTTTTATTTTTATTTTTTAATTTTGTTTTATTTTTTATTTGAGTCAGAATCTTGCTCTGTTGCCTAGGCTGGAGTGCAGTGGTGCAATCTCACTGCAGCCTCTGCCTCCTGGGTTCAAGTGATTTTCCTGCCTCAGCCTCCTGAGTAGCTGGGACTACAGGCATAGGCCACCAAACCTGGCTAATTTTTTTTTTTTTTGCTTTTTTATTTTTATTTTTTTATTATCATACTTTAAGTTTTAGGGTACATGTGCACAATGTGCAGGTTAGTTACATATGTATACATGTGACATGCTGGTGTGCTGCACCCACTAACTCAGCATCTAGCATTAGGTATATCTCCCAATGCTATCCCTCCCCTCTCTCCCCACCCCACAACAGTCCCCAGAGTGTCATGTTCCCCTTCCTGTGTCCATGTGTTCTCACTGTTCAATTCCCACCTATGAGTGAGAATATGTGGTGTTTGGTTTTTTGTTCTTGCAATAGTTTACTGAGAATGATGATTTCCAATTTCATCCATGTCCCTACAAAGGACATGAACTCATCATTTTTTATGGCTGCATAGTATTCCATGGTGTACATGTGCCACATTTTCTTAATCCAGTCTATCATTGTTGGACATTTGGGTTGGTTCCAAGTCTTTGCTATTGTGAATAGTGCCGCAATAAACATATGTGTGCATGTGTCTTTATAGCAGCATGATTTATAGTCCTTTGGGTATATACCCAGTAATGGGATGGCTGGGTCAAATGGTATTTCTAGTTCTAGATCCCTGAGGAATCGCCACACTGACTTCCACAATGGTTGAACTAGTTTACAGTCCCACCAACAGTGTAAAAGTGTTCCTATTTCTCCACATCCTCTCCAGCACCTGTTGTTTCCTGACTTTTTAATGATTGCCATTCTAACTGGTGTGAGATGGTATCTCATTGTGGTTTTGATTTGCATTTCTCTGATGGCCAGTGATGGTGAGCATTTTTTCATGTGTTTTTTGGCTGCATAAATGTCTTCTTTTGAGAAGTGTCTGTTCATGTCCTTCGCCCACTTTTTGATGGGGTTGTTTGTTTTTTTCTTGTAAATTTGTTTGAGTTCATTGTAGATTCTGGATATTAGCCCTTTGTCAGATGAGTAGGTTGTGAAAATTTTCTCCCATTTTGTGGGTTGCCTGTTCACTCTGATGGTAGTTTCTCCTGCTGTGCAGAAGCTCTTTAGTTTAATTAGATCCCATTTGTCAATTTTGGCTTTTGTTGCCATTGCTTTTGGTGTTTTAGACATGAAGTCCTTGCCCATGCCTATGTCCTGAATGGTATTGCCTAAGTTTTCTTCTAGGGTTTTTATGGTTTTAGGTCTAACATGTAAGTCTTTAACCCATCTTGAATTAATTTTCATATAAGGTGTAAGGAAGGAATCCAGTTTCAGCTTTCTACACATGGCTAGCCAGTTTTCCCAGCACCATTTATTAAATAGGGAATCCTTTCCCCATTGCTTGTTTTTCTCAGATTTGTCAAAGATCAGATAGTTGTAGATATGCGGTGTTATTTCTGAGGGCTCTGTTCTGTTCCATTGATCTATATCTGTTTTGGTACCAGTACCATGCTGTTTTGGTTACTGTAGCCTTGTAGTATAGTTTGAAGTCAGGTAGCATGATGCCTCCAGCTTTGTTCTTTTTTTGTATTTTTAGTAGAGATGGGGTTTCGCCATGCTCACCAGGCTGGTCTTGAACTCTTGACTTCAAGTGATTCACCCCCCTTGGCCTCCCAAAGTGCTGGGATTACAGGCATGAGCCACGATGTCCAGCCCATGGGAAGGTTTTTAACTAAAAATTCCGCCTCTTTACATAGATTTAGAGCTATTTCTTCTTAGCTGAGGTTTGGTAGTTTGTGTCTTTTAAGGAATGTGTCCACGTCATCCAGGTCATCAATTTACTGGCATAAAGTTATTCATAATATTCCTGTATTATCTTTTTATTGTGTAGAATTATTCTGTTATTTTTTATATTGGTAATTTGTGACTTCTCTCTTTTTTCATGACCAATCTAGCTAAAAGTTTATCAATGTTGTTCTTTCTGAAGAAGCAGCTCTTGGTTCCACTGATTTACTCTATTGCGGTTCTGTCTTTAGTTTTGTTGATTTTTTTTTCTTTTTTGAGATGGAGTCTCCATCTGTGGCCAGGCTGGAGTGCAGTGGCACAATCTCCGGTCACTGCAACCTCTGCCTCCCAGGTTCGAGATTCTACTGCCTCAGCCTCCCGAGTTAGCTGGGATTACAGGCATGCGCCACCACACCCAGCTAATTTTTGTATTTTTAGTAGACACGGGGTTTCACCATGTTGGCCAGGATAGTCTTGATCTCTTGACCTCGTGATCCACCTGCTTCAGCCTCCCAAAGTGCTGGGATTACAGGCGTGAGCCACTGCGCTCAGCCACTTTTGTTGATTCTAACTCTTATTTTAATATCTCCTTCCTTCTGCATGCCTTGGATTTAATTTTCTCTTCTTATTCTGTTCTTATTCTTCTTATTCTTATTATATTTAATTATATTCTTATTGTTCTTATTCTGCTCACCTTATTCTGGGTTTCTGAGGTATAGACTTAGATTATTTTGAGTCCTTTCTTGATTTCTAGTATAAACATTAAATACTATAAAATTCCCTCTAAGTACTGATTTAGCTATGTCACAGAAATGATGATATTGTTGCATTTTCATTTTCTTAAATTCAAAATATTTTCTAATATCTCTCTTAATTTTTTTCTCTGAAGGCATGGTCTTTTTATAAATATCTTTTTAGGCCGGGTGCGGTGGCTCACGCCTGTAATCCCAGCACTTTGGGAGGCTGAGGCGGGTGGATCACAAGGTCAGGAGTTCAAGACCAGCCTGGCCAACATGGTGAAACCCCATCTCTACTAAAAATACAAAAATTAGCTGGGCATGGTGGCAGTTTCCTGTAATTCCAGCTACTCGGGAGGCTGAGGCAGAGAATTGCTTGAACCTAGGAGGTAGAGGTTGCAGTGAGCTGAGGTCATGCCACTACACTCCAGCCTGGGCGACAACGTGAGAATCCGTCTCAAAAAAAAAAATCTTTTTAATTTCCAAATATTTCCAACGAATCTACTTCTGTTACCAATTTTTAGTTTAATTCCATTATGATCAGAGAAAATAATTTGTATGATTTCATTTTTTTCACAGAGATTTGCTTTATGGCCCAGGATGGCCTTTTTTTTAAATTTTGAACTTTAAACAGATTCTTGGACCAGTGCTTCATATCCATCAGCTAATTCGACTTTAGCACCTGTCTCATCCCCAGTGGCTTTTCCAGAACAATTACCTTCATGAATTTTCCCAAATCAAACTTGGGCATCTTCAGCATTTTTACTTTTCTAACAAAGACATCATGGAGAAGATAAATAGATAGGCAAAGCTTTTCTCTTTTCCAGTGCTGCCTGGAATCAATTTATTGACCACTTCTTTCAAGTCATTTGCACCTTTCAGGTCATAATTTCCATCATTTTCTTCTGGATTTCGCAGACCTGTTGGTGCTGAGCATAAGAGGCCTTCTGTATCAGATTGTGTTTTTTAGTAAAATCAACAGAGTAGATGAAACAAATAACCATCGGTAGTCTTGACATCAATGTGAGGTTCAATCATGGTCTGCCATTTTTTGACCACGGAACACATTTCGTCAGGGGTAAATCCATGCCCTGGAAGTTAGTTTTTTTCCTGA
Source organism: Homo sapiens (assembly GCF_000001405.40). Taxonomy (NCBI): domain Eukaryota; kingdom Metazoa; phylum Chordata; class Mammalia; order Primates; family Hominidae; genus Homo; species Homo sapiens. The sequence continues at coordinate 42,492,010 of NC_000001.11, read as the reverse complement.
ACATCTTCAGCAATCAGCTTGAATTTTCTAAATGCAACTTCATCATTCTGCAGATCAGCAAGACTCACTTCAAACACACGACGCTTGAGGCTATCAGATGCAATTTTGGTTCCTCGAGTCCTGGTGACTAGCGTCTCTCCAATATTTCTTATATTGAACATAGCAAGTGCTTTTACATCACACCAATCTTTCTTAGAAAATGGATCAACCACTCTATTTTCGGCTCCCTTTTTGCCACCTTTCATAAGGTGCTTGTTCTTGCCAACAGCCATGGTGCTGCTCACAGAGCCAAAAGGCTACATGTTTTGATACAGGCATGCAATGCGTAATAATCATGTCATGGAAAATAGGTTATCCATCTCCTCAAGTATTTATCCTTTGTGTTACAAACAATCCAATTATACTCTTTAAGTTATTTTAAAAGGTACAATTAAATTATTATTGACTATAGTCACCCTGTTGTGCTATCAAATACTAGGTCTTATTCTTTCTTTTTTTTTTTTTACCCATTAACCATTCCCCACCTCCCACTGAAACTGCCCCTTTATTCTCCTTCCCATCCTCTGGTAACAATCTTTCTGCTCTCTATGTCCATGAGTTCAACTGTTTTGATTTTTAGATTCCACAAATAAGTGAGAACATGCAATGTTTGTCTTTCTGTGCCTGGCTTATTTCTGTTAGCATAATGACTTCCAGTTCCACCAGGATGGTCCCTCTTGGTGAATGTTTCATGGGTATATGAAAAGAATGTGTATTCTGGTAAAATTTTCTATAAATATCAATTAGGTCATGTTGACTGCTAGTATTTTTAGGACTTTTATATCCTTACTGATTTTTTTCTGTTTACTTGTACTATTAATTACTAAGAAAGCAGTGTTCATTTTATAATTCTATTCATACATTTTTAAAAGGAGGCTATGTGTAGTTTTAGAATTTAAAAATTGGTAAACGTATTTAAAAATTTTTTAGCTGTTACCGTTAAAATAGTCAAATTTCATTATATTATTGATAACTGGTAGCATTTTTATATAGGCAAGCTAGGGTCAGATTAATTCACCACTGATTCAAGCCTACTGGCTTTCCAGTGAACAAATATGTATAAAGTATTGTTAAATGCATTATAAAGTATATTGGTGTCAGTGGTCCCAGTAAAATATGCATGATTTGTATTGATCACAGGTTTGGGAGTCAGACATATAAAGATTCAAATACCAGCTCTGATACTTAATGTAGCTACTGGATAACTCTTAACTCTGCCATGACTCAGTTTGCTTATCTAAGAAATAGGGATACTACTACTCACTACTTGGAACTGCTATGAGGATTAGATGAGATATGTGTGTTCAGGGTGGTATGGCCATAGACTGTTGTGAGGATTAGAGATAACGCATGTGAAGTGCCTGGCAGAGTACCTGTCACTTAGTAAGCAATAAATGGTAGTAGTAGTGGTAGTAGTAGTAGTAATAATAACAGTAGTAGCAACAGCAATAATAGTAGTAGTACTTATTATTTTAATTCCTAAATATTATTTTAAAGCATATTATTAATGTATATTATATTATTTCTTAATGTATTATTATTAAATAATAATTTTTTAAAAAATTTATTCTTTTGAGATGCGGTCTTGCATTATCACCCAGGCTGGAGTGCAGTGGCACAGACATGGCTCACTGCAACCTCCAACTCCTGGGCCCAAGCCTCCCAAGTCTTTGGGACTGCAGGCGTGTACCACCATTCTTGGCTACTAAATAATAATCATCATATCTTCTAGAATGACTTACCATTTTCTTTCAGCTTTACCAAATTTTCCTTCAATTTGTCAATTTCTAGTTGAGCCTTCTTAAGTGCAGAATCTAAAAAAAGAAATAAAATATTTGTATAAGGAACAAATGATTAGTATAATAATCAAATTTCAAATGACTCTCTCTCTCTGGAACACTTTCTTTCACCTGGCTACTGTCCTAGGAGTTTCTGCTTAAATGTCAGCTCCTCAGGGAATTTTCCCAGACTTCTCTCTTAGAGTTCCTACTGCACCCTATATTTAGCCCTATCCCTGATTATCTGATCTTGTAATTGTCTTTCCTTAATAGTTTCCTCCATCAGATTTCATGATGAAGAGGAATTTAAACCACTGTAAACAACAGGAAAAGCTGAAAGTTTTTAGGTATGGTACTACCAGTTTAGTAAAAAGAAATTACACCCAGAAATAAGTAAAAATAATTCCTGCAATCAATCATATTTAGAATTTTGCCAATAGCTGCTAGAAATATCAAAATAACAAAATTTCAGGAAATAGCTTTTGGTGCTATGCAAGAATTGTATAAGGATGGCACAGTGATATTTAGGAAGACTATTGGATTTGGGCTCTCTACTTCAGGTTTTATCCCTTTGTCTCCTACGGTCTCCTCATCACCAGCGATATTGCTAGTGGATCGCCTATATTATCAGAATGAAGAACCTCCCAGAAGTAAGAGACTAACATGAATTTTATAACAGGTCACTTCTAACCACAGAGTGAGCACATCAGCACAATTGTGAAGGTTTTATTATTACATCCGTAACACTCAGTTCTTTAGAGTAAATCCCAGGATAACCCACCAGATTCACCTAAAACTGCATTCCTAACTATAGCAATACTATTACTACTGCTGTTACCATAGCAGTAACTACCAGTGCCAGATATATGTACCATCATAACAAATCTGCAAAGTAGATATTCATGTTTCCATTTTATAGATGAGATAAACAAGACTCAGAAAAGTTAAGCAAGTTGCTCAACATTACACAACTAGTAAACTGTATGGCTGGGATGTGAACCTAAGTCTGTTTACACTGAGCCAAAGATGTAAAAATAGCTTTTGTTTTTACTAAAAGAACAGTTTTCTAAATGTATTCCTCTATGGAAGAAGGAGAGAAAGTAAAGTGAGGGCAGGTGGAAAGGATATTCTGGAAAGAGGGAATAAGACGAGTAATATAGGAGGTAGGACAGAACAAAGGAGACGACATAGGAGGGAACACTGAGTAGTTCTGGAACTACATATAGTCTAATACTGCCTGGTCTGTAGTGCAGAGAATTAGGACAGTGTGGGATATGACCTGGATACATAGGCAGAGGCCAAACCAGAAAGACCTTATTTGCTACATAAGAGAGCTCAGAATTTATTATGTGAACCAGGGGCTTCCAAACTGTATTCTATGAACCTCTAAGTTCTGAAGACTTCAGGTGTTCTGAAAACATTTGACTTAATTGCCATTTGAAAAAAATAACTATTTCTGGAATAGCACACATAGTGAAATATATTGCTCCAAATTTAGATAATATCAGACTACCAAATTTATTAACTTCTATGGTCAGGTTAGTTTCTGCCATGTTTGTGAAGATACTTGAAAACTGTAGCTTTCTGGGGTTGGGCACAGTGGCTCACACCTATACAACACTTGGGAGGCTGAGGCATGAGGATTGCTTGAGGCCAGGAGTTTGAGATCAGCCTGGGCAAGTAAAACCACCTTCTCTACAAAAGATTTAAAACTTAGCCAACTGTGGCACTACACGCCTGTAGTCCTAGCTACTCATGAGACTGAGGCAGGAGGGTCACTTGAACCCAGGAACTCAGTGAGTAAGTGATGATCGTGCCACTGTACTCCAATCTGGGCAACAGAGTGAAACCCTGTCTCTAAAAAAAGAAAGAAAAAAAAGAAAATTTTAGCTTTCCAACAGTCCTCCTAAACCAGTAATATTTCTAAAACTGTATTGGTTGTAACTTTTCTTGAGATCTCTCTACCAGATTAAGAGTTTTACTTTCTTAGTCTATTTCTAAGTCTCTTTCTAAGTCTGGTTAGCATCGATTTAAAAAAAAAAACTTTTTTACTTATGGAAGATTTCAAATATATACAAAAGTAGCTAGGGCAGAGTTATGGTAATACCTACATCCATCACCCAGCTTTTAACAATTACCAACTTATGGTCAATCTTGTTTCACTTATACCCTTACATATTATATTAATTTTCTAATGTCGTATAACAAATTGCCACAAACTTAGTGGCTTACAACAGCATCCATCTACTAGTTCACGTTTCTCTAGGTCAGGAGTCCGGGCATGGTGTGCCGGGGTTCTGTGATCAAAGTCTTACAAGGGTGAAATCAGGGTGTTGGCCAGGCTGTGTTTCTCTCTGAAGGCTCTGGAGAAGAATCCATTTCCAATCTGATTCAGCTTGTTAGCTGAAATCAGTCCTTGAGGGTGTAAGACTGAGGTCCCCATCTCCTCACTGACTGTCAGTTGGAGGTCTCTCTTGGCTCTTGGAGGCTGCCCACATTCTTTGTTACCTGGTCTCCTCCATCTTCAAAGTCATTATTTATTTGTTCTTCAAAGTCATTAATGTAGAATCTCCCTCATGTTAAATCCCTCTTGCACTTCAAATCTCTTTTGCCAGGAAATGCCTTGACTCTTTTAAGAGCTCACCTGATTAGATCAGGCTCAAGTAAGATAATCTCCCTTCTTTAAAGTCAGTTGGTTTGGGACCGTAACTACGCTTACAAAATCTCTTCACAGCAGCATCTAGATTGTATTTGGTTGAATAACTGGGAAAATATGTGTGTATACCAGGGGGTGGGGCTCTTGGAGGCCACCTTAGATTTTCACCTAATACACTTATTTCCCCCAGTTCTTATATTTTTAACAGCTTTGAGGTACAGTTTACATACCTTAAAAATTACATATTTCAAGTGGACAATTCAATGGTTTTTAGTATACCTACAGGTATGCAACCATCGCAATCTAATTTTAGAACATTTCCATCACCCTATTAAGAAAATCATATGCACTTAGTCAATCCCAATTTTCATACCTAGCCCTAGACAACCACTAATCTACTTTCCTTTTTTTTTTTTTTTTTTTTTTTGAGACAGGGCATCACTATGTTGCTCAGGTTGGACTCAAACTCATAGGCTAGGTGATTCTTCTGCCTCAGCCTTCCAAGTGGCAAGTAGTTGGGACATAAGCATGTGCTACTGTGCCCAGCTATGCCAATCTACTTCCTATCTCTATAGGATTGCCTTTTATGTACATTTCATCTAAATGGAATCACACAATATATGATCTTTTGCATCTGACTTCTTTTACTTAGCTTGTTTTTGAGATTCATCCATGTAGCAGGTGTAAGTACTTCCTTCCTTTTTACTGGCAGATAGTATTCTATCATATGAGTGTCAGGAGTTCCCAAGGTCACCCCCAGGTTTGGTGATGTGCTAAGAGGACTCACAAGTCTCAACATATGTTCATATTCAAAGCTAAGATTTCCTACAGCAAAAGGATAAAGCAAAATCAGCAAAGGGAAAGGATGCATAGGGCAAAGGCCAGAAGAAACCAGGAACAAGCTTCCAAGAGTCCGCTCCCAGTGGAGTCACAAAGGATATGTCTCCAGCAGTGAACTGTGACAATACATGTAAAATGTCTACCTGGGAAGTTCATGAAAGACTCACCACCTAAGGTTTTGTTGAGGGCTGGTCACACACACACTTTCTGCCTAGCATATACCAAGACTCTTAAAGGAAAGCAGGTGTTCTGCATGGACCACATTGTATAAACAGCTTAGGCACAGTGAGCCACTATTGGTTAAGGAATGGTGGAAACCCTCCCAAAATCCAGGTTCCCAGATGTCAGCCAGATGCTTGTGACTGTTATAAGCAGTCCTTTCTTAAGAATAGCAGTGTCGGGTGTGCTGTTAGCTACTTTCTGCACAGTATGGATATACTGCATTTTGTTTATCTGTTCACCAACTGACAGACAGTTGGGTTGTTTCTAACTCTTGGCTACTGTAACTAATATTGTTATGAACATTTACATACAAGTCTGTGTTGATACATGTTTTCATTTCTCCTGGGTAGGTAGCTAGGAGTAGAATTTCTGGGTCGCCTTTAATATTTTGAGAAACTGTTAAATGTTTTCCAAAGTATCTTCACTATTTTACCTTCTTACTAGCAATGTATAAGGGTTTCAATGTTTCCACATCCTTACCAACAGTTGTCACTGTCTGTCTTTTTTAGCATGGCCATTCTAGTGGGTATGAAGTAGACGCTCATTGTGGTTTTGCTTTGCACTTCCCTAATAACTAATGGTATCGAACATCGTCTTCTTAATCGACAAATAATAATTGTATATGTTTATGGGGTACAATGTAATGTTTTGCTATATATTTATATTGTGGGGTGATTAAATCAAGTTAATTAACACATCTATCACCTCACATACTTATCAATTTTTATGATGGGAGGTGCTGAGCATCTTTTCATGTGCTTGTTGGTCATTCACATATCTTCTTCCTGGAAATGTCTTTTCAAATCCTTTGCCCATCTTTTTTCTTTGAGACAGGGTCTTGCTCTGTCACCCAGGCTGGAACAATCATCGCCTACTACAGCCTCAAACTTCTGGGCTCAAGCTATCCTTCCACCTCAGCCTTCCAAGTAGCTAGGACTACAGGTGCATGTCACCACGCCCAGCCCTTTTGCCCATTTTTAAATTGGGCTGTCTTTTAATTATTAAATTGTAAGAATTTGTTACATATTCTGGATGTAAGATCCATATCAAACACATGATTTGCAAATATTTTCTTCTAGTCTATGAGTTGTCTTTTCACTTTCTGATGGTATGTTTTGAACTGTAAAGGTTTTAAATTTTGATTTAGTCCAATGTATTAGTTTTTCTCATCATTTTTGCTTTTGGTGTCATATTTAATGTATCACTGCTTAACCCAAGATCATGAAGATGTTTTCCTTGTTTTCTTCTAACAGTTTTACAGTTTTAACTTACATTTAGCTCTATGATCCATTTTGAATTAATTTTTGTGTAGGTGTAAGGTAGAGACCTGTATTATTTTGAAGCAAATCCTAGACATCATTTCATTCACTTATGAATATTTCACTATACAGCTCTAAAAAATAAGAACTCTTTTTAAACAAAAAATTAATTTAACAAAAATTTAACAATAATTCTTTAACTCATATGTCTAGCAAGTGTTCAAATTTCAAATTGTTTTATTAATGTTAAAAATTTGAATCAGGATTCAATAAAGGCCACACATCATAATTGGTTAATAAGTCTCTTAAATCTTTAAAAATTCATCTTTTTTCTTGATATTCATTTGTTGAGGAACAAATATTTTATATAAATTCTTTTTTATTCTTGAAAAAATTATCACTGAAAAAATTTTTCATTTTCATCCAAATTTTATGATGTGATAGAGAGCTAAAGAATAAACTAAAGAGAACTAAAGGGATTTATTTTAAAGAGTTTGTTGAAAGAAACAAGCTAATACTTGGGAAACACTGTCATATAACACATGCCTAGCTACAAATTCTGCTATAAGTGGATGACTCAGGAAGTTACAGATGGCGCACACACTGATACTGCACACAACATTCCAAAAGGACTTGCTAATTCAGCTTCCCAGCAGTCCTAATAGACTCACTGTGGAGATGGCTTTCAGTTGATACGTCTGGGATTTACCCTACAGAGCAACTGCTGATAGAACAGGTTGCTATGTGATTGTGTTCTGTTGTGTCCAAATGTAACTACTAAGGGTACTGAATATCCTGCTTTCCTTTTTTCTTCTTGTATGGCAAGCAGCAAATATTGCTTCTCATCGTGTTCATGTGACCAAATTTATTTTCTTTTTAGATAGTGTTTACTGAGGAATAAATTGCATGCAGTGAAATTCACCCTTTTAAGTGTATAGTTTGAAGAATTCTGACAAATATGTACAATTGTATACCCACCAACCCACATGGGATATGCAACATTTCCATCATTCTGAAAAGTTATTTGTGTCCACTGTTTAAAATGTACTTATAAAAAATTTACATCCTGATATTCTTTTTTTTATTATTATTTGTTTTTAATCACACAGGCATAATCATTATTGTTTTATACATTTAACATTTTTAATGTTTATGATTCTAAAGTAACCTATACATTGCATTTGTAAAAGAATCAGTCACGGATTAAAAATATAGAAAGGAGATAATTATAATTTAAAATTTTTATACTAAATTCTAGATAAAGCAAAGATGTAAATATAAACAATAAAAGTACCCCCCCAAAACCAGGGGTAAATATTTTCAATAACCTTGTAGTGAAGAAAAGGCTTTAAACATGAAAACTCAGAAAGCATAAAGAATAATTCACTTAAACCCAACTTGATGAATATTAGCATTTATGGTAAAAAAACAATAACAACAACATAACATTTATAACCAACAAAAGGCTCATATCCACAATATATAAAGAACTCCCACAAATAAATAAAATAGAAAAATATACAACAGACTCGAGCAGGAACTTCACAAAGTTGTATATCCAAACGAGTAACAACAACAACAAACATATGAAAAGATCTTCAACTTAATTAGCAGTCAGGGAATACCAGTTAAAGCCACACTTAAATACCACTATACACTCAACATAAAAGGTGAAGTTGGTAAGACTGACAGTACCAAGTATTGAAAACCAAGGTGGAGGAACTAAAATCTCACATACAACTGAGGAAAGCTTAAATTAGTATAATTACCTTGGAAGACCAAAGTAGAACCTGCCCTTTGATTCAGTAATTCTGCTCTTACCACAATCAGAAATGTGTAATAAGCACACTGAGACATATACCAAAATGTTTATAGCAGCAATATTCATAATAGACAAAAACTGACAACACAATCGTCCATCAGTAGAATGGATAAATTGCAGTATGTTTATTAATGAAATACTATAAACAGCAGAGTGAACAAACAACTGCTACGTGTAACAAAATGAATGAATCTTATAAGACTGAGCAGGAGAAGCAAACCATAGAAGGCATACTGCATATAGTCAAACGCAGAAACTGCATTCAGTCAGGACAGTAGTTACTCTGAAGGAGGAGGAAGGATGTAGAGATAGAAAGAAGGAACACAGGGGACTTCTGAGAGGCTGGGAATTTCTTGTGGTGAGTGGTATACACTTACAAGTTGTGCACTTTTGGTAGATATGCTTGGGCTTTGACAAAAATTCCTAGCATGGTAGAAAATGAGGCTGTTCATCACTTTTATGTGTTTATCTTAAAGACTTGTTTCTCAGTGTTTTTTTTTTTTCTCATGTTCCACCCTGAGATGAGATCAGTACAGTTAAAGCATGATCGGAAATGGTCATCTGAAACCACAGCTTACCTAATTTACATTGTTCCTTCTCCTTCACTTGTAGTTCATCAGTGAGCCTTTGAATCTCTTCATGAGCCACCCCTAACTTCTTTGCTACTTGTTCCATTCCTCTTCCTAGGCAGTTTTGTGATGTTTTGTCTTTTTCCAGGTCTTCATTATGATACTGAAATAAAACTTCTATTAGTAATAAAACAAAGAGCAAATGTACTCTCATGACATTTTGCTATTTTCTATTAATGTTTAAAAGCCAATAAATTAGCAAACAATATCTATGTGTATTTCTTTGTGTGTGTGAGTGTGTGTGTGTATGTGTGTGTGTCTGTGTATTTCCTTTCTTAGGTTGAACCAAATAAAACTGGTGATATTTGATTGCTTTTACTTATAAATATTTGGTTTCATGTGGTTCAACCTAACATCCAAGAGATATGAGTGTATTGTTCTATTTCTTTGCAGTATTTTTTATTTATATACATTTTTACATAGTCATAATACCAACACATGTACAAGTTTCTGTCTGGCTTTTTAAATTTAACATTATACAGGAACACTTCTCTGTAAATTGCTGTACAGATTTTCTAATGTAATGATTTTTTTTTTTTTTTTGAGATGGAGTCTCACCTGGTCCCCCAGGCTAGAGGGCAATGGCACAGTCTCTAATGGCACAACTGCAACCTCCGCCTCCCAGGTTCAAGCGATTCTCCTGCCTCAGACTCCCAAGTAGCTGGGATTTTAGGCACGCACCACCACGACTGGCTCATTTTTTGTATCTTTAGTAGAGATGGGATGTCACCATGTTGGCCAAGCTGGTCTCGAACTCCTGACCTCGTGATCCACCCACCTGGGCCTTCCAAAGTGCTGGGATTACAGGCATAAGCCACCGCACCCAGCTTGTAATGATAATTTTTAAAGGCTGTACTGTGTTCCAGCATGGCTATAACATTATTTCTGTACTCACTTAAAAATTTGGATAGCTTCTGATTTTTGCTATTGAAAATAATACTGTGATGTACAGTTTAATCTTGGGTTACCTCCCATACTTAAATTCACAGTGTACACTTTATTCACCAGACTTACCTTTTAATAACATTTCCCTAGATCAAAAACATTAAATTCCATGAGCAGAACTGAATATATTTAAAATAATGTGCTATATATTCTAAAGAACTCCTTAAAAGGGGAACTACAAACATATTTGTAAATAAAAAATATGTATAGTCCCAAGGTGATTTTTTTTTTTTTTTTTTTTTTTGAGACAGGGTTTTGCTCTGTCGCCCAGGCTGGAGTGCAATGACATAATCTCGGCTCACTGCAACCTACGCCTCCCAGATTCAAGTGATTCTCCTGCCTCAGTCTCCCTAGTAGCTGGGATTACAGGTGTGCACCACGATGCCTGGCTAATTTTTGTATTTTTTAGTAGAGACAGGGTTTCACCATGTTGGCCAGGCAGGTCTTGAACTCCTGACCTCAGGCGATCTGTCTGCCTTGGCCTCCCAAAGTGCTGGGATTACAGGTATGAGCCACTGCACCTGGCCTAGTCCCATGGTGATTTTTAAAAGGACATAACATAGATTGTTTAAATTTTGATACATTCAATAAAAAATCAGCTATCATGTCAAATGAGTGATTTTTTCCTCCTCAAATTTTTGTGATGTGTTCAAAATACTTTTATGCATAATTTGATAATTCTTACAGCATGACTCTTTTTTTTTTTTTAAGAGATGAGGTCATGCTTTGTCACCCAGGCTAGAGTGCAGTGGCGCAACCATAGCTCACTGCAGACTCCAACTCCTGGGCTCAAGCAATCCTCCCACCTCAGCCTCCCCTGTAACTGGAACTACACCACACCCAGCTAATTTTTTTTTATTTTTCATAGAAACTGAGTCTCACTATGTTACCCAGGCTGGTCTTGAACTCCTGGCCTCAGGTCATCCTCCAGTTTTGGTCTCCCAAAGTGCTGGGATTATAGGCATGAGCCACCACATCTGGCCATGAATCTATACATTATCATACATTCAAACAAAATACTTCTAAGGTGAAAGCTGATTTGTAATTAGCCACAATTATTAAGTAAAGGATTATAATTTCTTTTTTACCTCACTCAGTTTTTTTAGACTGTTACACAGGTTCTTGATGTTCTCTTTGTAGAGACTGGTGGATTTGTTCCAATTTCTTCTTAACAAAATTCAATATATAAATGAAACGTACATAAATCAGTCTTCATGAACAAAAATGTCATTTTGCCTGGGTGTGGTGGCTCACCTGTAATTCCAGCATTTTGGGAGGACAAGACAGGAGGATTACTTGAGCCCAGGAGGTTGAGGCTGCAGTGAACGGAGATCATGCTACTGCACTCCAGCACTCCAACCTGGACAAGAAAAAGAAAGAGAAAATGTTTAAATCTTCAACTAAAGTATAAAAATGAATGATAAATTTTAGCAAGATTGCTAGATATAAGGTCAATATATAAAAATAATTATAATTTAAAATACCAGTAACAAATTAGTAGAAAATTAATTTTTTTAAAAAGATAGCATTTATTATTAATAGCATCTAAAAATATGAAGCACCTAGGAATAAATCTAACAAAAATGTGCAAGATCTTTGTGGGGAAAATTATAAAAATTTACCTATATACATTAGAAAATGAATAGATATTTCATAATTACAGATCATATCTATCAAACAATTTGAGTTAATTTTTATATATGGTGTGAGATAAATTTATTGCAAGGTCTAAAATTTCATATATTGCCTTGACATCTTTCAGTCTCACAGAAGCCCCAAAAAAGCCTAGCCATCAGTTACTCGGCTCGCACCAGAGATGTCCCCCATCCAGAGAGAAAGAGTCCCCATCTGGCCAGTTCCTCTATCAGCCGGAGCAGCTGTACTCCACACAGTCCTTAAACTAATGAGTTTCACTTCCCTGCCAGCCCACGGAATTTTCCAGACAAGCCAATCACATCTTCCCATGGGAACCAGGAGGCACCTCATCTTCTTGTTACTACAAAGCCTGCCTCCCATACTCCCTATGAGTTCATTCTATTCTTGAGAGTAACCCCTTGTGGCCCTGCATAGCATAGCATATCTATCCTCTTCCCATGGGCTGAGTGTATCTGACTAATAAGCTGCTATCAATCTCATCTCTCTCCAGTGTCAGGTGTCATGTATTTGGCCATCTTGTGGTATTTAGAGCAGGCATTCCTCACCAGTGGGGAACAGAACTTCGATCAGGATTTGGGAGGCTTTTTTTTTTTTTTTTAAGCATATGTCTATATCTAATTGTTCCAGCATCATTTGTTGAAAAGGTTATCCTTTTCTCATTGAATTACCTTGTCACCTTTGTTGAAAATCTGTTGATGGTGTACTTGTGGGCTTATTTCTGGACTCTCTATTGAGAGTTCCATTGATCTATAGATCTATCTGAATGCCAAGAATGCATTTTCTTTTTTTGAGATGGAGTCTCACTCTTTCGCCCAGGCTGGAATGCAATGGTGCAACCTTGGCTCACTGCAACCTCCACCTCCCATGTTCAAGCGATTCTCCTGACTCAGCCTCCTGAATAGCTAGGATTACAGGCACCCACAACCACGCCCGGCTAATTTTTGTACTTTTAGTAGAGATGGGGTTTCACCATGTTGGCCAGGCTAGTCTTGAACTCTTGACCTCCGGTGATCCGCCCAACTCGGCCTCCCAAAGTGCTGAGATTACAGGTGCGAAACATCGCGTCCAGCCCAAGAATATATTTTCTTGATTGCTACAGCTTTATGGTTAAGTCTTGAAATCAGGAAGTGTTAGTGCTCCAACTTTGTTCTTTTTCAGTTTTTTTACTAGTCTAGGACCTTGCATGTCCACATCAACTTTAGAATCAGTTTGTCAGTTTCTACAAATAAAAAAAGTGACTTTGCTGATTATTTTATGCTCAGGCTCTTTACAACATTAGCTAAAACAAAATATTAGCTTTAACCAAATTAGGAATGCAACACAAATGTTACAGGCTATATTTTATCATAAAATGGGTATCTTGGGGGGGCGCAGTTTGGTTTTTGTTTTGTTTTATTCTGTTGTTTGAGACAGGATCTCACTCCGTTCCCCAGGCTGGAGTGCAGTGATGCAATCAAGGCTCACCACAGCCTCGACCTCCCAGGCTCAGGTGATCCTCCCACCTCTGCCTCCCGAGTAACTGAGACTACAAGTGCATGCCACCATGCCTGGCTAATTTTTGTATTTTTTGTAGAGATGGGGTTTCGCCCCTTTGTCCTGGCTGGTCTCAAATTCCTAGGCTCTAGCAATCTACCTGCCTTGGCCTCACAAAGTGCTGGGATTACAGGCGTGAGCCACCGTGCACGGCCAGAGAATCTGTGTTAATTCTTTCTGGCCATTATTGGAAAACTATGATCCAAAAGTGATTGAGTAGTTGGTATTAGAGTCATCCAAGATTTCACCCACCATTCTCAATTTGTTTGATAGATTCCTTTTCATTAATAAATCAGTTCATCTTCCCTCACCATTTACACTCTGAGCCTTGTTTTCGTTCTCATTCTTTGATTATTACTGCAAAACTACCCCTAAGTTTCCCACTTCCAATCTGGTCCCTATGTAATCCATCCCTCTACTGTTGCTAGAGTAATTTTTCTAAAACATGAATCAGATCATGTTAGCTGCCCTCTTAAAATTATTTAGTGATTCTCCAGATATTTTATAACAAAGTCAATAATTCATATGTTCAAAAATATTTGTATGCTTTTAGCATAGTCCAGGAACATCAAGCATAGTCCAGGTGTCAAATCCAAATGCCTTAGTTTAGCATACGGTTTCACCATGACGTGGTTCCTGAAAATATCTCCAGCCACATTTCTTCTTAGCATTCACTCACGTGAACCACTATGTATTATCAACTCTGTTCCCTTTGCCAGGAATGCCTTTCCCAGCTTCTTAATCTAGCTAGCACCTTTCAAAACACAACTCAATGCAATCTCCTTTGGAAGCCTTTTCTGGTCACCCTACCCATCCTGTCTTTCTCATCACCTCCCCTGAATTTTCCTAGTATTCTGTGCCTTCCCTTAGCATAGGACTATCCACACTGAACTACAACCACTGGCTTATCTCTTTCCTTCACAGTTTACAGATTTATTGCAAGTCCAGATCAAGTCTAATTTGAAGAATGTGGGATGCATAGGATTGATTTACAAACTGAGGCTTACTGGCAGTCCAAATCATTAACATGCTAGGGAAAACTGTATATGAACTTTTGCATTATAATGACATCATTCTCCTATTTATCAATCATCATGAGCTAATTTATATTGCAAAAACACGTGGCCTGTAATCCCAGCACTTTGGGAGGCTGAGGCGAGTGGATCACAAGGTCAAGAGATCAAGATCATCCTGGCCAAAATGGTGAAACCCCGTCTTTACTAAAAATACAAAAATTAGCCAGGCATGGTGGCGTGCATCTGTAGTCCCAGCTACTAGGGAGGCTGAGGCAGGAGAATCCCTTGAAGCCGGGAGGCAGAGGTTGCAGTGAGCCGAGATCACACCACTGCACTCCAGCCTGGGTGAAAGAGTGAGACTCCATCTCAAAAAAACAAAACAAAGAAAAACACATGTTGGCAGTAGGACATACAATATCTTCTGTTTCTTGCAGTGTGGCAGATTAGAGCCCTTGAACAACCTTCCTACTGAGAATTACCAGAAATGCCGGAAGAAATTTTCCAGAAGCTTTGTAGAGGGGGGAAAAAAAAAAGCCAGAATTAAAGAAAACTCTTAAAATGCAACCATTATACAAACAAAAATAGAATATTAACTTTAAATCATGAGAAGAAAATTCAGTCTACCCAGTAGAAAGCAAGAAAGGAAAAAATGAGGGTACAGTACAGTAATATGTCCTATAATTAACTCAATTTTCTCTACACCTAGGCAAAAAAAAAAAACAAAAAAAAAAACTTCCATCAACGAACTCTTGTAAAAGAAATTTCTAAAAGGAAAAAAGGAAAATGATCCCGAATGGAATATCTGAGATGCAAGGAAAAATGCTGAGTACAGAAAATAATAAATGTGTGGTAAATATAATCACTGACCATATATAATAATAAGTATAATAACAGCACCTAATTTTTTTATCTTTTTTTTTTTTTTGAGAAGGAGTTTCACTCCTTTTGCCCAGGCTGGAGTGCAACGGCACAATCTCCGCTCACCACAACCTCTGCCTCCCAGGTTCAAGCAATTCTCCTGCCTCAGTCTCCCAAGTAGCTGAGATTACAGGCATGAACCACCACATCCGGCTAATTTTGTATTTTTAGTAGAGACAGGGTTTCTCCATGTTGGTCAAGCTGGTCTCGAACTCCCCACCTCAGGTGATCCGCCCACCTCAGTCTCCCAAAGTGCTGGCCTAATAGCACCTAAGTGTGTACCTACACAAATATAGAATATTCTAAAAGGGTTCTATCTGTATTTTCCTTTGCAGCTTTGAAGTACTTAATATTTTCTAAGTCCTTAATATGCTAGTGAAGGAGTTAAAAATACACTACTCTGGTATATTGACTATTTTGAGTTAAACACACTTGAAAAACAGCAGGTGCAAGATCATTCTGATCTTCCATTTCTTAAAAGCAGGAGATGAAATTCCCATGTTCAAAGATGCCCTCCCTTTGCTAGAAGGAAAACAACACTCTTCTGATTAAGGATGGGAAGTTGAGGCCAAGAGAATTCTTTACAGACCTTGTTAAAGTAACTCTTATCTTTTCAGCCTTTCCATATATTTAGTTGCATTTCACAGCTTACTATTGTCTGTCCAATTCAGTATATGAGAGATTGATTCTAAGTGCTTCTTTGGGTCTTCATCTCCATTTATTTCCAATTTAAATAAATGTGTATGCTTTTCTCCTGTTAATCTGTTTTATATCAACTTAATTCTCAGGCTCAGCTGGGAAAAAAAAAACCTAAAGAGGAAGAGGTAAAGTTTTGCCTCCCCTAAACTGGGTACTTTACAAGCCAGGTACTGTGAGAGACACAAATCACTAAAACTAGGACATGATCTCTACTCCAGAGGAGCTGATACTGATTATAATATAGTGTGGTAAGTGCTGTAATAGACACTGAAAGAAAATACCCTGCACTCTCATACACATTTCAGACTATTTCAGAATACATACTTTTTTAAAAGACAGGCAGAAAATACACTTAAAACATTAGAAGTATTATACTTTTCTTGGGGTAGAAGATATAATTTTTCCCTTCTTTATAAGAGCATACATTTCTCAAATTTTCTATAATGTCATATGTTAATTTCTAGAATTAGGGAAGAAGTTTTAAAATGACATGCCCACAAAAGGAAAAACAACTCTGTTTGAGTTGGAGCTCTTTAAACTCATGTCTAAGCTGTTCATTTTCCTTTTCATCATAACCATGAAAAAATGCTTCTCTTCCCTCTGTTAGGTTACAAATACAGTTTGCATAATTTTCCACCTAAAAAAAACACATTTTCTTACTTTTAGTCCATGGCTCATATTTTAATCCATATTAAAGGTCCGGGAAGTGAAAGAGCAATTAAGAGATCACCATTCTATCATGACTATAATCTGAGAAATCAACAGAAAACTCAGCTTTCCTCAAGTGTTGGCATCTGGCTCTAAACTCCCTTCCAGCTGTCTTACATTATCATACACTATGTTTCCCATAGGTATGATGACATGTAACCACAAATTTCTGGGACAGTCCCAATCTCTAATATTTTTTTCTATCAACATACCAGGTTTTAAATCAAGTTTCCCTCTCTGTGGTTTAGGAAATATGGTCATGATATCCATGAACAGAAAAAAATCTACATAATAATTAGGTTTATACTGCTATGCTGAAACTGATGGCTAAGATGATTAAATGTTAACAGGAGATTACATTAAAAATTGTTGTGTATTCTTTGAAAAGCTTGCAGTTAATATAACGGCTTCACAAAAAGCTACTTTTATGTGCATAATAACAGGTAGAAAGCGAATATGCTCCAGGCACTATATTAAGTACATCAAATATTTAATTGTCTCCACAACCACATGGGACTATTATTCTCCCACTTTGGAGGTGAAGAAGCAGGCTTAGAGAGGCTAAGAGACTTGCCTTGTCACATAGGGAATAAGGGGAGGAGCTAGAATTCATACTCTGATGGGTAGAAACCAGAGACTGAGTTCTTAGTACGCCAAAGTGCTTAGAAGTAGACTACCGAAATAACTGAATTGCATTTTGGTGAATTCTTTGGAAGCCTATAGGAAAACTCCTTAAAATATGTACAGAAAGATGAATAGTATAGAAGGAACATAGGAATCACAGTTCAACTTTATCACTTCCTGGCAAACTTTCGTTTCCTCTTTAAAATGGCAGGAACAATATCCATTTCTAATGATAATAGCTATCATTTATTGAACACTTGCTAGGTGCCAAGTACATGGGTAATTTATACACACTAACCTGTATAAATCTCACAAATCCCTTTGAAGATGCTATTAACATCTCTATCTTACAGACAGAAATTTCAAGCTCAAAGCAGTTGAGTAACTTGCCCAGAGTTAAACAGAAAGATAATGCTAAAGGCAACTTTTCACCCCCATCTGCCTAATGTTAAAGTTCACACTCTATGATGCTATACTGCTTTTCATTCTAAAGGAGCTGCATTCTTCTTTAGAATTTGGAGATTGGATTGTCCTTTAAGAATTAAATTTAAAAATGTTACCTGTGTGAAGCTGAGATGTGAAAACATAGCAGAGTGATTCCCAGGCAACCTGAGATAATTCATTAGTTCATTTAAAGAAAGTATGTTGATGAGTATTGGAAACATCCAAGAGAGTAACAATAGGGCCAAAAAAAAAATAGCTTTATCTACTCCTCTAAGCACTAGGTGCCTGGTCCTAGGATATGAGGTCCAGAAACGAGGGTAGATATAGATAGCCCTATTGTGGAAACCTGGCTATCTCAGCCAATGCTATAAAAAGTTAGAATCATTTGTTCACCAAGTAAACATCTAATTAAAAGTTGGCTTCCCACATAATGTGCCTGTAAGAGAATACATCAGCCACCAAAAATACATGTTTAGTTCCTCTGGCAATTATATTTCTTATTGTCAATTAAAAAGGAGGTGTCTCATCTCTATGACTTTGGTTAATACAAGCCCACCTTTGAGAAGCAGATCCACTGATACTATGCCGACATTAGTTTCCAAGCCTTCAAAAAAAAGAGTCACCTAGAAGGTCAGCTCCTGAGAGAAGGATGACTTTACCAAGATAATGAAAGCTACCTGGAGCAGTCCTGTTTAGATGTTCAGCCAGTCATCACTGGGCAACATCCTATACATGGAGTCTTAATGGAAACCAACACAGACTGTTGCCATGTTTCATTAGAAAAAAAAAAAGGTCTACACGTGGGTGCTTTTCAAACTATACAGTGATAGCCAAACATTAGTTTTTAATATGTCAATTTAATGAAGGGCAATGAACAAAATCACAGGTGTCTTTAAAATTCTATGCTATTAGTTCTCACTTCTTTTGTTTCACCCATGTGCTTCACTATAAGCTCTTCTACATCTGTGGTAGCAGTCCTCAGCCTGTCTTCACTGTGCTGGCTGGAATAAGCACCAAACAGAGTTGTTCTTCTGTAGTAGCAAGGGGATTGATTTCTTCTTTTTCAAGATGGTGAAGTATGTCTTCTAACTGAACTTTTCCCTTGATAGAAGAAATAAGCATATGTATATGAACACACACACACACACAACTGAGGATGCAAGATATCTATGTGGGTGCCACCTTAGTCTCCTTATTAGAGTACTAGTCTTTAGGGTACTAGCAATAGAAAGCTAGTAAGCTACCTGAACCTTCATCACACTTATGTATGTGTATGTATATATATCTTGGAAAATCCAAGATATTTCTAAAGAACAAAATATAGCTGGCAATACACATACAAAGCTGCTATGTGAGGAAAACTGAAAGCAGGAATAAAGAAGTCTATGTATATATGACTAGAGTCAGACTCTCTACAATGTATATTTTACTTTTCCTGTTGTTATCTAGTTATGAGCACTTAAATGAAACAGCTGGTAATACCGAAAAATGTAAGCTTTGAACAACTGTGTATCTTCTAAAATAACAAATGACATGATATACTTAATGAAAATTATGTACAATGGAAAAAAAAAAAGCTTTTCTGTCTGTTCTAAAGTTTGCAACTTTTATCTGAAAAGTCTCCCAAAGGGCTCTTGTTTCTTTTTTAAAGTCCAAAGAAGTCTTTGTTCCTTTTATTGCATATTTAGAAATAAAAGGATTCCTCTGGAAGCTAGAGAGGCCCCTAATTCTATACTATCCAGGATTTATTTTACTCACAGAATATGTCTTATAATTTATGTTGACTTCTCATTAATTCAGTTCTTTTCTGCAACTTCTTGGTCTAAGCCTGCTATCAATATCAATTTTTTTAGGTTGCAAGTAATCATGACATAACAGTTTGCAGTATGACAGTATATGAAAGATAAATATCTGCTGATCGATGAAGTGATATCTGTGTTACTAGAGCCACTAACTATTTTTTTTTCTTTGAGATGGAGTCTACCTCTGTTGCCCAGGCTGGAGTGCAGTGGTGTGATCTCAGCTCACTGTACCTCTGCCTCCTGGGTTCAAGTGATTCTCCTGCCTCAGCCTCCTGAGTAGCTGGGATTACAGGTGTGTGCCACCACACCTGGCTAATTTTTGTATTTTTAGTAGAGACGAGGTTTCACCATGTTGGTCAGGCTCGTCTCGAACTCCTGACCTCAAGTGATTAAAACCACTAACTATTAATAGGACTTGCTGTTCTAATCAAATACAACTTTTAACCAAGTTAATCTGACCCAAATTGCAGTGACAGACATAATTGTTATTGTACTTCAGTCCACATAAATATACTATTTTGCTTTTTAAAAGCAAAACCATATTTTTATTATTTTTCTCCTTGATTGCTAAGTTTTCTAGAGTCTTACCATTTCCACATCAACAGTATTTATAGATGATAAATGGTTTTAATTATCAGCTGATACTCATACTGATGAAAAACACCCAAGTCTGAATCCTGCACCTCTGTAGGTCCTCTTCATGACATATAACTAAAAATTTTCTTCTGTTCCCCCGACCTCCTTCACCTGGTCCCCACTCATATCTTCCCCCTTCTCCCTACAAGGTCTTTGAGCATCATACAGTTATTTGTGGTTTTAGTCCTGGGTAGCAGAGAGCCCAAGATACTAAGAATACATAGCATCCTATGAGGACTATTTGGCAATATGGAAAAATGCTAAGAAATATGTGATAATGCTAAGAGAAAAAGCACAATGCAAAAGTATTATTATAACTATGTAAACACCAGACACACAAAGAAAAGACTGGAAGCAAATACCTCAAAGTGCTAAAAGCAGTTGTGATAAACTGATGAGGTAATTAGAAAATAAATGCTTAAATTATTATAAGTCCTGTACTGTGGGTTGCTTGCCCAACAGCATAATCCCCATGCTGTAGGGGTGGAGTAGGGGAGTCTAAGGTTGGAGGATGTTAAAAGGAAAAGGGGATCAGGATATTGGAAAATACCTTTGGATCTGATCCTTGCTGATCAGTAGGACGGTACAGGCTTCAGGTCAATACTCAAGTGCACAAATCACCCAAGCTCCTTCACTTGACCATTCTCCCAAAGCCAGTGATCTTTATGCACATTTTATTTAGCTGCCCATCCTCATGGCTACACCTGAGTCCTTATCAACAGCCTGAGCTAATGTTGAAACCCTGCCATCCTAAACTCCATGTGTCTCCCTCTAACACCTTCTATGCTTCTTCCCCCTTTTTCTTAATTGTTGTAAATATACATAACTTAAAATTTACCATTTTAACCATTTTTAATAAAATTCCATGGGATGAAGTACAATCACAATGTTGTCTAACCATCACCACAATCATTTCCAGAAATTTTTCATTATGCCAAACAGAAACTCTATACCCATTAAACAATAACTTCTCATTCCCCTCACCCCCAGGCCCTGGGAATCTCTATTCTACTTTCTGTCTCTATAAACCTGCCTATTTTATACAACTCATAGAAATGGAATCATACAATATTTGTCCTTTTGTATTGGCTTATTTCATGCAGCATAATGTCTTCAAGATTCATCCATGTTGTATCGCTAATCATAATTTCATTTAAGATTGAATAATATTCCATTGTATGTACATAGCACATTTTATTTATACATTCACCTGTTGATGGACATTGGAGTTGTTTCCACCTTTCAACTATTGTGAATGATGCTGCTATGAACACTGGTGTAAAAGTATTTGAATCCCTGTTTTCAATTCTTTGGGGTATATACGTAGGAGTGGAATTGTTAGATATATAATTCTATGTTTAACTTTTTTTTTGAGGAACTGTCCTACTGTCTTCTACTGCAGCTGCACCATTTTACGTTCCTACCAGCAATGCAGGTCTTAATATCTTCACATCCTTGTCAACACTTACTTTGGGTTACTTTAAAAAAAAAATAGCCATCCTAATGGGTGTGAAGCAGTTGCTCTCTTAAACTAAAAGAATTCTACAATTACAGTGAGACCTCCAATCTCTGGACCATTACATCCTCTCTCAAACTACCAGATACTCTTTGGCTTCACTTGTTTGCCCCTCAAGCCTAAACCCAACTGTTGATCATTTCAATCCTTCACCAACATCCCCAGTTATCTTACCCCTTTGTCCCACCTTCCTTGCAAATCTCAGCCCTGTAAAAGTTCATGCATTTGACTATTATCCACCTATTTTAGGTTGCTGAGTGCCGATAGAGAACAAAATCAAACAGGCATGCAAATCTGAACCATTACAAATTCATGGCCTCTGGTCTGAGCCAAGCTTCTCAACCGCTGGGTCATTTATGAGTTGCTAGTTTCTGTTACTATTTCACTCAGCAACTATTCAAAACTTTTACCTCTCCCATCAAACTGAATATCTCATCTCTCCCCTCACTCTTGGCAAATGACCTTGTCTCCCAGAGAACTAGTAAAACAAAGGTCATCATAAAACAGTCAGTTGCTTCTCCTCATCAACATACCAACCTTCATCTTTACCAATCTTGTCCTCTTTCCCTTCTCAGTGGAAGAGCTTCCCATCCTCCTGATCAAGGTTAATCCCTTTACCTGTATTCTAGGCCCCATCCCATACTGCTTCCTTAGGGAAGCATTTTCTTTTCTGTATGTTCCTTATCTCCTTTTCTACTGTTCTCTTGTCCTCAGCTCAAGACATCTCTGGTCTTAAAGATACAAGAAATAACCTTCCTTTAGCCCCACCATATACCTCTCTAGCTACTGTCCTGTTTTGGACAATTTGTCTCCCACACTCCTATACTGTGGCTTCTGTGCTTGGCTTCCACACTCTTACACTTGCTGCATTTTGCCTTCTGCTCTTACCATTGTACTCAAATTATCAGTCAACAATGAACTCAAAATGCCATATCCATAGCTCACTACAGTTTCAAACTCCTGCGCTCTAGTGATCCTCCTGACTCAGCCTCATGAGGAGCTAGGACTACAGAAATGTGCCAACATGCCCATCTTATTTTTAAAATTATTTTTTTAGAGACGAGGGTCTTATATGTTGCCCAGGCTGGAATTGAACACCGGGGCTCAAGTGATCCTCCCATTTCAGCCTCTCAAAGTGCTGGGATTACAGGCGTGAGCCACTGTGTCTGGCCCTGTTTTTGTTTGTTTTAACATATGATCTCTTTGCTGTACGTCTTCACTCCTTCCCTGAAAGTTTTTTTTTTTTTAATTCTGTTCTGTGATGTCACTTTCTCCTGTTTTGACTCCTATGTCTCTAGCCTTTCCTTCTCAGTATGCTTCCTGGGTTCCTCCTCTTCCATCCCTTCAAATGCTGCCATTTCCAGGAAAACCCTGCCTTTAGCTCTCTGCCCTTCTCACTACCATGTGATTAATAGCTTGGGCACAGGAGTCTAATATACCTTGGCTCAAACCTTGGCTTCGCTACTTTGTAATTGTGTGACTTACACAAGTCAGGTAACTTCTTTAAATTTTTATTCTGTCTGTAGAATAAATGTAATAGTAATGCCTACCTCACTCTGTTGTTTGAAAGATTAAATAAGAATCTCTCTCTGCTATGCTCCAGATCAATCTAGAAGAAGTGGCAAGAAACAGAAACACATTGAAGTTGGAACAAATACAGGTGAGTGTGGCAGAGACTGCTGGTGTCCTTTAATATTTACTATTCCCTTCTTCCACAGAAATAAGATATTTAGTGTTTTGACTGATCACAAGACTGACTTCCTTACTGATAGATACAGCCAGGTGACCAAGTTCTGACCAATGGGTGTAAATGGAATTATGTGGTGCTTCCAGAAACTGTCCTTAAGGAATGTGATGCCCCCTTTCTTGCTCCTTACTCCTTTCTACTAGCTGGAATTCAGACAAGATAGCTGAAGCTTGAGCAGCTATCCTGGGCACCATAAGCTGGAAACCACATGCCATGGATGCTATAATATCAGGAGAGAAGAAATCTGGGTCTCTGACCATTTCAAGGTGCTGCCCCACCAGTTATAGATTGTTTTATTTTTGACTTTTATGTGGGAGGAATACATTTCTTTCTTTTTCAACGCATTATTATTTTGGGCTTTCTGTCCCTCACACAACCAGCTAATCCCAACTACTATATGAGGGTTATTGAGTGGATGAGGTACAAGGACATATGCTGGAAACTAAATGTGGCTACACAGGAATTGGATACAGAACTACACAGCCATTAACAGTCTCTCCTGACCCATGAGGTCTTCTGTCTCTGAGCTTCCCTGCGAGTTTGCTCCTCTTGCTTCTCTACAGAGAAAAACTTCCTCTGCTTGCTCATCAGCAAGGCTGAAAAGAACTATTCAAGTCCTTAGCGAATGTGACTTTTTAGATTAAGCCATTTCTATCTTTGTATCTCTTAGTTCAAATTTTTGAAAGAGACAATTGTTTGTTGCTCACCAAATAGGCTGTGTCCCCCTCTCCAAAGTTACCTGTATTTTCCCCATTCAGTCAGTTGTACATGGAATGGGTTGGAAGTAGAGGTACAAATATGGCCTCTGAGGGCCTACTCTTTAAGCAAGATTTGGCAGACAGATCCAAGTTCCAGAGAAGAGGCTATAAGCTAAGAGGGCAATATAAAATGAGTCTACTGTTTAAGACCAATGCGTGTCCAGTTTTCTAGTGAACAACTCAGCTTGAACAACCCATTCATCTTTCCCTCCTCCTTCTCTATTTCATAGTTAAAATCACTGTCAACATAGTTTCCCAAGCCAGAAACCCAGGAGTCATCCTTGATCCTCCTTCCTATTCATTCTACTCTGGTATGCAACCAGTCACTGAATTTGCAGTACTTCTTTCATCATTTTCTAATTCATCCTCTCCATGTCTAGGGTTACTGCCTTAGTTTAGGCTTGCCTACTATTTGTTCAATTTAGTATAATAGCAACCTTAACTGATGTTCCTGCTGCCAGGCTGGCCCTCATCCAATCCATTCTCAGCAAAACTCCAGACTGATCCTCCTGAATGCAAATCACTTGCTGCTTAACCTTCTTGTTGCTTTCATGTAGAGTTCAAACCCTTTAGCTTGGGACCAGATATTCTTCACAATCTGGTTCCTCCCAGTCTCTCTAGCCTTGTCTTCTGCCGCACCTTGACATTAGCCATTCATGTCAGTATACTTATTGGTCCCTATCATGCTGCTTATATTTCCACAAATTTTGACATTCAGGTCACTCTACCTGGAATGGTGCTATGAGATCCCCAAACAAACATTTTCCCAGTGGATTTATTGAGACCTGATGATTAACTTTTAAATTCTAGTAAACTAGATCTTGAAGTAATAAAACTAAATTATAAATGCTCTGACATCTAAACTGTACCTAAAATTGCCCACACAACAAAGTACATAAGAATACTATTCTTGGCCGGGCGCAGAGGCTCATGCCTGTAATCCCAGCACTTTGGGAGGCCGAGGCAGATGGATCACCTGAGGTCAGGAGTTCAAGACTGGCCTGGCCAACATGGGGAAACCTCATCTCTACTAAAAATACAAAAATTAGCCGGGCATGGTGGCGGGTGCCTGTAATCCCAGCTACCCAGGAGGCTGAGGCAGGAGAATCGCTGGAACCCGGGAGGCAGAGGCTGCAGTGAGCCGAGATCTCAACACTGCACTCCAGCCTGGGCGACAGAGCAAGGCTCCATCTCAAAAAAAAAAAACAAAACAAAACAACAACAACAAAAAAACTATTCTGTCCAAAGTAGATACTAAGTAAATGCTCATTAAATCTCTTAAAAATCCAATCTCTGGAAAGAAGTGCATCCTGAAGTAGGTTTAGGCCTCCAAAAACTTCTAGATGTAAAGAATAAGGTGGTAAAGCAAACTGAGACAAAGAATTTTAAACGAGAAGAGGACAAGGAGAATGGGTGCAGTCTCCTTGTTTTTTCTCCTGGTAGGTACTCTCCAACTGCATTGCAGGGGCCAGGACCCTATCTTACGCCATAGCACATCTCCTGCCTCTGAGCAAAGGCTGAGCTTTGGATTCCAAAGTCTTTGAGTGACTCTAGGGAACAAAGTACATAGCACAGCCACAAAAACTGAAATATGCTGTCAGGTGACTTTTCACTGTAACCTTTCTTTCTTCTATTTTCCACTCCTTTCACACAAATATAATTTAAAACTCACACACATCTTAAATAAAATACATATTATGCACAGTTTTTCAATTCCCAAATAAAATTAGTATACTTTTTTCAAAAGTTGAAAACACTGTAGCAATGTAAAAAATGTTTAAAATATAAAGTGAAAAAGAAAGGCAAAATGTACATAACTATGTAAAAATGTACACAGCTAAGCAAGAGTGACAGAACAAAAAAATGAACTGTTGATGTGTTAAGACAGAGTTTCTCAACCCTGGCACTACTGACATTCTGAGCTGTTGTGGAGGCAGTTCTGTGCATATTAAGATATGGAGCAGCATCCCTGATCTCTACCAACTATATGTCAGTAGCATATCCCTAGTTGTGACAACTAAAAATGCTTACGTACATTGCCAAATGTCTCACAGGGGGCAAAACCCCACCCCACTCCCCAGGTTTAAAACTGTGCTAGAGGTCGGGTACCGTGGCTCACACTTGTAATCCCAGCACTTTGGGAGGCTGAGGTGGGCGGATCACCTGGGGTCAGGAGTTCAAGACTCAGCCTGACCAACGTGGAGAAACCCCGTCTCTACTAAAAATACAAAATTAGCAGGGTGTGGTGGCACATGCCTATAATCCCAGCTACTCAGGAGGCTGAAGCAGGAGAATCACTTGAACCCGGGAGGCGGAGGTTGCAGTGGGCCAAGATCGCGCCATTGCAATACAGCCTGGGCAACAAGAGTGAAATTCCGTCTCAAACAAAACAAAACAAAACAAAAACAAAAACAAAAAAAACTGTCCTAGAATGACAGGAATTTATTTTTTTTGAGACAGGGTCTCACTCTGTAGCCCAGGTTGGAGCGCAGTGGTGCGATCATAGCTCACTGCAGCCTCGATCTCCCAGGATCAAGTGATCCTCCCACCTCAGCCTCCAGAGTAGCCAGGCTACAGGAGTGCTCCACCATGCCTGGCTAATTTTTTGCATTTTTTGTAGAGTCAGGTTTTTGCCATGTTTGCCCAGGTTAAATTGTTTTTAAATTTATGCCTTGCTATTCAATAAATACATATTAGAAGAGGAAAGGAAAGGAAAGCCCCTTACAATATAGCATCTAACACTTTTTTCAAGAGTTAGGTTTTATCCAGTTCCAATTTAATGTGCAAGATTGAAAAGGCTGCAGAACTTGTTTTTGTTTTCCGATCTATTCTAGAGGAGAAAGCTGAATTTCTCAGTATTTAAAAACTTGACCTGGCTCTAAGCATGAGACATCACAAACGACTGCTTCTATTGGACTGAGAAATCAAAATATCCAAATCATTGTAGCCCCAAATAGCTGTTTAAAATGTGTATGTTCTGTATGTCCTCAAAATAGGTTTACTTTTAAACCTGAATACTGAAGAAGAAATAGTAAGATTCAACAAGGAATGCGTATTGTAAGACAAATTAAGTCAAGCTTTCCAAGCTAAAATAAAATTGCACTGGATCTAAATTAATCTTATGCCATATTTAAGGCCCTCTGTTCCAGCCTTTTTAGAACAATTGTGTCTGCTCCCTTGCCAAAAATATTTATTTTCAATCACTCCTTATTGTTTTCATTTATTGGCTTACATCACAAAGAATGTTTTCTGATTCAGAAATTGACAGGAAAAGAAGGCACAAGTACTATTTCAATCATCTCCTCTCCAGAAAATTACATCATATCCCCAGTGTTGGGTTCATATGGGCTTAAAGTTGAAATCCTGTCTTACATGATCACTTTGAATGCCCTTTTCACATTGATAAACACATCAATAAAATTTAATGAAACAAGGAACAACCTTCTTTCATTATGTAAGCCTGAAATGGGTCCAATACTGCAATTTTGATTTTTTTTTCCATTTTCAAAACACACTAGACCTACAGTATTTAATGTTTATATTTACCAATTTGCACTTCTCCTAGTCTCTAGTTTACCCAAGACTGAAAGGTTGCCATAGTGCAAAGAAAAACAGAAAATCTTCCCAATGACTGCAGAGCTGGAGAATGCGAAATACTTAGGTACGCAAAGCATTGTAGCAGGAAAGCAGAAGGAGGTGGTCTATAGATGACAGAGGTGGTGCAGACAAATGGACATTCAATAATGTGCAGCGTGAACAGGGAAAAGTTAAAATGGCTGTGAAATAAGCAGGATGAGAAAGCTGGTGCTTGGAGTGATGAGAGAAGTGGAAAAAGTTGTAGCTTGAAAGGCAGAAGGTAACTGACTTCATGACCTCTGATGTTGAGGATACAAAAGGCCTCCAAATCTTCATCGGGATTCAAGGTTCTGCATGACGAACATCGGCCAAAAAAAATCAGAAAACGGTAGTTCTTTGTTCGCGGGCCTACACGTAGGGGAAAGCTGCCCCTCCGTGGACTTCGTAGTGGCCTGGACCTTCGGGCGTTGTCTGTCCAGGGGCGCGTCTCGACACCTCACCTTTAAGTGAGAAAAGGAACGCCGACCTACCTCGCTGAGGATGTTCTAAGCCCGCTCTAATAATAAGCGGCAGCCTAATACTAAATGCTTGTGGCAGCTGGGTCCGGGGAAAACGGGCGAATTCTCCTTCAGGCGGAATCACTCCAGCCAGGGAATAGAAAGGCCGGGCCAGGAGGGGTTCCCCTCCTGTAGTTTCGGACCATACTGGGGAGAAGCAGAAAAGGCCCGTAATGCGGAAAAGAGGGGAGAATGGGTGCTTTCCTCCTTGGGGCTGAGGCAGGAACCTCAAGAACCAAGTCGGAAATTTTCCTGCGGAGGGTGCCGCGAGCGTCCCGGGGTCGCTCGGCCCCTACGCGCTCAGCTGCTAGCTGCAGGTGCCTACGGAGACCTGGGCGTCATAGCAACCGCGCTCGCCGCAGAGACGCAGACGCGTCCTTCCGGCGGGAACCATAGAGACGACGCACGCCAGTGGAACCAGAGACTGTGGTTCTTGTGGAGACTGTTATTATGTCTCACACCATTGGCCTTCGGGTCGGGGGCGGAGTTGTCCCGGCCGTATCGATAGTACAACTCATTCCATTGGCTTTGGAGACAGCTGTAACCATGGTAACATGTCGAGCGTTTGCGACTTAGCGAATACATTTTGTCTTGGGGCGTTCTAGCTCTCAAAGAACTTCCCGCCAGGACTCAGCTGGAGCCCCTGCCTACTAACCTTGGATTTATTTTTCTACAAGTTCCTTCATTCTTAAAGGGGCAGGAAGTGCTAGCTCAAGAGCTCTGAATTTTAGGCCTAGATCGTGTCACTAGCCACGTGGGGCACGTAAGATAAATCACAATTTTTGGATCCAGCTTATTATTGTAAAAAGGAAGAAACTGGGCTTGACTAGAATTGTCCCTAAGGCTGAAGCCCTTTAGAAGTCCTAAGCACTGAAAATTCAGGTAAGATGAACGTTATCTTCCCCACCTATGTAATGCAAAATAAAAACTTATAAATGACACAAAATTTAACATACTCAATTTATATCATCTTTTTAGATGCTCTTATTGCAAAATTCTAGTTAATTATCAAACTCGATTTTAGTCATGTTTTGGGGGCCCTTGCTTTGCTGGTATCCCAAACACAACATTTCTTGGTCTTACTCTAGTTCCCCAAGAGAATACTTCACAAATTTTTGCTGGTTCTACATGCATTATCCGGACGTATTTTACTCTTTATATAATAAAGTGCCTCAACCTCTCCTTCTGGCACTAGACCTCTTGCAAGTGTTTTTTTCTGAACTAAAAGGCTCACCACCAGCACTTGTAGCCCACTTCACTCCTGTTTATCAGTTTAAGTATCACCTACTCAGGGAGACATTCCTTGATCCTCCATCCAAGATCAGGTTCTTAGTTACCCTCATTGACTCATGTTCCTTTTCTTTATACACTTCCATTTGCTATTAAAACACACACACACACTCTCCCCCACCCCCCTGGAATTTTTACTTGTGTAAATAATCTAAGTGCTCTGAATATAAATTAAACTGAAGTGGAAAACACTAAATAATTTCATGTAGAACACTGATTGTTTTTAAGCGTTAACAAGACAGGATATAAAATTCCCAAGGGAGGTAATAATTATGGTAAAGACAAACATTAAGATCACTTCTACTTTTAACCCCATATATCCCCATTGTACATTCAAAGATGACAGTCATCATCCACATAAAGCTATGAATGCAGAGAAGAACATATTCTACTTCTTGCCCTTCAGTACTGCAGCCACTGACAGAGCCCACTGCTTTTGGGGTTTTGCAAATTGGACCTGAAGTTCACTTAAAATCATTGTCAAAGGAGCCTGGGTGGCTGGGCGCGGTGGCTCACGCTTGTAATGCCAGCACTTTGGAAGGCCGGGGCGGGCAGATCACGAGGTCAGGAGATGGAGAACATCCTGGCTAACAAGGTGAAACCCCATCTCTACTAAAAATGCAAAAATTAGCTGGGCGTGGTGGCGGGCGCCTGTAGTCCCAGCTACTAGGGAGGCTGAGGAAGGAGAATGGTGTGAACCCGGGAGGCAGAGCTTGCAGTGAGCCGAGATTGTGCCACTGCACTCCACCCAGGACGACAGAGCAAGACTCCGCTCAAAAAAAAAAAAAAAGAGCCTGGGTAACATAGTAAGACCTTGTCTCTATGAAAAATAAAATATTTAGCCAGGCATGGTGGCACACACCTGTAGTCTCAGCTGCTCAGAAGGCTGTGGCAGTAGGAGTGCTTGAGTCCAGGAGTTCAAGATTACAGTGAACCATGATTGGACCACTGCACTCCAACCTGGGTGACTAAGCATGACCTTGTCTCTAAGAAAATTTTTTTGTTCAAAGGGACTGCTGCTTCCAGAACAGTCTTGACTGCTGCAGTATTTTTCCTCTGTTCAAGGTCACATTTCCTGATTAATGAAGTATTTCAGTCTTAGAATTTCTGTCAAATCTTCTCAATTAAATTTATTGTACTTCTATTATCAGACAGACACAGGGGCTACCCTTCCCTACTCCATGAAACACCATGAATTGTATTTTAAGTCAAATATTTATGTGAAACACAGTACCTGCTTCTACCTTAGTCATCAATGCTAATTTTTCAAATTGCACCTGGACTATCCTACAGATCATTTAGGGAATTTTTTTGCACTATGCTACTTGTGCACTCCAAACCCAAAACGTAGGACAGCAAGAGAAGTATTGAAAGTTTTTCAAAGATTCTCAAGGATTCAAAGATTAAGCAGGGCAGTGGTGTAACACTGCTTTGCTAAGTGAGAAAAACAATAATTGCAACCATTTAGTGAGTGTGAATCAAATGCTAGGCACCAGACTGATGCTTTCTTTTTGCTATTTCATTTGATCCTCACAATAAATGGCATTACTTTGCAGAGAGATTATCCTCATTTTATGCATGTGGACACTGAGATTAAGTCAAATGCCTAAGTTTATAAAGCTAATAGGTGGCACAGCTGGCTAAGTTGACTTCTAGCCCATACTCTACCACACTGTAATGCATCCCTCAGGACAGAGATCACCAAGTGGCCCCTGCCTGGTCCCAGGTGGAAGGACATATTAAGTTAAACTGAAAAGCAGTCCTAAAATACTTGAAATGTAAACTATTACCCAAACATGAGGTGAATCTACAATAAGAAGCAAAAAGTAAATGCAGTGAAAAGCTCACCATTCTACAATCTATCTTCAGGGAGGTATCCTTCTTTCCTACTACTATATTTGATAAATTTCAAACAAAACAAAACATCCTTTCCATTGTGTCAGCTTTTGGACACACACTTTATTGCACTTGATTTTTTTATACATCCATTTCCTAAACAAGATATGTTTATTCATCTTTTTAATCCTCATGGCTCAGCACAGGGCCTGACATACATAGGCATTCAACCAATATTTGATCTCCAAAGCATGACCATTCATGCATCCATAATCCTTTTTCTATAGTATAAAGATGGCTGACATTCAGGCCCCCATGTATATTTTAAGGAATATATAATTCCCAATAAGCTCTTCTTTTTAAAGGTGATTAACAGTTCTAGTGTTCAATTTCAAAATCAAAATGACATCATATCAGGTGTCATTAAAAGACAAATGCCAAACCATATTTGCCTACACACCACTGCCTTTTCCCTTTCTTTCATTTTATCTGTCCATATGAAAGCCATGGTTTTTTTTGTAGTTTTCACCATCTCTAAGAGCCCTGAACAATTTTTGATCCTATAAGGGCTTTTTACTTCAGTTTCTGTCACCTATAAAAGCTGTGTGTCGAGACTGAAGATTATCCACTATCTTCTCTTCTATCTCTACGCCTTTTTCTATTTCTTCCTCTGATAGCAATAACTTGGTTTCCGAGTCTTTGGTTACAATAAACACAAAGGACTGTCGTGACTCAAGGATATTAGCCACCACCACTTGATGCTGATAAATTTCCAAAGCCTTCCGAGCTCGATTAATTACAATGGCGGGGTCAGTCTCCAACTTAAAGGAAATTATAAATGCTTTGGGAGCCCAATCTTTAACCAAAGGAGAAAGCAGTTTTGGCACCATCTTCATTGTTATCTGTATTGGAAAAAGAAAAGCTTAATAAGCAAACAATGGTCATTACCTACCAGGTCAATCTCATGGGAAACTAAGGAATTAAATTTAAGTGGGATTTCTCAACCATCAAACTTTTCAGTTAAATGTTTAGTTTAAAAAGTCTTAGGGGAACACAGTGGCTTGGCCTGTAATCCCAGCACTTTGGAAGGCCAGGATGGGTGGATCGCTTGAGCCCAGTTCAAGACCAGCCTGGGCAACATGGCAAAACCATGTCTCTACAAAAAAATACAAAAATTAGCCAAGCATGGTGGCACCCACCTGTAGTCCCAGCTACTCAGGAGGCTGAGATGGGAAGATCACTTGAGCCTGGAAGGTTGAGGCTGCAGTGAGCTGTGTTCATGCCACTGCACTTCAGCCTGGGCAACAGAGCGACACCTTGTCTCACAAAAAAAAAAAAAAAAAAAAAAAGCCTTGGCTCTGTAGAGTTCACAGCGATGCCTAAATTCAAGGCTCCATACATATTCTGGGGCAAACCATGCCTTCTGAATAAGCCCTGCCATGCTCTGCCAACCTTACCACCATTAATATTTTCTCAAGCATGTCCCTTTATTTTTGAACCAAACCCTCAAATAAACAGATACAAATAATCTGTTCATACAAATATTTGGCAGAAGCCTAAATAAAGTTGGGTTTTTAAACCTCTCAGCCTAAAATATTTCTTGCATTGGTAGAATGGCTATTAGATTCCATTTTTAAATTGTCACATGTAACACAACTTAGCAGTGAGGAAACTGATTTTATTTTCACTTGACCAAAACTCCTAGTACCTCATCCCCAATCCCTTCTCAGGGTAATGTTCAGTTGCTTTGTTACTTTCAAGATAGAACTAAAAACTGTGGGATAAACTAAAGATCCCAGAGATTAAAAAGCGTGAAATCACTAAGCTAATCATCAGACTTTGCCCTAAAAAAAAGCTGTTAGTGTGATAGGGATCATATACCAGTTTATTTATACTTTATTTTTCTCCTTAGCATTTATCACTACTAAACGAGTTATGTATTTGACTTATTTATTGTCTCCTCTGCAGAGGAAGCAACACAAAGGCAGGGTATGTTTCTTTTCACTGCTTTCATCTCTAAGTCCTACAGCAGTGTAGGACCTCAATAAACTATTCTACAAAGTCGGCAAATGCCCCACAGATAAGAGTTTCTCCTAATAAAATCCTACCTGTATCACCCAATAAATGACTAAGAACTCCTGAAGGTTCCAAAAATCTAAAATCACAACCACACCTACCTTATCCATATTTCTTCCTTAACCTACAATAGCCCCCAACTAATCTACCCACTCCACTTTCTCCTTCTCTACTTCGTCTTTCATACTGATGCCAGAATGTTGTTCTCAAACAAAAACTTTATCTCATTCTCCTACTTATGTGTCCCTTAGCTCCACAAGAAAAAGTCCAAGCTCCTTAAAAAAGGAAAATAAAGTCTTCTACAAAGCAAGCCATCTCTTCAGTCAGCTCTCCAGCCTTACCAAAGCACTTCGGTTCACAGCCCACTGCCCACTTTCAAATTCCTACTGCCATACTCCACCTGGAATGACCTTTCCCACTTCGTACACCCTCTGCTCATTTTGTTTTGATTTTTGGTGTTTTTTTTTTTTTTTGCGACGGAGTATCGCTCTCGTCGCCCGGGCTGGAGTGCAATGGCGAGATCTCAGCTCACTGCAACCTCCGCCTCCTGGTTTCAAGCGATTCTTCTGCCTCAGCCTCCCGAGTAGCTGGGATTACAGGCGCCTGCCACCACGCCCGGCTAATTTTTGTATTTTTTTAGTAGAGACGGGGTTTCACCATGTTGGCCAGGCTGGTCTCGAACTCCTGACCTCAGGCGATCTGCCCTCCTTGGCCTCCCAAAGTGCTGGGATTACAGGCGTGAGCCACCGCGCTCGGTTCTGCTCATCTTTTAAAACCCAGTTCAATTCATCTCCTCCAAGAAGCTTCATCGACTCCCCCAGGATTCACTCGCCCCATGATCTGACTGCACTTTGTACATACCTCCACTAGAGCATTTATCACTCTGTATTGTAATTATGTCTGTGTCCAGCTCCCTCACTAGATTGTGAGGTCCATGAGGGAGGGCGGTGTCTTATTCATCTCTGTATCCCCTGTGCCTAGCGAATACAGATGCAGAAAGGCCATCTCCAGATCAAGAGGAAATTAACCCAAGATTGGTTATATGGGATTAGATCTCTGGAAGAGAAGCGCCCATCACCTGCAGTGGGCCCCCAGATGA
Organism: Homo sapiens; assembly: GCF_000001405.40. Taxonomy (NCBI): domain Eukaryota; kingdom Metazoa; phylum Chordata; class Mammalia; order Primates; family Hominidae; genus Homo; species Homo sapiens. The sequence continues at coordinate 42,457,329 of NC_000001.11, read as the reverse complement.
CTGGATCTTGTGTTCAGGCATTTCAGAGACAGGAACATAGAAATCTGACACAGCCGCAGCCAGGTAAAACATCGCAGAAGGGCCTGCAAAGAGAAACACAAGGTGTTAACAAATCGGCGAGGTACGATATAGGATCAGCTCCTTCTCAACTCGGGTTCCCCAGCTGAGATCCGTGGGTAAGCAGGAGGTAAGGGGATAAGTGGCTGGAAAGAAAGGCTGTGCTTCCAGGCAAAAGGGGTACTCCTAGGGCACGCACCTAGCGGATTGAGTGCCTGGGCCGCAGCCTGCAACAGATGCAAATAGTCCGCCAAAGTGGTGAACTCTACTGCCAGGAAGGTGCCTGCAGCCGCAGCCTCCTGGTAGCTCCTCAGAGCCTCAGCAAAACCCGGAAGTGCATTCTCCTCGGCCTCCAGGCTCAGCAAGCCCGAAAGGGCTGGGCCCGAAGGCCGCAGAGCGGACAGCCAAGTCTGGGGTGGGAAGCGGTGGGCATAGGGGAAGGCAGAGCGAGCGCGATACAAGAACAGGACCCCGTAGCCGGCGGCTAGGAAGGCCTCGGCCGAGGTTGCACCGCGCCGCCCGCTGCTGAAGTTGTCCAGGAAGCGCACCGGCCGCGCTTCCAGTGGGACCTTGGTGCCGCCTGACGTAACCAACACCACCCGCCGGCCCTGCGCGCCCAGCCTGGCCGCGAAGCGAGCCATAACCTCAGCCCAGCGCGCAGCACCGGGAGGCTGGGGGAACTCGGCTACCGGATCCATTTCCGCCATCTGCAGCGCAGCGGCCGGCGCCTGCGCACGTTTCGCGGCCGCCGCGCCACGCCCCTTCTCGCCTACCTGGTGTACGCGCCGCGCCGTACTGAGTGGGCGGTTCACTACCCTTCTTTTGACACTAGGTCCCGATCTCGCCAAGTCTGGAAATGCGTAGTTGTTCTGCCCCAGAGCCCAGCGAAAGTGACACTGCAACGAGGGGGATCCCCGGCTGGGTGGGCATCTGGTAGGGTCACGTTCCCTCACGTTCGTTTCCTAGCCTGGGTGAAGAACTGGCCATGTTTGACCCTTACCGGCCACTGTACGGGCCTTTCTGGACTTGGACTCCTTGGGAGTCGTTTCTCGGCCATTTGACCCGTGGGACTTGTGGGTTTTGTGCTGCTTTTTCTTTCTTTCTTCCCCTTTTCCAACTTCAGCAATACACCCAGATGTTAGTCGAGTCACGTCCCGCCGCCCTCTGCCCTTGAAATGCTGGCAAGTACGCAGCCCCGCGATCGTCACGTGACGCCGGGGTTCAGCGTATCCTTGCTGGGCAACCGTCTTAGAGACCAGCACTGCTGGCTGCACCATGAATGTGATCTACCCACTGGCAGTCCCCAAGGGGCGCAGACTCTGCTGTGAGGTGTGCGAAGCCCCAGCCGAGCGGGTGTGCGCGGCCTGCACAGTCACTTATTACTGGTAGGCCCTGAAACGTGGCACCTGGGCGCTATAACTCCCTCCCTCTCTCCCTTTCCCGGGTCTGGCTTGGGTACCTTGCGTTAGCCGTTGCCCCTGACTCTGCAAGGGACACCTCAAAACGGCTTTAAGACAGGCCCCTAAGACTCCCGTGGCCTCGTCTGTCTCATCTCCCACTTATTCGTCACTCATGTTTTCTGAAGGCGTACTCTGTGTTATGCACTATTTTAGGTGCTAAAGTTACTGGGGCAGCTCGGTAGATCAGTTCCTTCAAAGATCTAACATTCCAATGTGGGAGACAAATCAGTAAAGAAACAGGCCGGGCGCGGTGGCTCACGCCTGTAATCCCAGCACTTCGGGAGGCCGAGGCGGGCGGATCGCCTGAGGTCAGGAGTTCGAGACCAGCCTGGCCAACATGGTGAAACCCTGTCTCTACTAAAAAATACAAAAATTAGGCGGGAGTGGTGCTGGGCGCCTGTAATCCCAGCTACTCGGGAGGCTGAAGCAGAAGAATCGCTTGAACCCGGGAGGCGGAGCTCGCAGTGAGCGGAGATCGCGCCACTGCACTCCAGCTTGGGCAACGAGAGTGAGACGATAGTGAATGGGGCAGTATGTGGAAAGCTTTCCCTGTGGAAGAAACATTTGAGCTGCATTTTGAGAGGGCAGTCAGAACCTGCTGTGTACAGGAGTAGTGAAGAAGGGTAGGGCATTCCCGGCATCCGGGACTGCTAGGGCAAATGGCAAAAGAACAGAGTTTGCTAAGGGCCGAGTGGAGAACGTAGTAGTGGAGGGAGCAGTCAGTGATTTTCAAACTGCAGGCCAGGGCCCTTTAGCAGTTTATGAATAAGTCACAATCACCATTTAGAGAAAACAACAACAACAAAAAAGAGCACAGAATGAGTAGAAAGTATCAGGTTAATCCTACCTGAATTGTTTCTTAAAACTTTTGTCTTAGTGTTTTATGTGGACATGTGTGTGTGTACAGGAAAAATGTATTTCTTACTATAGGTTGAGTCAAAATTAGCCGGATGTGGTGGCGTGCACCTGTAATCCTAGCTACTCGGGAGGCTGAAGCAGGAGAATCGTTTGAACCCGGGAGGCGGAGGTTGCAGTGAGCCGAGATCGCTCCATTGCACTCCAGCTTGGGCAACAAGAGTGAAACTGTGTCTCAAAAAAAAAAAAAAAAGTTGGAACATCATTGTGATAGGTAGTAGAAGTTTAAACCAAGAAGATAAAGGTTAGGGCTAGACAGTGACATGAGATCAAGGGTTTGGAATTTATCTCCTGGGAAACCATGAATGGTTTTGAGCTGACATGCTCTCATTTGTGTTAAGGAAAGAGGATGGGCTGCAGTGTGGCAGATACAGAGGAAGGTAGACACTGACGGCTGCATAACAGATCAAGAAGCTGTTGCAGTACCTTCTCATACTGGCCTAGGTGTCCTTCCTCAGTGCTCTCAAAGCACTGAGTATGTCCCCTATCCTAACACTTAGGACATGGACTGAAATCATTTATTTATTTCTTTCATTAGGCTGTATGCCCCACAAGGGCAGGGATGGTATCTGTGTTTTCATTGCTATCTCCTCTTTGGTGGCTTCCTTGCCTTTAGAATATAATTAAGAATTTGTAACAGAAAATACAAGGCCCTGGTTATTTCTCTACCTTCACTTCCCACCACACTCACCCCATTTTTTCTTTGCTGTAGTTATAGAGAACTGAAGTTCTAATTTGCTAAGCCCTTTCTTCCCTCAGTTTCTTTTCCCAGTCTGTTCTCTCTGCTAGGAACCTCCCCTTCAACTACAAGCCTTCCTGGCTCCCTTTCATCCTTCAGTTCTCAGTTTAAATGTCATTTCTTCAAAGAGGTCTAAACCCAGTCTCAACTCCCCGTCATACTTTTCTCTCTCACAGTACCATTTTTCTTTGCTTTTTCTGTACTTTTATATTATTGTGTTTGCTTGTCTGATGTCTATGTCTTTTACTAGACCCAGTGGCCACACATACCAGACACTCAATGAACATCTGTTGAATAAAACTAAATGGATAATAAACCCATTAACTTGGGCAAGGAACACGGGGAAAAGATGACGGGCATCAGATTTGGTTGTAGGCATAGAGTTTAAGAGGCCTTTGGGTCACCCCCAGAGAGATGGCCAGTAAACCGCCGTGGGTAAAACCTGCCACTCAGGCTTGGGAAAGATTCAATCCTTTTGCTTGGTGTGAGCACTGACTTTTTCCTTAAAACACCCCTGTCCTCTGTATCCCTCCAGCCGGAAGTAATTCCTTCTTCCTCTGAACTAACTTTACAGTACTCTGTATCTCTCAGATGACTCATATTTCTCTTCATTTTAATTGTTGGTGAGTGTGTTATTTCAATTCTGTTATGCTCCATTAATGCTAGATACTATGTCAAATGTGTACAGAGGGACTGTCAAGTATGCTAACTTTTGATCTATGTCCGACCTGTCATTGTATGCCCCATAGTCTCTAGCAAAGTGTCTTGAAATAGTTGGCACTTGTGCTTTTATCCCTTGGGCCAAAAAATAAAAATGTGAAAAAAAAGACATAGTTGGCACTAATATCTGATAAATGCATGTATAAATTATCATCTTCTATGCCCTTATCTTCGATTTTTTTTCTTTTACTTGCTTTTAATTCTCTTTAAGACCTTCTCCTTTTGTTTTTTTGCTTCCTTTTCTCCAGATTTCTATGTCTTTGGGTCTTGCAGATTTCAAGATTTTTTGATAAAACAAAACTGAGGTTGTTGTTCTATAGGTTTTGATGGTCGAATGTAAAGCATCTAGTACCCTTCCTGGAACCATGTTGGCACACAGTAAATGTTCCTTTTCATCATCCCAAGTTTAAGGAACAAGAAAGTCAGTCTGAATTTGTGAAAGTTTTTTTCTGCAAAAGAATTTTTTTCCTGATTATAATTGCAATTCATGCTCACTGCAGAAAACCTGAAAATATAAAAAATCAAGAAGAAAAATAAGCCATAGTCCCACAACCCAGGGATTAATAACCTGAAATTTTGGTGAATTTCCTTCTTTTCTCTGAATACATTTATTTTATATATTGTGTGTAATCTTGTGCATATTGCTCTATAGTGGATTATGACCATTCTCAGAGAATAGCACATTTTTATTTACTTTAGAGACACAGTAGAACTTTTATTTTTTTATTATTTTTTTGAGACGGAGTCTTGCTCTGTCACCCAGGCTGGAGCGCAGTGGCACCATCTTGGCTCACTGCAACCTCTGTCTCCCGGGTTCAAGCAATTCTCTTGCCTCAGCCTCCCAAGTAGCTGGGATTACAGGGATGCGCCACCACGCCTGGCTAATTTTTTTGTATTTTTAGTAGAGACGGTGTTTCACCATATTGGTCAGGCTGGTCTCGAATTCCTGACCTTGTGATCCGCCCTCCTCGGCCTCCCAAAGTGCTGGGATTACAGGACAGTAGAACATTTTTAAGAAAAGGTAATTTTATGGAAGTACATACTAAAACATTGGTGACAAGTAAAAGAGACTTCAGTACCATAGGTTTGCATGAATTTAAATGTCTTTAGTCAGGGCGTACATTCTGTAATTCACTACAAATACTATTGCTTCCTGTTCTTGAATACCACTTCACCATTCGTTTTCTTCTCCTGGCCAGTGACGGCATTTAAATTTGCGCTTCATATGTCAAACAAAAGGAAAAATTATTGCAAAAAATATTGCAGATCACTAAGAAAACAAACAGTGAAGTGGTATTCAATAATAGGAAGCTATAGGATCAGTGGTGAATTGTAGAATGAATGCCCTACCTAAAGATATTCAAATTCAGCTTAAAAAAAAACATGATAATAGCCAAACAAAACATGTGGCTCACAAGCTACTTAATTGTGAGCCCTGATTGAAAGCATTTATCCATTCCTACTTTATCCCTGACCCTGTGTTAGGTGTTACAGGTGGGACAGATCAATAAGCAGGGAGCCCGCAAATATATAAATAAAGCTCACTTTATTTAGAAAGGCAAGATATGTTAGTGGCTCTCAGTGGAACAAAAGTTCAGGCATCTAAGTTAACATTTCCATTGCTTACAAGCCCCACTTGATAAATTCCCTGTGGAACTCAGCTATATCCTGGCTAAGTGCTTTTATTGATCTGTTTATAATAATTCTCTACCTCCCCAAAAACATTTTAAATGGTTTCTGTCATTTCTTTGGTAGCAGTCACAACTTGTAAAGAATATACTTTAATTGCATTTCTATTGTCCAAGAAGGTGGCAATATTGTCCAAGAAGGTGCTTGAACATGGCTATATATTGTCTGTGGCTGCTTTTGTGCTACAACAGCAGAGTTGAGTAGTTGCAACAGAGATCCTATAGCTCTCAAGCCTAAAATATTTATCTGACCCTTTACAGAAAAGCTTTTCTGATCCCTCCTCTAGATTATTGTTACCTGTTTTGAAATATGTATAAATGGAATCAAACAGTTAACTTACATTTAAGTGAAAATGTGTAATAAGCAATAGAAATGCAAAAACCCATGACTATGCATCTAACAACAGAGCCTCAAAATACATGCAGCAAAAACAGACAGAACTGGGGAGAAAAATAGACAATTTAATAATAATGGTTGAAGACTTCAATATCCTACCTTCAGTGATGAACAGAACAACTAGATGAAAGATCCAGTATCCCACTCTCAGTAATGAATAGAACAACTAGATAGAAGATCAAATATCCCACTTTCAGTAATGCATAGAACAATTAGACAGATCAGCAAGGAAATATAAGACTTGAATCACGCTATAAACCAACTAGACCTAACAGGTATCTGTAGAACACCATTCAATAACATGAGAATGCCTATTCTTCTCTAGTGCGTATAGAACATTATTCAGGATAGAACATATATTAGACCATAAAATAAATCTCAATAAATTTATAGAGATTGATTTCATACAGAGTATGTTCTCCACCTACATGGAATGAAATTAGTAGTCAATAACAAGGAAATTTGGTAAATTTACAAATATGTAGAAATAACACACTCTTAACCAATGAGTCACAGAAGAAATTACAAAGGAAATTAGAAAATGCTTTGAGATAAATGAAAACAAAAACAACATACTAAAACTTAGATGCTGGCAAAGCAGTACTCAGAGGTTACTGTATGAATTTAGTACTCATATGAATTTATACTAATATACATTACATTGAAAAGAAGATCTCAAATCAGTAACCTAGCATTTCATCTTAAGAAACTAGAAAAAGAAGAGCAAACTAAAACATATTTATAAACTCCTTTATGCACAGCCCTGTGTTGGGTATAGACACAAGCTAGCAGAAGAAAGGAAAATTAAAGATTATAGCAGAGATAAAACAGAGAATAAAGAAACTACAGAGAGAACTGATGAGACCAAAAGTTGGCTCCTTGAAAAGACCAACAAAATTGACAAACCTTTAGCTAGGTTGACTGGCCTAGAAAAGAAGATTCAGATTACTAAAATCAGAAATGAAAGTGAGGACATTACTACCAACCTTGCAGAAATAAAAGAGATTATAAGAGAACACTATGAGCAATTGCATGCCAGCATCCCTGTGTGACTTCAGAATGTGAATGTGTGCCTGCAGAAACAACATACTCTCCAATCCCAACACAGTTTATACATCATCAAATAACCACATGAAAGGAAAGAGATTTGAGTCTCAGAAATGGCTTTGAGCTCCCTGCCTGGTTTGTATTTGGCTTACTTTTCTGGTGTCTAGGGATAGGCCAGTAGGAGGGTTAATGGAATCTTAAGTCATGCCAAATATAAAGATCATAAAGTCTATGTTTCCGTTGTCAGTGGGGTGGTACATCAGAAGGCTGACTGGGACAGCATCCATGAGAAAATATGTCAGCTCTTGATTCCACTGCGCACTTCCATGCCCTTCTACAATTCAGAGGAAGAACGGCAGCATGGCCTGCAGCAGCTGCAGCAGCGGCAGGTAGGGCCTACGGCACTTTCCAAGGTTAAGTCGTAGGTGCGGTGAAGCTGCCCAAGACAAGGCTCGAACTGTGTTGGGATCACTAAATTGTAACCTCACGGAGGGCAGAGACTTTGTTTTATATCTTTTTAAGTCCTCAACACCATCCAGTCTGTTGTTTTCCACATTTACTAAATACTTACTGTATTAGTCTGCTAGCACTGTCACAATCAAATATCACAAACTGGGTGGCTCAAACAGCATACATTTATTTCCTCACAGCTCTGGAGGCTGGGAAGTCCAAGATCAAGGGGTCAGCAGGTTTGGTTTCTTCTGAGGCCTCTCTTCCTGGCTTTCAGATGGCTGCCTTCCTACAGTGTCTTCACATGGTCCTTTGTGTGCAAGCATGCCTGGTATCTCTTTGTGTGTCCAATTTCCTCTTTTTATAAAGACACAAGTCAGATTAGGTTAGGGCCCACCCTAATGGCCTCATTCTAACTTAATCACCACTCTACAGGCCCTAGCTCCAATTATAGTCATGTGACAGACTGCAGGATAGGGCTTCAACACATGAATTTTGGCAGGGGACACAGTTCAGCCCATAACATCCACAGATGCCAAGAGTCTGGCCACATAATAGGAGGGTTAAGAATGATGTATGGATATACTACTGAATAAATAAAGGAGGTTACCAAAACCTGCCACTATTATTATGTATAGTGTTGAGTATTATTGAGTATTGAGCATCTCAATCACTCTAAAAAATTAGCCCCTTATTATAAGCCATAAATCTCTAAACATAAGATCCATCCATTTTAGTGTTATGACACTTTGATAGTGGCCTTAGAACAATGCAGAGTTAAAGTTTTTTGTGATATTAGCTAAACAGGATAATTCTGGAAGGGAAAATGAGATGTTTCTCTCAAAATTAACTCAACTAGGAAGGCAGAAAGTTTCAGATTGTCCTGAGACATGCTAGCTTTGCTAAAGTAAAGTTTTATTAGAACTGTAAAAACAATACTCATTTATTCATCTGATAACTCTATATTGAGCATTCATCTATGCCAAGCGCTGAACTAAGATGAAAATACACATGTTCCTGGGCCTTAAGGAACTCATAGTCCAGAGTTTGCTTTCTTATATCACTTATGTGGGGCTTCACGTCCACTCTAATACAGGCAGGCTCACTATGTGCCTTTAACTGGGTCATTAGGTGTTGGCCTTATCCCCAGGGCCATCTACATCCACCTTTGCCTTTAACTTTAGACTGTCTCAGATAGTCTGTTTCTCTCTTCCACAGAAGTATTTGATTGAATTCTGCTACACCATAGCCCAGAAATACCTCTTTGAAGGGAAACACGAAGATGCTGTACCAGCAGCTTTGCAGTCCCTTCGCTTCCGTGTGAAGCTGTATGGCCTGAGCTCCGTAGAGCTTGTGCCTGCTTACCTGCTGTTGGCCGAGGCCAGCCTTGGTGAGTGAAACCGACTTGAGATCCTTGGATCCCTTAAGTGGTGTTATGTTTGGGTCACACCAATGATCAAAGAGTCACCCTTGACAGTGGCACCAAGAGACCTATTGTAGAAGGAGCAGGGTTGCTGTAAAGTTTAGCACAAGGTAGGGAAGGAGATGTCACAGACTTTTGTCTACAACTGGCAGAAATCCACTCAAGCTGGCCTGCACAAAAAGGAGGAACTTTGTGCGGGTGCTGTAGTATCCTACAGGAGCTGAGGCTTCATGAGGGACTAGAATTGGAGTGCCTTTCGTTCTCTCTTGGGCCTTGTCTCCTGTATCTACTTCTCTCTGGGTATCTATCTGCTTTGCTATTTTCCCTCTCTGCAGACCAGATTTGTCTACCCTATGCTCACTGTAGAAGACAGCTACCCCAAAATGTCAGATGGAGTTTTTCAGTTTACGTGTTTTCTAGGTTTGAAGTAGGCAGTAGAAACTAATTAGCTTCTGATTTCCAAATACAAATTCGTAGAAGACAGAATTTTGTTGACATGGCTTGAGTGTGGAATCCACCTTTATTCCCTGGGATCAGAGCCACATAGTTCAGAAATACAGGAACCCACCCCTATAGATGGGAGAGGCAATTCTGAGAGTATAGAGCAGACTTAGCAGATACCCTACATGGTGGCCACCATTTAAAAAAATGCTTCATATGTTTTAATAGCCACCATTAAAAAAATACTTTTTTAAAAGTAAAACTTTTTTAAAAGTAAAACTGTTAAAATTAAGTACAATATAAAGAACTTTTATCCCCTGAGTTCTCTGAGAGTAAGTTGTTCACCTGATTCCCTATCCTTAGAATACTTCAGTGTCCCCTTAGTAAATGAGATATATTGTATTGTGGTTATGAAGGAGAATGTCTTTGTGGGAACCACACAAGGGGACCCTGTCATCTAAGAAGACCCCATTCAAGTTTCTCGAATTTTCCCAATAACATCTTTATAGCAAAAGGATACAGTTCAGGGTCACACTTTTCATTTTGTTGCCATGTGTTGGCAACAAAACTCTGGAATAGTTTCTCAACCTTTTCTTGACTTTTATGATCTTGACACTTTTACAGGTTACAGGCCAATTGTATAAAACATTTCTCAATTTGAGTTTGTCTGATATTTCCTAATGATGGGACTCACGTTATGGATTTTTGGCAAAAACAGTACAGAGGTGATGCTGTGTTCTCATCCCATCCTATAAACTGGCATGTTTTCATTTTTTTCATTACTGATGATGTTCATTTTAATTACTTTATTAGGATGGCGTCTGCCAGTCTTCCTCCCTGTAATGTTACTCTTTCACCCTTCTGTAATTAATAACTTTAATTTTCATTTCATGGATACGTCCTTTGAAACTATATAAATATCCCATTCCTCATCGAATTTTCAATGTATTCATTTAGTTATTTGTATCAGTATTTTATCTTTATTCAATGGGCTTAAATCCATTACTATCGTTAATTTGATCCTCAAACTGTCCCTGATTTGACCAGTGACAAACCCCACTCAAGCTGGCTTCTGCATCTCCCAGATACAACCCCATTTGTTCTTTGCTCACTTGACTGCTTTCTGGAACATACCTCTAAAGAGCCCTGATCTCTTTCAGTGGAAAGTGAAAATCAGAAGCCAAAAGCTGTGCACTAGATGTACTCATGCTTTTGGGGTATTACTGCTCCCAGGCCTTCTCAGTGGAGTTAGGGAGTAAGTGTAAATATAATAATGGGTGTACGTATACACACATTACATCTGTATTTATTTCTATATCTATATATCTTTTTTTTTTTTTTGAGACCGAGTCTCACTCTGTCACCCAGGCTAGAGTGCAGTGGCGCAATCTGAGCTCACTGCAGCCTCCACCTCCCTGGTTCAAGCAATTCTCCTGCCTCAGCCTCCCGAGTAGCTGGGACAACAGGTGTGTGCCACCACGCCTGGCTCATTTTTGTATTTGTAGTAGAGACGGGGTTTCACCATGTTTGTGATCTTGAACTCCTGTCCTCAAGTGATCCACCTGCTTCAGCTTCCCAAAGTGCTGGGATTACAGGTATGAGCCACCGTGTCTGGCCTGTATCTATATATCTACATCAATATCTCTATGACCACTAGTCTATACTGTTTGATCCAGATCTAATACAGCACCATAGGGTTCAATCTGATTTACTTCCATTCCTTAATTGCAACTCCCTTTGCTGACAGCTTTCACTTTCATTGGTTTATTTACATATTAATGAGTTCCCCTGTATGAATCAATCCCCGCTCTCTAACTCCGTCCTTTCCACCTTATAGATACCTCTTCCCGCTCCATGGGCCCTGACTCCCCATTCCAGGCTGCCTCTGCTGCATGGATCCCTCCTCACTTGTGTGGGTTCCAACTCCCCATAACAGGCTGTTTGCCTGCAGGAATGCCCTGCTCACCCTGCCCAGGTCTGACACCCCATTCCAGACTGTCTTTCCTCCAAAGTAATGAGAAAAGCACTGGACAAGAAAATACAGCCCAGGTTCTGTTTACCTCTGACACTGGCTAGCTATGGGATTCTGGAAAAGTCACCCTAGCCCAAGTCTCATCATCTCTCATCTAGACCACTGCCTACTAACTGGTCTCCCCACATCATCTCTGGCCTCCCTCCAATGTGGTTTGCATACAAAAATGTGACCCATCACTCCTCTAAATAAAGATCAAATTTCTAAAGCAACCCATGAGGCTCTGCTTGATCTAGCCGTTAACAAATTCTCTCACCTCAATTCTATCACCTTGTCTCTCTTGAATTATTTTCTCCCTCCCTTCCAGTTACACCGACCGGCCTTCTCTCAGTTCCTCAGAAGCATGATGATTTCCTTGTTTGGAAAGGCTTTTCTGTAGCCACTCTCTCTGCTTCTCCTCCTCTTCCCTTCACCAAATTAACTCCTTATCATCTTTCAGGTTTCAGCTCAAGGGTTACTACTGCCTTGTCTAGAAGCTTTCCCAGGGCTCCAGACCAGGTTGGGTCTCCCCTTTTTTTTTTTTTTTTTTAGACGGAGTCCCGATCTGTTGTACAGGCTGGAGTGCAATGGCCTGATCTTGGCTCACTGCAACCTCTGCCTCCCAGGGACAAGTGATTCTCCCACCTCAGCCTCCCGAGTAGCTAGGACTACAGGCACGCACCACCACGCCCAGCTATTTTTTGTAGTTTTAGTAGAGATAGGGTTTCAGTATGTTGCCCAGGCTGGTCTTGAACTCCTGGCTTCAAATGATCCACCCACCTCAGTCTTCCAAAGTGCTGGGATTACAGGTGTGAGCCACCGCACCCAGCTGGGTCTCATTTTTAATATACTTGTTTAAAGAACTACCCTTTCTGGCCGGGCACGGTGGCTCACACCTGTAATCCCAGCACTTTGGCAGGCTGAGGTGGGCGGATCACGAGGTCAGGAGATCGAGACCATCCTGGCGAACACGGTGAAACCCTGTCTCTACTAAAAATACAAAAAAATTAGCCGGGCGTGGTGGCGGGTGCCTGTAGTCCCAACTACTCTGGAGGCTGGAGCAGGAGAATGGCATGAACCCGGGGGGCGGAGCTTACAGTGAGAGGAGATCGCACCACTACTGCACTCCAGCCTGGGTGACAGAGCGAGACTCCGTCTCAAAAAAAAAAAAAAAAAAAAGAACTACTCCTTTCTTCTGAGCACTTAGTCCATTAATAATTGTATTCATTGATGAGATTATTTAATTGTCTCCCTGCTCCAGTAGACTGTAAGCTCAGGGGAGAACTGGATCTGTGTCTATTCTTAATTATCACGGATGTCTTCACACTCAGCCCAGTACTTAGCACAGAGAAGGTACTAAAAAGATAATTTCACAGTACCTGAAACCTCGTGAGCACTGTGTAAGTATGTGTTGAATCTGAGTTGTCTTCACAGGATTCTTTTAAGGGTGAAATGAGTTCGAGTGTAATGACCATGAAAGTGCTTTGAAGTCTGGAAAGTACTGTCTAAATGGAAGATTTCACTGTAACTTCACAGTCATTGGTTTAAAACCTTGCTAACGTTTCTGGAAGTCTAAAGAAATCACTTTCCTGTGCACATGTTTCTTTCCCATCTTAGAGATTACTTCAGACTGGAGTGATTTGGAAGCAGGAGAGCCTGAGTTCAAATATCATCTCTTTCTTTACTGTCTGGGTGATCGTAGGCACCAAGCTCTTCCTCACTCAGAGCTCTCACATATATGGTTCCTTCTGCCTGGGATGCTCTTTTCTCTCTCATACGTGGCTGGCTTTTGATCATCCTTCAGGTGTCTGCTTAAACTGGCCAGGCATGGTGACTCCCACCTGTAATTTCAGCACTTCGGGAAGTCGAAATGGGAGGATCTCTTGAGCCCAGGAATTCAAGATCAGCCTGGGCAACCTAGCAAGACCTCATCTCTTAAAACAAAAAAATTAGGCGGTCATGGTGGCATGCACTTATAGTAGTCCCAGCTACTTGGGAGACTGAGGTGGGAGGATTGCTTGAGCCCAGCAGGTGGAGGCTGCAGTGAGCTAGGATTTTGGTTACTGTGTTCTGTTCATTTCCTTCACAGCACTCATGTTTTGTCTATTTATTGTATGCCTACTTCACTTGATTTTAAGCTTCTTGGAGTCAGGGATCATGTCTTAGTGTGCATTGAGCATCATGCATTGTGATAGAGACTCAATCAATTAGGTGAATATATGTTTGGTTGAATGAATGAATGAAGTTGCCTCCTCTTCAAATTCCTCATCTGATGATTATTTCACAGGGTTGTTAGCAGACTTAGACCACCGATGCAAAGGGACTAGCACAATGTTGGGCAAATAACAGGTCTTCAATAAATACAGATTCCCTTTTCTTCCCCTGGGCACCTCACAGCCACAACCTTTGACTCAGCTGTGACTGCTGTATGCTGCATTCCTTCACTTTCATCACCAAGTCCTGCAAAATCTTCTCCCATAATATCTCCCAGATCTGCCGTTAACCCAGTGTAAGCCTGTTGCCTCACCCTTCAGACAAGTACCACTGGTCTGTAAGTGGCTGTCCTTTCCCAATTCCATACACTAGTAAAATCACCCTAAGGGATAGTATCACTTCCTTTATGTCTCCACCACCTCCACTTCACCCTATGCCTCTCCAGGTAGGCACTGTCCATAAGAGGCAGGCCTGAACTTACGCACTCACTGGTCACAAGCTTAGTTCTGACTGTAATCTCATGGGCTAGTAGTAGCCCATTCTTCTCACCGTACTCTCTCTCTCTAGCCTCACAGTTTATTCTCCCAAGTATGCCTTTTCCTTTAGGACTGATGCTTGTTTAGATGCTGGTTCAGCTGGGCCTTGGAGTCTTCATTCTTTGGCATTGCCTCCTTGAGTGAGAACTGGATGTTGAAAATTTTAAATTTCCAATATTTGTCAATGCCCTGTCCCATTTTTTTCCCATCTAAACAATCTTAGTTAAGAGTCATTTGCTTCTTCAAATGTGAGAGGACTTCAGCCTAAACCTCATATTTTATAGACAAAGCCTGGAGGGAAGATGTGACTTGCCATGTTCACATGAGCCAGGATCAGGGACTAGGCCTCGTGCTCCTAATCTAGTAGTTTCCCATTTTAGTTTGCACTTTGACCTTCCATCAGGCAAAGTTACTTCCTTCTTCTTGTAGACTGCTTCCTCTTCATCTCTTTTCCTTTAATTCAGTGATGTAGGGTTACAACTAGAATAAAAGCATGCTTACATATGAACTAGGTCTGACAGGAAGGACACAGAGGAGCAGAGGGTTGGCTTATGAGGGGTTCGTGTCCTTACCTCTTAACCCTTTGTTGATGCCATTTCTGCTGCAGCACCTATCACACCAATGCTTCGCCCCCAGAGCACGCCTCCTACCCTGCAGCACACTGACGTAGTGGCTTTCTATTCTGTTCTGACAAATTTCCCCAGGAGTCAAGCAGGTAGGCAGGCCTCTGTATATATAAAGATGATATGTAATACACAAAAAGCTTTAAGTGTCAAGAGTATCTAAATATTAGCAATAAATGTGGCTTTCCTTTCTCTTACCTTCCACATTACTTAGTAACCGTGTGTTGTCCATTTTACTTCCTGTCTCTTTTTGATCTCCTCCTCTTTAGTTCACTGTCTTGTTTCAGGCTCTTAAGCGTGCTTGTCCGAACTATTTCAGACATCTTCCAGTGAATCTTCTACCTTTATTCCTCCCCTCTGGTCCCTCCTCCACATTGGTTCCAGAGGATCTTTCTAAATTTAAATCTGATTCTCTCGCCCTTTTTGAAAATCCTCTAGTTTTTATCCACATGCATCAAGTTCCTTGGTATAACTCACTAAGCCCTCCATGACCTGCCCCCTGCCTACCACCATAGCCTCATTTTCTGCCATTCTGTCTTTCACAATTTGTGCTCCAGCATCACAGGCCGATACAGTCCCTACACCCTCCATATTTGTAGGTTCTGCATCTGCCCATTCAAGCAACCATGGGTCAAAAATATTTTTAAAAATAATACAATGATTAAAAATGATACAAATAAAAACAATACGGCCGGGTGCGGTGGCTCACGCCTGTAATCCCAGCACTTTGGGAGGCCGAGGCGGGCGGATCACAAGGTCAGGAGATCGAGACCATCCCGGCTAAAACGGTGAAACCCCGTCTCTACTAAAAATACAAAAAATTAGCCGGGCGTAGTGGCGGGCGCCTGTAGTCCCAGCTACTTGGGAGGCTGAGGCAGGAGAATGGCGTGAACCTGGGAGGCGGAGCTTGCAGTGAGCCGAGATCCCGCCACTGCACTCCAGCCTGGGCGACAGAGCAAGACTCCGTCTCAAAAAAACAAAACAAAACAAAACAATACATGATGTTACTTGTGGGCTTATAAACAAAAAAAGAAAAAATGTAAACAAAAAAGACAAAAATGATATAGTAGAACAACTATTTACATAGCATTTACTTTGTATTAGGTATTATAAGTAATTTAGAGATGATTTAAAGCATAGGGAATGATGTGCATAGGTTATATGCAAATACTACACTACTTTATATTAGAGCCTTGAGCATCCTTATATTTAGGTATCTGATGGGGGTTCTGGAACCAGTTCCCTGCAGCTGTGACTCTATATAGTTCTATGAACATAACATATTATTTCATATTTCTATGACATTGCACATGCTGTTACTTCTGCCTGGGATGCTCTCCCTGCCTTATCTACCTGGAAAACTTCTATTCATCCTCAAAACCCAGCTCAGACTCTGCTTCAGTGTCCCTCTCCATCTCATCTATAGAATTAAACATTTCCTATCCTCTGACACTTCCAAAGCTTGTGTTGCTATTGCAATTATACTATATTGTAAATATATTTGTTTTCATGTTGCACTTTGATTCCCCATCACCCAACACAAGGCCTGGCACAGAAAGGGTATTAAATATGCATATATATATTTCACAATTGAGATATAATTCACATATCATAAAATTTACCCTTTTAAAGAACAATTAAGGCCAGACACAGTGTCTCACGCCTGTATTCCCAGCACTTTGGGAGGTCGAGGTGGGTGGATCACCTGATGTCAGGGGTTTGAGACCAGCCTGGCAAACATGGTGAAACCCTGTCTCTACTAAAAATACAAAATTAGTGGGGCGTGGTGGTGCATGCTTGCAGTCCCAGCTACTTGGAAGGCTGAGGCATGAGAATCACTTGAACCTGAAGGCAGAGGTTGTAGTGAGCCGAGATCGCGCCACTACACTCCAGTCTGGGCAACAAAGTGAGACTCCCTCAAAAAAACAACAACAACAACAAAAAAAGGACAATCCAGTGGTTGGTTTTAGCACATTCTGAAGGTTGTGCAACAATCACCATGATCTATTTCCACAACATTTTCATCACCCCTAAAAGAAAGCCTGTAATTGTCAGCAGTTACTCCCTCTTAGTGCCTCCCTTGCATTGGACCCCCTGTTAGTGCCTCCCTTGCATTGGACTCCCCCTGTCGCCTGGCCACCACTAGTCTACTTTCCGTCTCTATGGATTTGCCTATTCTGGACATTTCATATAAATGGAATCATACAATATGTGGCCTTTGGTGTCTGGTTTCTTTCACTTAGTATAGTGTTTTCAAAGTTCATCCACATTATAGCAGGTAGCACTACTTCATTCCTTCTTATGACTGAGTAATATTCCACTCATGGAGATGGAGATGGAGATGGAGATGGAGATGCCTCCTTTTGTTCATCCACTCATCAGCTGATGGACATTTACATTGTTTCTGTTTTTTTTTTTTTTACTCTTCCAAATAGGCTGCTGTGAACATTCCTGTATGAGTTTTTCTGTGTCAATAAATACTTGAGTCAATGAATACATGAGTGAATGGGTAATGACTCATATTTCCTCATGTGTTCTTTGGCCTGGATATGAATTATAACCTTCTTTTCTGCTTTTGGGCAGGTCTGGGCCGAATCGTTCAGGCTGAAGAATATCTATTCCAAGCCCAGTGGACAGTCCTCAAATCAACTGACTGTAGTAATGCCACCCACTCTTTACTGCATCGGAATCTGGGACTTCTCTATATAGCTAAGAAAAACTATGAAGAGGCCCGTTATCATCTGGCCAATGATGTAAACAAGCTAAGTTATAACACCTGTATATTTCCAAAATCTAAATTATAACACCTGTATATTTCCAAA
This sequence comes from Homo sapiens, assembly GCF_000001405.40. Lineage (NCBI taxonomy): Eukaryota > Metazoa > Chordata > Mammalia > Primates > Hominidae > Homo > Homo sapiens. The sequence continues at coordinate 42,439,786 of NC_000001.11, read as the reverse complement.
ATCTGTTTAATTTTTTTAAAACTGTGCATTTCTCTAAAACTTTCTGTTTACAACTGATTATTTGGTGGGATGTTAGCCATAACACAATTCTACCGACCCGAGTTCAAGCATTTCTACTTCATAGCTATTCAACCTTGGCCAGGTCACATATTCCTGAAGTTTCAGTTGCCCTGAAGAGTAAAGGGAGGCAAAACAGCATACTCGTTAAGAGAAGGGCTTTGCTGGCCGGGCATGGTGGCTCATGCCTGTAATCCCAGCACTTTGGGAGGCCAAGGTGGGTGGATCACGAGGTCAGGAGATTGAGACCGTCCTGGCCAACATGGTGAAACCCCGTCCCTACTAAAATACAAAAAATTAGCCAGGCGTGGTGGTGCATGCCTGTAGTCCGAGATACTCGGAAGGCTGAGGCAGGGGAATCACCTGAACCCGGGAGGTGGAGGTTGCAGTGAGCCGAGATCGCGCCACTGCACTCCAGCCTGGCGACAGAGCAAGACTTCGTCTCAAAAAAAAAAAAAGAGAGAGAGAGAAGGGCTTTGCTTCTAGTCACAGATCTGTTTCACTAGCCACATCGTCTTGGAAAATTTGTTTAACCTCTTTCATCACCTGCAAGACAGGAATAATAAAATAGTCTCTGTCTCACTGGGTCATTGCGAAGATTAATAATAGGACAATAAATGTATAGTACCTTGGCTATTATTTTAAAAAATAACAGTAATATCTCTACTTCAGAGTGTTGGTTATTAAATTTAAAAGAGCTAGATGTATAAGAAAGCACTTATCGATGATAAAACTCTGTACAAAGTTAGATGGGATGTTGAGGATGATAACTGAATTGTTCTTTCAAAATTTAAGGGGTTTCTATTAGGATTTCAGTACTGGAAAATATTACCAGAGAAAAGAGTTCCTGGGCGTGAAATCTGAGTTAGCGTAGAGTCAGACTGCAGTCTCCATGCAGGTTGGTTCTCTCTTCAGCCTCTCTTCTGGCCTCTGCACCAAGCAGCCCTTCCTCTGGTTGCCCGCCTGTACAATGCCCGTAAATTAAATTTTACGCTGGTTATTCTTTAAATTCCACTAACCCATATCCATTCTCTGCCCTACTCTATGCCCTGGGAGCCTGACCTCTATGGACTACACAACCTCTATGGACTCCATTGCTCTCTGGCCTTGGTTGGGTTTGGAGAGTGGAAGGCATAGTAGGGGAGTGGAGAGTAGGAGGAGAAAAAGGCTGGGGTACTGATTCTCTCTGCTGCCTCTCTGCCCCACCCCTGATCTGTCAGGAACAGTGTTCCTCTGTGGCCACAGCTCCTGTCAGGCAGCCTTCTTCCATAGTGCTAGCTCTTGCTGGGCCCTGGTAACCTTGTTTCCTCCCCTTGCTGTTTCAGGTGTAGGGATGGTAATAGTTTCTTGCTGTTGGTAGTCCCTGGTGTTTCACTAGGCTTTGTTGGTTTTACTCGTAGGGCTTTTCCCTAGCCCTTGTTGGTTTCTTAACCCTTCTACATGTCAAGTAATAATTCCACTAAACTATCTTCAGGCAATCTTATTGAGGGTGCCATCTAGTTCCACCTGGGCTCCTGACTAATACAATTCTTTGTGTTTCCTCTCTATACTCTACATCCTCCAACAAATTAAGCAGAGGCACATTCTGTCCTGAGCTGGGCCACACAGTTAAGAATTAGTAGGCCAGGTGTGGTGGCTCACGCCTGTAATCCCAGCACTTTGGGAGGCTGAGGCAGGCAGATCATGAGGTCAGGAGTTCGAGACCAGCCTGACCAATATGGTGAAACCCCGTCTCTATGAAAAATACAAAAATTAGCTGGGCGCAGTGGCTCACGCCTGTAATCCCAGCACTCTGGGAGGCCGAGATGGGCGGATCACCAGAGGTCAGGAGTTCTAGATCAGCCTGACTAACATGGTGAAACCCCGTCTAAATATACAAAATTAGCTGGGTGTGGTGGCATGTGCCTGTAATTCCAGCTACTTGGGAGGCTGAGGCAGGAGAATTGCTTGAACCTGGGAGGCAGAGGTTGCAGTGAGCCAGGATTGCGCCACTGCACTCCAGCCTGGGCGACAGAGTGAGACTCAGTCTCCAAAAAAAAAAATATGAAAATTAGCCAGGTGTGGTGGTGTGTGCCTGTCATGCCAGCCGCTCGGAAGGCTGAGGCAAAAGAATCACTTGAACCCGGGAGGCGAGGTTGCAGTGAGCCAAGATCGCACCACTGCACTCCAGCCTGGGCGACAGAGGGAGACTCTGTCTTTAAAAAAAAAAAAAATTAGCACAAGCTCAGATTCCTTAGCCTAGCTTTTTAAACACACACACACACACACACACACACACACACACACACAGAGCTTTATTGATATATACCATAAAATTCACCCATTTTACGTGTACAATTAAATTATTTTTAGCAAATTTACAGAGTAGCGCAACCATTAGCACAATCAAGTTTCAGAACATTTCCATTACCCCAAAGAGATCCCTTGTATCCATGCGCAGTCATTTCCCATTCCTGTTCCAGCCCCAGCAACCACTTCCTGTTTCTACAAATTTGCCTTCTCAGGACAGTTCATACAGACAGCATCATGTGTGGTCCTTTGCATCTGACCTCTTTCACCTAGGGTGATTATTTTGAGATTCATCCATGTTGTTGCATGTATCAACAGTTCATTCCTCTTATTGCTGATTAGCATTCCATTGCCTGGATATACTACAATTTGTCTATCCATTTATCAGTTGATGGACATTTTGGTTGTTTCTATGTTTTGTGTATTTTAAATAATGCTGATATAAACATTTACGTACAAGTCTTTGTGGGTAGGTACTTAGAAGAGGAATTTCTGGGTCATGTAGTAACTCTATGTTTAACTTTTTAAGGAACTACCAAACTGTTTCCACAGAGGCTGCACCCTTTTACATTCCCATTGGCAATGTGTGAGGGTTTCATTTTCTCCATATCCTTCCCAACACTTTTTATTTTCTGTATTTGATTCTAGCCATCCTAGATGCAGTGATATTTCATTATAGCTTTGTTTTGCATTTACCTAATTACTATGTTAGTATCTATACATGTGCTTATTATTCATCTGAATATCTTTTTGGAGAAATGTCAATTCAGATCTTTTGCCCATTTTTAAATTGGAATGTTGTAACAGTTTTTTGTATGTATTCTAGATACAAGTCCTTTATCAGATATATGATTTGCAAAAGGAACTCAAGCACTCTCCTTCTTCCTTCTGCTATAGATTTATTTTGCCAGTTGTGCATTTGGAACAGAGGACATTAGGACTTCAGGAGGCTACTTCCACCTGGCTAATATATTCTATGACCTTAAAAAGTTGGACCTGGCAGACACATTGTACACCAAGGTGAGCTGGGGAATGTGGGAGCTGAGCCTTCACTCTTAGGCTTGGTGTCTTACAACTTGTATTAGACTATTCATGAAAAACATACCATTCATGAGAAAGAGAGGCACAGAGAGATGAAGTGGCTTGCCCAAGACTATATAGCCTGATACATGATATACTCCATTTTCTTTCTTCCAGTGTCTCCACTACCAAAATAGACTAACCCTTAACATCCGTAGGGTGATTAACGAATAATGAAGGACAGGTCAGTAAGAGCCAAACCCCTTCAGATAGACTGTTGTATGCTGTGTCATACCCATAGCAGCAAGCTAATGTGGGCTTATTGAAGTGTGCGATAGAGAAGGAGATTTCCAAGGGAAGTCTGTTGCTACAAGATCCTGTCAAGGGATCCAAGAACATGAGAAATTTCCATATTTACATGTAAAATATTTTAAACTGTTTCCAATATATTAAAATGTCAGCTGTATCCATATAGTAACACCTCACTTAGCAGGCAATCATTTGTGTAATAAATGTGTAATACAGGCTTTCTGCTGATTGTTGATTCATGTTTTAGACCTGCTTCTGAGAAAGAGGCATTTTGCTGTAGTTTAAAAGCTTTAGAATCAGATAGACCAGGGTTTAAATTCTGGCTATGCCACTTAACAGCTCTTACCAGAAGTCGTGTGTGATCTTCTCTGAGCCTCGGTTTATTTACATGTAAAATGGGAATAATAAGAATATTACATCAGGATGTTGTGAGGATGTGAAGGTTTCGTGTTGTGTGTGCTATACAAAAGATAACCACTGTTATTAGACCCCACTAGGGCTACCCCAAGATGAGCTGCCACAGGCCCTTTTCAGCCCATCACTTGTCACACTTACCTTGGCCAGGCCTGTTTGGGCTCCTAGGGTTCCCTCTGCCTCCAGGCACAGTAAGAGAGAGAACCTCCAGGTTGTCCAGAAGCCCGGCCAAATGCGCTACTCTCCTCACCTGCCTGGTCCGACGGCTGAGGTCTGGCCTGCTTGTTGTATTACCATCTCTTTTCCCAACAGGTCTCTGAGATCTGGCATGCATATTTGAACAATCACTATCAAGTCCTCTCACAGGCTCACATCCAACAAATGGATTTACTGGGCAAACTATTTGAGAATGACACTGGCTTGGGTAAGTGGCAGTTTTCCCTGAAGGGAGAGCAGTGACTTCATCTCACCCAATACACAGACCTTGTCCCTAAGAGGGAAAGCAGCTGTCCCTGTCATGAAGCACACCATTGCCACCTTCCCCATGTTGCTGATGGAGAAAACTGAGACACGGGGATCAAAGAGATTTTACCAGTGTTGGGAAGAATTCAGATCCCTATCATCACACATAGCCATTCGGGGGTTACTAAGGGACAGATTTAGAGGGAAAAAAAGACCACATCAAAGCCCCCTGTGATTTCTGCAGAGCATCCATTTCTATGTTATCCCTCCAGGGCAGCAGTCCCAATCTCTCCCTGGCACCAGGGACCCGTTTCATGGAAGACAATTTTTCCATGGACTGGGGGGCGTGGGAGGAATGGTTTCAGGAGAATTCAAGTGCATTACATTTATTGTGTACTATGTTTTTATTATTATTAATATATTGTAATATATAATGAAATAATTATACCATGCATCATAATGTAGAATCAGTGGGAGCCCTGAGCTTGTTTTCCTGCAACTAGATGGTCCCATCTGGGAGTGATGGGTGACAGTGACAGATCATCAGGCATTAGATTCTCATAAGGAGTGTACATCCTAGATCCTTTGCATGCACAGTTCACAATAGGGTTCACGCTCCTAAGAGAATCTGATGCTGCTGCTGAACTGACAGGAGGTGGAGCTCAGGTGGTAATGCAAGCAATGGGGAGTGGCTGTAAATACAGATGAAGCTTTACTCGCCCCTACCACCCCTGCTCACCACCTGCTGTGCAGCCCGATTCCTAACAGGCCACAAAACAGTTCTGGTCCATGGCCTGGGGGTTGGGGACTCTTGCTCCAGGACACGTAAGCCAAGGTAGACTCTACACAGAAGGTGCATTGCTGATTTCTTCTGGTGCCTTAACTTCATGCTTTACTGAACAGTGAGCTTCTCAGTGGCAGGGCCCAGTTGGATTAAACTGTATTCCCCGGGCCAGCAAAGGGCTAAGTGTTGAATAGTACCGTACAGCATCATGCCCTCAGAGACAATGAAAAGACACAGAGGATCTAGTTTCTGCTCAAAAGAGACATACAGTGCAGTTGGTGATATAGAACCTATAGGCAATAACAAAAGAACATTCCTGTGAGTACAAATTATGTTACAAGATGAGTCCCAGAATGAAGAGGTGAGGACAGCTGGGTGGTGTTGAAGAAGGAAGACTCTTTGGAGGAGAGGTTTTGAGCTAAAGTTTAAAAAATTAATAACTTTATTGAATTTTCTCTCATTATGTAAATAGTTCATGTTATAGCTGAAAACTTGGAAATCATAGATATCCAAAGATAGCCAACCTTAACATGATGGTGTATATCCTTTTCGTCTTTTTCTCTAAGCTTAGTACTTGTATAAGTGCTTTTAAATGCATGTAGTGACTTCTCAGTAAATGATGACTAAAGTAGGACCAAAAACTACTGGGGAAAATAGTAAACAGACTCTCAGAGGGAAGCATGAAGGTTGTTGCTTACGCATCTATGGCCTAGACGAGAAGAGTTAAGCTGCTGCAGCTGCAAGAAGTCCCTTCCCCCAGTTCTCTCCTCTCAGCTGTAGAGTGGAATCTGAGTTGGACCCAAGGAATCTGCCTGTGGCAGATTATCTGTGTTTGTAAGCCCAAGAGATCTAGAGTTCAGGACTCCGAAAGAGAGAAACCTTAGCAACTTTGGGACCTGTGGGAGTGAGCCTATTTTTAGGCTACTCTGATAATGGCATGCTAAGCAAAGCTGGAAAGCGGTCTGAAACTCCTGCTTCGGAGCTTCCTGCTTTGCACCTGGAGGGAGTCCTCTAGGTAAAAAACTTGCTGTAATTGGTGCTATTTCCACCAGTGCCCTTGGGAAGGCTTCAGCAGACCAGGCGCTTTAACAGCTGAGTGCTTTTGATGAGGGCAGACTCAGTTGCCAAGAGCCTGTTTTTTCTTTCTTCCCCTTCCAATGCAGATGAAGCCCAAGAAGCAGAAGCCATTCGCATCCTGACTTCAATCTTGAACATTCGAGAATCTACATCTGACAAAGCCCCCCAAAAAACCATCTTTGTTCTGAAGATCCTGGTCATGTTTTACTACCTGATGATGAATTCTTCAAAGGCAAGTTTCCCTAAAAAAGCAACACGTCTAAAATGAAGGTAGAAATTCAACTAGTTGAACTCAAAATTTGTGTTTTGCCCAATTCCAATAGCTTTTGCCCTCAGAGCAAGCCCTCACTCCAAAGAGGTTCAGATGCTCACGATGTTTCTCCTGTGTTGAGTCTAGCCTGCATAATGGAAATTGGATTGTCTTCTTCCCCCGAGGGTTCCCAGTCTTGCATAGATAAAGAGAGTCTGAGGCAGTGCTGGGAAGCCTGCAGGGCAGGAAGGCTCTGGGGAGCCTTGGATGGATGAAGTAGCCGCTCTAACTCCACTCAGTTACTGAGTTCCCTGTTGCTGCGGGGATTCAGGCAGAAATGCATTGCCATGAAATGATTCAAAAAGTAACTTTTTGAGTACTTTTACCTACCAGTTATTGGCCTAAACCCTTTACATAATTATCATACTTAATGCTTACACCAACATTAATGAGGTAGCTATTTTATTATCTCTACTTTACAAACAAGGAAACTGAGGCACCGAGAGGGTCAATTCTTTGCCCAATGTCTTACAGACAGCAAGTAGCATATCTCAGGTTTATTGACTTATTGGTTGATTCTCTCATTCATTCAAACATTTATTGAAAATCTACCATTTGTAAAGCACTAATCTAGGGACTGGGGATACAGTGGTGATCCATACGTTTCCTATCTCTATGGCACTGGTGTTTTTTGGAGGAGTGGAAATAAACATATGTATGTGTAATATAATTTCAGATAGTAGAAACTGTTATAAAGAAAACTAGCCAGGCACAGTGTCTCATGACTGTATTCCCAGTACTTTGGGAGGCTGAGGAGGGATGATTGCTTATGTCCCGGAGTTCAAGACCAGCCTGGGCAACATAATGAGACCCACTCTCTACTAAAAATAAAAATAAAAAGATCAGCCGGGCTAGAGGTGTGCACATGTAGTCCCAGCCACTCGGGAGGCTGAGATAAGAGGATTACTTGAGCCCAGGAGATTGAGGCTGCAGTGAGCCGTGCTTGTGCCTCTGCACTCTAGCCTGGGTGACAGAGCAAGATCCTGTCTCAAAAAAAAAAAAAAGAAAAAGAAAAAGAAAAGAAGAAGAAGAAGAAGAAAAAGCAGTTGGCAGGGGGAGAGAGAGGAGGCTGGTTGGAGGGAGCCCTTTTTGTGTGGGTGACATGGGAAAATTTAAGACTCCTTTCCTCCCTCCTCCCTCTTTTCTTTTCTTTCTTCAGCTAACTTTTACTAAGCACCTGCAGTATACCAGGCCTGGAGGAGCTCACAGGTTATAATAGAGTGTGACAGCGAAGCCCAGAGCACTGTGGGAGCACAGTGCACAGGGCACTAACCCTACCTGGGATAGGGGTAGGAATGGGTGAGGAATAGGAAAATATTTCCACTGAACTTTCAAATTTACATTGGACAAAACCTCATTTCTACGGTGCAATGTCCAATTTTCCACTGTGTACTCAAGGAAGTCATTACCCCAGGGTGTGTTAGATCTACAAGAGACCTTAGACAAAAGGCACACATCTATCTATCCATCAAGACTGGCACCTCACTTCCTTCAGGCCTTCACTTGACTCAGCTGTTTTCTTTTCAGTGAAGCGTTCCCTGCTCTCCCTGTCTAAAACTGCAAACCCCCACTACTACCTCTAATGCTTCCTATCCCCTTTCATGCTTTATTTTTTTCCTTAGCATTTATCATTTAAGATACTGTCGTGTTTTACTTATTTGTCTTCTTTATTGTCTTTCTCCCCTACTACACTGTAAGTTCCATGAGAATAGGAATTTCTGCCTATACTCACAGGACCTGGAACATGGTAACCATTCAATAACAATTTATAGGAAGGAAGGAAGGAAGAGAAGAAGGGAGGAAGAAAGGGGAGCCTCTTTCCAAGTCAAAACTCTGGGCCACATGGTCTCCAGGACCACCCCAGAGTGGTAATTTACTTGTGGCACCTGTCACCTCTATGCCCTCCAGTGATGGCCTCTAGGGCCTGATTAAGGTCCTACAAAGATCTCACTTTGTTAAGAAGGTATACTTAGTTTGTACTTAGTTTGTCAAGTCAGGTGGGGTTTTTTTCTGGTGCCCTGCCCAGCGCACATGTGGCTAGCTGTAAGGGCCCAGTGTGTTTACAGGTTTATCAACAAGAGCTCAGTGGGTGGTGTGAAAAGGTGGTCAGTTCTCTCTCATGTTTCTGGAGTTGAGCACAGATGGGGCTTCCCAGTGTTATGCTTTCCTGTGACAACTTCCTTTTGTCACTGCAATTCTATTTCAGGCACAGGAATATGGCATGAGGGCCCTCAGTCTAGCCAAAGAACAACAGCTTGATGTCCATGAGCAAAGCACCATTCAAGAGTTATTAAGTCTCATTTCAACTGAAGACCATCCCATTACTTAGTGACCCATGAGCTCTGCATCAAGGGTTATTCCAGGGGCTACTGAAGATCTAATATATTCCAGCCTTGCACAACTGCTTTGAGGTACTGTAGACTGCTGAAGTTTCCACCCTCTTCCCCTGGGATTGCACACATAGCTGTTATTTTTTTCTTACACAGCATATTAAGGGAATATAAAGCTTTAGGCATAGAAATCACTAAAAACTGTGTTTGTCATGACCTTTGTACTTGATTTATCATGACTTTGTATGACTGAGTAATATGTAGTCAGATCACTAATATGGTATTTGTAATTAAACTACAAATAGTTTGTCATTTCCCAGAAGTCTTCCAACGATGCATGTTTCATACACTTTTGCTAAAGGAGGGGTAAAGGAGGGGGTAGGGAATAAAGCTATATTGGAACAAAGTTTCTCTATTCTTAATTCCATGCTGGAATTAACTTAGCGTTAATCTGAGGTAGATTGTGATAAAGTACCCATTATAATAGAGCAATCACTAAGAAAATAACTCTAAAAATAGTTAAAAATCAACAAAGGGATTACAATGGTATGCTAGAAAATACCCACTTAAAGAAAAGGTGAGATAGAGGAACAAAAAGGACATGAGACACATAGAAAACAAATAGCAAAATGCAGGCATAAATTAGATATAAGGTCTTCCTGTGCCAGAGGAGGCCCCTGGGCCTGTCAAGGAGCTTCAGTATGGATTGACTGAGATGCCATTCCAGGGTGGCATCTTTCTTATCTCAGACAATAATTTGAAGTAGATGTGGGCCATCTATACAGTCTAGGGGAGAGGCATTCTGAAAGATCCCCTGTGATGGAGAGGACAGAGGGTGAGCCTTGGACTCAGACATGCCTGAGCTCAAATTCCAGCTCTCTCACATCATTGGTTTGTGACCTTGATCTCCCTATAGCCTCATCCATTACTGTTGTAAAATGGCCCAGATGTGGCCACAGCTATATCAGCTCATCCCATCTTGATGACTCTGGTAATTTAGCATATCCTTTTTTTTCTCCCTTAGTTCCTCTCCAGACTTGCCAAGCAGCATTTTGCTTCGTGAGTAGATCTGCACCCAGGGAGAAGATATGCAGGTCAAGAACCTGTCAGAGAGTTTTATGTTCCTCACTGTAAATTAATTCACTCAGACACATATAATAAAAATAAGTCAGATGGGTCACCCTGCCCCTTCAGGTAAAATCAGCTGGAAACCGCCCCCCACCCCCCGCTCTCACCGCCCCCACTTCCATACTTGTGGGCATTCTTATGCTTCTCCATGATGGCTATGAAGTCCCAGGGGCTTACTTGTCTTTCAGCCATCTCTTGATCTAATTTTCAGCCTCAGATGAATTCTCAGTCTCCAGTCAACACTGTGTAGCACTTTCTTCTTCTCTTTAAAGACAGAGCCCCTTCTTCTTAGCTCTTAACTCGTAACCCCAAATATGAGTCAGCTCTTTCAAATAGACTCTTAATGAAGACTGGAGGGGTAAGGAGGAGGATCAACAACTCTTCAGCAGATAATTTCAAAGAAAATATTAGAACTTACCTATTCTGAAAACATTCTAAAAAGTCCATTTTATTAGACTCCTACTCTATCCTTTATTTCTTGGCCTCTTTTTGCCTTCTCACTCCTGTCTTATCTATTCTCCCTGAATTCCTGTTCATTAACCCTTCTGCATTGAATAAATTTATAAAGTTATTGTTTAAATATATTGTTTCTATTTCTTTATTTTTATTTTTATTTATTTATTTAGTTTTGAGATGCAGTCTCGCTCTGTCGCCCAGGCTGGAGTGCAGTGGCGCAATCTCGGCTCACTGCAAGCTCCACCTCCCGGGTTCACGCCATTCTCCTGCCTCAGCCTCCTGAGTAGCTGGGACTACAGGCGCCCACCACCACGCCCGGCTAATTTTTTGTATTTTTTTTTAGTAGAGATGCGGTTTCACAGTGTTAGCCAGGATGGTCTCAATCTCCTGACCTCGTGATCTGCTCGCCTCGGTCTCCCAAAGTGCTGGGATCACAGGTGTGAGCCACCGTGCCTGGCCAATTTATTGTTTCTATTGACTGATTTACTTCTTGGCTATAGGCCATAATTTTCTGCTTTTTTTTCATGCTTAGTAATTTAATTTTCAGTTTTTCTTCTTTTCTAACACATGCATTTAAGGCTATAAATTTTACCCTGTATACTGCTTTAGCTGATCCCATATGTTTTAAAAATGCAGTATTTTATTTTTCTAAATGTGTCTTATTTTTTATGACTCATGAGTCACTTAGAAATATGACTCAATTTCCAAAAGAGAAGTTCTAAAACAACTTCTTTGCTATTGATTTCTAGCTTTATTGAGGTCCTAGAACATTCTGTATATAATTTTGATTTTTAGAAATGTTCTTTATAGAATGTGGTCAATATTTTAAGTGTTCTGTGTGTGCTAGAAAATAATGAAGTTATTGGGAGCAGTGCCCCTTAAGTCAAGTTTGTTCATATTTTCAATTCTTGCATATTTTTGCTGACTTTTTGTTCATGTCTAAGAAAGGTATAAAATCTATCCACTAACATTGTGGATTTATCTATTTCTCCTTGTAGTCCTGTTAGTTTTTGCCATATATATATATATATATATATATATATATATATATATATGAAATATATATGTGTGTATATATATATTTTTTTTTTCTTTTTTTTTGAGATGGAGTCTCACTCTATCGCCCAGCCTAGAGTGGAGTGGCACAATCTTGGCTCACTGCAACCTCTGCCACCTGGGTTCAAGCAATTCTCCTGCCTCAGCCTCCCAAGTAGCTGGGATTACAGGCATGTGCCACCATGCTCAGCTAATTTTTGTATTTTTAGTAGAGACCATCTTGGCCAGGCTGGTCTTGAACTCCTGACCTCGTGATCCACCTGCCTCGGCCTCCCAAAGTGCTGGGATTACAGGCGTGAGCCACCGTGCCTGGCCTGTTTTTGCTTTATATTTTTTGAGGCTTTGTTATTAGGTGTCTACACATTCAAATATTATATTTTTCTAGTGAATGGAATTTTTTGTATTATGAAGTGTGATTCTCTTTATCTCTAGTAATGTTTTGGGCCTTAGAGTTTATTTTGGTCTCATATTAATATAGCTGCATTCACTTCCTTTGGGGCTGGATTGCTCGTTATCAGCTAGGCGTCATCACCATTCCCTTCATCATTTCCCTCTGCTTATAATGGGAAGCTTAGAGCTATAGTTCTCAGTATCCCTCTCCCTTTATGATTCTGGATAACATTCTGTCAATGAGGGCCAACTGCTCAAAATTTGGAAGCTGCATAAGGAGCAACCATTTACCTTCCTGTGAGTCATCCACTGTTGTTTTCCTGAATGCAGATTTCCTGTGGAAGCAGCTTGCTGCCGTTTACCCCCGATCTTGATCTCCCAGCTACTTCAAAGATTGTGTATGCCTCTAATTCTCTGTATTAAATAACTTTCTTTATTCAAAATGCCCAGAGAGGTTTCTGTTTCCCTGACTAAACTCTGACTGAAACTCTTGATATTTCTTCCCAACAATCTATATGTCTCCTATACTTCCAAACAATCTATATCCTTAGAGGGGTTCTCACTATGTTTTGCAGGCTGGATTTGAACTCCTGGGGTCAAGAGATCTTTCTGCCCAGTGGAATTGGGGCAGGCACCACTGGGCCCAGCTCGTAATGTTTGTGATGCATCTCTTGTAAAAATAATATGATTAGATGTTTTTATATCTTTCATTCTTAAAGAATCATTTAGTCCATTTACATTTTGTTTACACACTAAATGATTTGAGTTTTTAAAAGTTATTGGAGTTTAAATCTATGATCTTATTTTATGCCTTCTATTTGTTCTGCATGTTCTATTTTTTCCTTTTCTTTCTTTTGGATTGATTACATAATTTTCTCCTTCCATTTCTTCCACTCTGCGAGCTTGTAGTTTATATTCTGTGTTTCTGTTCTTTTAGTGATTGCCCCAGAAATCCAAGCATTTGTTCCTTACTTATCAAAATTTAAAGTTATTTGGGAAACTCTCATCCCTGACAATAGAAGGTCTTTAGAATCTTTTAACTATATTTACCTCCCACTAACTTATACCTTCTTATTATTTCAAATATATCTTAAACTCATGTCATAATTATTTTGTAAAGTCATCATGTTCCTTCTTTTCACATCTTCCATCTTGGCTCACATTACTGATAAATATTTCAGTATTTCCTATAGTGAGGGCCTAAAGATGGCAAATTCTCAGATTTTCTTTCTTTCATTAATTCAAAAATGTTCTTATTTTGCCCTAATTTTTTTTACTCTTCAATGAAAATATATTTCATTTTTATATATGATTTATTGATGCAGGAAATCATCTCAGTTCTGAACAGCTCTACAAAATGTGGTTTACTTGGCCGGACGCAGTGGCTCACGCCTGTAATCCCAGCACTTTGGGAGGCTGAGGCGGGTGGATCATGAGGTCAGGAGATCAAGACCATCCTGGCTAACACAGTGAAACCCTGTTTCTACTAAAAATACAAAAAAATTAGCCAGGCGTGGTGGTGGGTGCCTGTAGTCCCAGCTACTCGGGAGGCTGAGCCAGGAGAATGGCGTGAACCTGGGAGGCGGAGCTTGCAGTGAGCGGAGATCATGCCACTGCATTCTCCAGCCTGGGCGACAGAGCAAGACTCCATCTCAAAAAAAAAAAAAAAAAAAAAATGTGGTTTACTTGACCCTGAAGGGTATAAGTAGGTTGAAATGAGCCAGGATTTCTGGGTTCCCTATAGAGTGTCTCTTATCTTCCCACCTGGTGATCACATCTTTCCTAAGCGTCTTCAGCAGAATTCATAAGGGTGGAGCTGAAGGATCATCTCTGAAAGGCCTGATTAAAATTTTCCACTAGCAAGCACATATGCACTGTTACAAATATATCATATCGTCTATGAATCTTTATTTAACAAAAATTCACTCTGAGTTGCTGCTCTACGCTCTCACTATATAACATTTTATCATTGCGCTCCATGGCTTTCTGCTGTGCCACAGGGCCTCAGATGACCAAGATTGGAACCAAACTGCTAGCACCAGGCCTTGCCATGTCCCATTACAGATACACATTGTACAAATGAGGTGTCTCTGTTCTCATGATGACTCTGTGAGGTACAACATTTCTCAAACACAATAGGTCACACAAAACAAACAATTGGCAAAGAAAATGCTTCAGAAAAGATGGTGAAGCATTATTTGGATGACGGAACCATGCAATCATTTTGCCAAACACAAAACATATGTCTTTCCTAATATTCATCAAGATCAGTGCAATGTGATAAATATTTTATATTATGTACATACATACACACACACTTTTAATAGCTAATATTTAAATAAGCAGTAGCAGGTTTTAAAAACATACGAACAAGGTTAGTATTGGGAGCAAGATGTAAAACCAGAATTATATATTATAAGCATTATCCCTTGCAGACCTTTTTCAGGATTGTGTATCTCCTGGAACATCTTAATGAACATGGCAAAAAAGAAAAAGAAAAGTTTTCAGTGAAAAAAGGTGGTTCATGGTTTAAAAGTCAAGTTTTACCACAAGAAACCAAGTTGGAGGTAAGGGTTGAGGAAGGTAGCAGCCAAAAATGACCACTGTAGTTCTGTTTTATTTTGTGTGTGTGTGGTTTCAGCAAGTGGTTGGCATTGTGCACTCAACTGAGGAGGCCCTGAAAGAGGGGAGGTTTGTTGGGGAGAGATAAAAACATGAATTCAGCTTGAAACATGGTGAATTTGAGACGCTTATCAGACATTTGAAGAGAGATGAAGGGTGGGCAACTGGATATGCCATCTGACCTTAAGAAAAGAAGCCTGGGCAGAGCACGGTGGCTCACACCTGTAATTCCAGCACTATGGGAGTCCGAGGCAGGTGGATCACCTGAGGTCAGGAGTTCGAGACCACCCTGGCCAACACAGTGAAACCCCGTCTCTACTATAAATACAAAAACATCAGCTGGGCGTGGTGGTGGGCGCCTGTAGTCCCAGCTACTTGGGAGGATGAGGCAGGAGAATTGCTTGAACCTTGGTGGTGGAGGCTGCAGTGAGCTGAGATTATGCCACTGCACTCCAGCCTGGGCAACAGAGTGAGACTCTGTCTCAAAACAAAACAAAACAAAAAAAGAAAAGAAAAGAAGCCTGGGTTCAGAGATAAATTTGAAAGTATCATGTACGTTGTAATTAATACCAAGCAAATGGAGATCATGTAGGGATGAAACCCGCAGCTAGGGAATAGCAGAAAGCCTAAGGAAATGCCGGAGGAAACAACATTTAATGGAGAGGAGGTGAACCCAGCACAGGAGGCTGATGTAATTTCAGACTTACTCAGCCTACTCATGCAAAGAATTCCTATAATACCTTTCACCCAGATCTCCCAAATGTTAACATCTTACCACATTTGCTTTATTTTCTCTCTCTAGAAACCCATTATTTTCTGAGCCATTTGAAAGTAAATTGCAAACATGATGTACCTCTATCCCTCGATATTTAATGTGTATTTTCTAAAAACAAGGACACATTCTTACGTATTCTTATTAGAACAATCACCAAAATGAGGAAATTGACATTGATATGATACTATCAGGCAATACAGTACAGACCAGTTGTCTTAATAATGTCCTTTAGAGCAGAAGAAAATCCCTGGGCAGGCAGTGTGCTCAGCTGCCACTTCTCTTTAGTCAGAGGAGTGCCTTTAGATGTGACACAAGTGCTGCCACTCCAAGGTTCCCTGACCCATCTCATGAGAATTTCAGCCAGAATTTTCTAACAAAAGATGCTTAGGCCCTTGAGGAGCTCTAAAGAGCTGTGATTCACCAAGAGTACAGTAGACCTAAGGTTAGTGGAAGAGCGATCATTTTTGAGAGAAGCCTCTCACCAGATTTAAGAAGTGCCATTAGTGAAAGCAGCAGCTGCAGGAAAAGCAGCGGATACCAGCGTGATAGACAAGTGGGTGCCAGCAGCATGAAGCTGGGAGAGTCCTAGAGGGACACCATGTAACTCTGGGAAGTAGAAGGGGAAGTGTCACAGGCTTATTCTTTGAGGAGAGGAAATCCCAAGATCCCACAACTTGGAAAGGCATCTGCAGCCAGCCTGAACATCTCTCCACCTGTGCCCCTGCAGCATGGTTTCTGCCAGAGCCACCGTCAAGAGGGTAGGGAAGCCATCAGCAACCTTTCCAAAGTACTTCCTTTCTCACCAAATACGCTGGTCTACCATGGAGCTAAATGCAGTTCTCTTTGAGACAATGGGGGAATTTGAATACGGACTGGGAATTAGATGGTATCAAGGGATTACTGCTAATCTTTTTATATGTGGTAAAGGCAAATGGAAACGTCCTTTTCTGGGGAGTTTACTATTCTCTCCACTTTTGTGTAGTTTGACGATTTTCATGTAAGAGAAGAAGAAAGAAACATAGGCCACATTCCCCAGTGTTTGGGTTCAAGGACAATATGAATGGTACATAATGTCATACCCCAAATCATCCTCGGCTGCAGCAATCAAGCACTATCCCTTTGATGCTCTGACCTCAATTTGGACTCCCTGACCCTCAGAAGCTGGGGAATAGCCTTAGTTCAAGGGTCTTGAGCCTTGTTTTGACTGTTAGTCCCCCAGGGTCTTATCACCGCTTCTCCCAGGAAGCCTCTTGAAATGTCAGGCAAACACAAGTCCTGAGGGCCCTGCCTGACCTGTCAGAGTTCTTCTGGTGAGTACACAGATTCTTTCAATCCCCTGAGACCCCTTACTGCACCACACAGCCATTTTAAACAGCTTTCAGCTCTCACTTGCTATTTGAATCTTAATTCGAATGTCAGCCCGGGAGAGCACGCTGAGCAGGCCCGTGACAAGCTCACGCCATCTGCATTAGTATTTTCCTCCATCATCTTGACAGTTGAGAGTTGGCAGTATTACAATTCAGACGGCACTCTGCGTTTGAAAGGAAAATTATAGTTTTTCAGAACGCAGCTGGTGTGCAAGTGAATAGGGTGAAGTTTCTTCTGTGAAGGCTCTTCCTCATTTTATGATATGAAAATAATAAAATGTAGATTCAGCATGTGATTCTTACTTTACAAGAACCACCAAAAGGCACAGAATTTTGGAGACAAAGGCAAACAAAGCATTCTGTTCCATAGTAATAATTTTAATAAAAAGCAAAAACAGCAAAACAATCATTTATAAATGATTTCGTCTCTGTTGGAGAAGTTAACACTGTTATTGCTGTATAAACCACTTGGAAATGAGCTATTCTGGTGCCTAGTTAAGATGTATTCTTTTCAGCATATTTTCATTTTGCCAGTTAGGCAGGAAAAGCTACAGTCCACTTTCCTGGAGGGAATTTAGCTGAACTACTGCCCACAGGTGACAGTGAACTTTACAAATCACTCCAATAAGTTTAGTAGCAAAGTAAACATCTTTCTCAAGTGTTGAAATCACAGAAGTTAGACAGAACAAGCAGAGAAGCAGTCTTTTAGGTGTTAAACTTCATGCCACTTGTGCACATTACACTAGGACACTTGCTTCTGAGAAATACAACACAAATGCTACCTCCCTGGAACTAAGATGTTTCAGTGCTCACGTGTATCAGTTTCTTCTCTCTGTCTCCCAGCAGCAGTGGTGTGCTGACAAATGTTTAACAACCAGCTCTCGGGGAGGGGGGTCTTGATATAGAGTGTTTGCCAATCTCTGTGGTGTAAATACTCTCAATAGGGCCGATTCCCCAGCTACTGATGTGATGTCACTGAATGTTCAGGTTGGGAAGAGATGTGCAATAGCACGCCATTATATTGTAGCACACCATACCAATACAATAGATGTCAGTATCCTCAAGAACATAGATAATAGTAAAATAATTAGGAAGTGATGAGTTTTGAGTATTTATTACTGTTTTTAACATACTTTATTTAATTGCAGGTTAATATAATCTCTAATGGTCACTGTGGCTGTGTTTACCAACCAGCTTACAAAATTCCTGGAAATTCAACAATCCACTCTCATGGGCCAGTGCAAACCACTTCGGCACACCACTGGAACTCGGGACCTCAAGGTGGGACTAAGCAAACCAGGCACCCGCCTAGTCCTGCCTCCACAGTGACCGTTATCAGCTCTGCAGAATGATTAAGGGCCCCAGCTCTCCCCTTGCAGATCAGTGTTCCTTCTAAATAGGAGATTACGGGAGTCCCACTCCGGATAGGCCCAGGACAGCAGAATTTTAGCAGCTTTATTGGTTAGTTCCATCTGATCTCAGGGCTGTCATCCCTGCCAAGTCCAGATGGTGCTGTCAGACTATCAGAGTTCCCCACACAGCCCCTCCTTCCCCCAGCCTTCTGCACTCCCCTCACCCTCTATTTGACAGGTTTAATTCACGTCCCTGGCACCACCTCCTTCCATTTGATGCGAAGCCAGCAAACCTAATACAGGAAGAGCCAAAAAACCCAGGTGCTAAATCATCCAAGGTCAGGCTGCTTTCCAGGTCGGCTTTCCAGCCCCCCAGTTGTCTGAGGCAGTCTCTCCTCCAGGATTTTTCTTAGCCAAATACGTTCGCTAGATCTTGCACATAGCGTCATAAAATCTCAAGGATGGATGGGACCTTCCAGTCATTAGCCTGAACCACAGCATGCTTGAGCTACCGCCAGCCCTGCCCCCAGCAGCTCTTTTTCCCAGCTGTAAAGCTGCTGTCTGCCAGCTTTTATCCCTTGGCACTGAGCCATGATCACAAGAAGGCGATGCTTGTGTTGCTCACAGTGGGGGAAGCAAGAGGAAAGGAACCTATGGAAAGCCAGGCATGTGGTTAAGTGCGACACATTCAAGTTTGTTTATGTATCACATTTATAGGTGACAAAATTAAGGTTTAACAAGTTGAAGTAAAGTGTCCCTGGGTCACACAAGCTTTAAGTTACCTGGATTTGAACTGGATCTGACTCAGACTAGTACCATTCACATTAGCCCACGCTGCCTTCCAAAAGGTGTACCCCTGACAACGAGTGGTGAATATGGTCATTGTGATGCCTGGCTTGTGCAGTGGGAATTAAAAATGCATCACCTTAAGAGATGGCACTCGAATTCCGCTTGGGGAGGGAACTGTCTTCGTCCAGGAAAATGTTTTTAATAAGCCACCCATGGTAAAAGGTGAAGTCATGACGGTTAGGGTGTTGGCAGGAATCAAATTAAGAAAAGGAATGGCTATCCATCTGGTTGTATGTGAGAATATAAATGGAACTGCTCTGTCCCAAGGACAGGAGACAGGGACCACGTGGAGTGGAAGGTGAGTGGAGATTCCTCCATAGTATATAAAAAGAACATTCTATAAATGGGGTGCCGAGTCTGCACTGTTGTAGCATCTGCCATTCCTTCCCACGTCACTGAGACACACGCAGGCACACACACTCACTCGCTTGAATTTTGCTATGTGGAAATGGGCGAGGAAACTGAGCTTCATGTCTCAGCTGATGCATTGCAGGGATAAGACGCTATTTAAAATGAGGTAGCAGAAGTGTGGAGTCAGCAGTGGCTGCAAAAATATAAGTCTTTGAGAAATCACAGAAATCTAGAGGTTCAGAAACAGAGCCCAGTTATCAGACCTCTCTGGATGTCAAGAGGCAAGGAGCCCTCAGCTGACATTTGGGTTACAATAGGGATGAATCTGTGCCTAATGTCTGGCTGCAAGGGGAACGCACTGTGGAACAGAAAGTGGGGGGAAACTTTTGACCTTGTTGCTGATTGAAACTGGAGCATGTGCATCGAACAGGATTTCTTCTTGGGTGTGCCTAATGCAATAGGTTTAGGAGCTGCAAACCCTTGGTTTCCAGGACATTCTGCAGTGAGGGAACATCAGCCGAATTGGAGCCAAATAAGCTTTCAGTTAGCTTGGCATGGGCTTTCTTCCTCACATCCCACCACTGAAAGTGTGGGGTAGAGTTAAATGGTCTTGGCTGGTCTAAAGACGGTGCGGGCCATGAGCCAGCTTGCATCATGGAAATATACATGCCTTTGGGGCTCTCACCTAGAAGCCATCCAAGTGCTGAACCCTTGACAGCTGGCACATCAACACCGTGTTGATCCAGAACAGAGGCTCATCAGAAGGGGAGGAGGCGGAGGGTAGGCCCAGGATGGGAGCATGTGCTAGATTCCAGGGAGGGATGGAGCTACCTCTGGCAGTATGCCAAAGTGGATGAGGAATCAGACTGCCTGAGTCCAGCCTTGCTATTGACTAGCAAGTGAACATGGCCTCTGGAACTAAGTAAGATTCCCTACTTATGAAATGGGGGACTAGACTGGTCTCCAAAATGCTAATTCCATGGTCTCAAATGGGGATCATAAGCGACTTTCTTAGTGTTGCCCTGGAGCCCCAGAGAACATGAACCTCACAGCAAAATTACCAAACCAGGTTGGAATGCCAGCACAGGGCTTGAGACAGTGCATATTGGCACAGGAGCTGTACCTAGAGAAGGAAATGGAAAGGCTTAAAAGAAGAAAGTTTCCACATTCAGCCCTGTGGTTTTAGGAGGGAGGGCTGCAGAGTCTAGCCATAGACCTGGAATGGAGGCATGATTTAGTTTTAGGAAAAGATTATAACATTATAGCCCTTAGAAGAATCGTCTTCCAGGTAACATTTTAAAGTAACAATCTGTCCTGATCTTGAGTCTCAGAGGTACAGTCAAAAACAGTCCCAGATCTATGAACATTCACTTTAGGGACAGTGACAAATATGGCTATTTTCAGGGGCCTTCCCAAGACATCCACTCAGACTAATGGCAAACAGGCTTACCTCCAGTTGCAAAGGAAAATATTAAACTGTAGTGACTTGACTAAGGTTGGATTTATTCTCTGACCTGACTCCTTAAACTGACCTGCTAAGGCTATGCCTGCACACAGCACTGTGGTTCATTAGCCTCTGGGAGGGTCAGCTTTTATTTGGGTGGTCCTAAAACTCCCCAGCCAGCCGCTTACATCTTCCTCAGATTTGCATTCAGTGTTCTCAAGACCAGCATTCCTCAGGATTTAAAGAAGGGAGGAAGCACATCTCCCCCACTTCTCCAGGGTGGATGGAAATCCATGCATCTCATTATCTTTATGCAGAACAGCTTCAAAGACATCTACCTCTGATCAATACATATTCATGATTCTTTCATTAAAACAGCCCACAGAAGAGCCATTTTTTCCTCCTTCCTACTAGAATTCCAAATCATCCCAATTTTTTATTTCTTTCACAAAACTATTCCAGACCTTTCCCTTTTCCCTTTCCTCCTCTCCTGGTCCCCATGGTCATGGAATCTCCTTTTAGCTGGAAGCAATGGGCCTGAAATTGTGACACTAGTGGCTTATGATCTACTTATATTGTTTCTGAGATCCGAAAGACCTAAAGCCCCAAATCCTCATTCTGGCAACCCCATACCCGATCAGAAAAACAGCATGAAGACATTTTTCCCAAGTGCAGAATCGTATATTCTGAGTGACTGAGCTATTGGCATTCAAGTTTTGACCAGTTTCAAGATGCTACTACCAGATAATGGGAAGACCATATACAGACACTGCAATCTATGTTACATAAGGAAGACTTTGTTAGTTGGTATACAAGAGTGGAGAGTTTCAGGTTATATACGATACATCCAGAAGGCTGTCTGAATACACAAAGAGCCTTATTCCTTTCAGGTCTTAAGTTTCCCTGGCTGGAAGTGAGGCCTCTGAGAAGCTGCATTCCTTTCTCAGGGTACCCTACCACTGTTTGGTGTGCTAATGCCAAGAATGTGTGGCTTTTTTTTTTTTTTTTTGAGACGGAGTCTCGCTCTGTCACCCAGGCTGGAGTGCAGTGGCATAATCTTGGCTCACTGCAGCCTCCACCTCCAAGGTTCAAGCAATTCTCCTGCCTCAGCCTCCCAAGTAGCTGGGACTACAGGCGCCCGCCACCATGCCCGACTAATTTTTTGTTCACTGTGTTAGCCAGAATGGTCTCAATCTCCTGACCTCATGATCCACCCGCCTCGGCCTCCCGAAGTGCTGAGATTACAGGCGTGAACCACCACGCCCGGCCTGGCCTTTTTCTTTAAGGAGTGATGGGAAACTGTTATAAAATCAGATGTGGGAGGTGCTCTACTACCATTAATTTACATGCACCAGTCTCACTTACTTCAGCTTCAAAGAGGTAAACAAAGGAGGCATTTTCTCTATCTGAGTGAAACATGGAGACGCAGAGTTCCTGTGATTGCACGAGGTCAGCTGTTCAAGCGGAGAACCAGAACCAGGCTCTGGCTCTACACCCCATGTTCCTTCAGCAGGCCTGTGGCCAGCTGTGACAAGTATAGCCTGGCCACCTGGCTGAGGCTCACAGAGCCCACAGCCAGCATGGTATGGGAAATCCTGGATTGGGGCTGGTTGTGGTCCAGCTGTGATCCAGCTTTCTCCACTTCTAGACAGGGCTAGTGCCAGGCAATGAAGCCAATGACTACAGATGTCACTCACAGCTGGAAAATGGGCCTCCTTTGGCAAAGGAATCTGGAAGCACTCTCTAGCTGCTCTGCTCAGGCTGGGGCCCTGCTAGCCTCCTTTTAGATAAAGTGGGGAGACTAGATTCACACCAAACAGTGGAAATGAGGGAATGCAGCTTCCAGACGATCATCACTTGGTTAAGTTTGCACAGAAAGTGTAACCAGTTCCAGTGAGAACAAACCTAAAGCTGTCCGTCTTTTAAAGCCACCCTGAGTGGTAAAGATAAGGTACATATCTTAACCTATATAAAGGTGAAGTATTATTTTTCAACTGTACAAGACACATTACTAGGGTTACAGTTCAGTGGCATGCACCTTATGTTGGACTGCATTTAAACTACAACTGTGTAGTGTGACATCTCCATTACATGGCACCAAACATTTGTCAATTGCACAACTATTACTTGGTGAGATCTGGTTTTAACTACAATACTTTAAAAGCCAATTTCTATTTAAATGTGTTATGAAAAAATGCAATAGCTTAACTTTATACACATTTTACATTTATGGCAGAGTAAGTACGGTAATTTCTGCACCCGAATGGGTAGTGTTGCCTTTGAAGTAGTCACCTTGGGAAGATGTATGTTTATTCCAGTGAAGCTGACCTTACACAGAACATTCCTAGAACCCTCTTTAGAAACTGTCAACTTGTAAGGGTCTTCAGTGTTGGTAAATCTTTGTCCTTTAAGGGTAGATCTATTTTTTGAGGAATGATTTTTTTTTTTTAACAGCTAAAGAGCATTAGAAAATAAGTCTGCTAAATAAAATGGGTGAAGCAGCTCAGGATGATCTTGGTGGGCAGGAGGAGGGGTTGGATAAAACACAAGGTCTGACTATAAAGTTGTGAGGCCTCTTGCCTTGCATGGCTTCAAAGGTAATCCCAAAGGGGAACCCTAAGTGTTCTTGGCACATGCAACATCAAGAAAATAACTCCAATTATGCTAACTCTTGAGTGCATATGTTCTAGTGTATTTGGTTAAAAAGGTGGCTTTGTTCATTTTCAGTCATATTTCGTATAAGCAGAAATGGAAAACTCCATCTCTGTGATTTCTCCCAAGGGAAAGATCTCATCTACTGCTTAGAGAATTAAAATGAAAAGCACTTGGTGTCATGTCTACATTAGCCCCCCCCCCCGCAAAATGTGCAATGGGTAATTCCTGATACCTGAGTCTTCCCCGTTTGGAAAAGTGGGTAAGGACAGGTGTCTGGATCTTAGATAAAAGTAGAGTTTCAAGGGGATTGGAGTGTTTCCAATGGCTCCCATCTACTCAATAGACCTCCAACACCCACTCATACAAGAAAACCCCCTACAGCTAAGCAGTACACAAAGTTTCAGTAGAGGAGGGGAAGAATGATGATCTCCAAGTAGCTTTCTATGGTAAAAACCCACTGGCTTCTGGATGACAAGTGAACAGAGTCCATTGAAAAACAAAGTCCATGGTGTTAGATTCTAGTGCACGCTTAAGAAATAAACTGAGTGGCCACTAGCTCATTGAAGTGCATTTCCAGCTGAGGCCAAAGGCAGCAAAGGTGCAAGAAGCTGCTAGAGCTGACGTTAGTTGAAGCAGGGTCTATAAATTCAGAGTGGCAAAGCAATTTGTAGAAAGGCCCAGTTACAAAGCAGGACATTTGCCAACCTGTGAAGTCAAAGAACGTTCAATCTCACTTTCTACAAAGTGCTTCACTGAAAATGCTAATGAGGAAGCTCCCTAAAACACCATATCCTGAGTGTCGGAGAAATATGGTCAAGATGGTGATTGATGGGGAGCAGAGATCGATCCTCTAATAGTGTTTGAACTGTGTCTTTTCCAAGCATCACACACACACTTAGTGAAGAACCTATTACTGCAGTCACATTCCACCTCGTCTGCACATGCTTCCATCCCGTGGTTGCTTTTGAGTACATAATTCCAAGAGCCATTTTGAGCTAATGGGTTCTACTGCTAAAAGTCAGAAGCAACAGCAGAGTCAGTGCCTTAGCGTCAGCCGTAATATCCACGTGCTCACAGCAGACATCAGTCTCATACTGATCAGTCGGGACGTTGTTCTTGAGTGTTTTTATATTTGTCTTTGTAAAAACCACAAAGCTAGGCCATTTGCTTAAATCATCGTTAGAAAAAATGCTGAGTGCCCAGATGGGATTTCTAGTTTCTGTGCAAATGAAATCACATTAGTCCAGATTTTATTCACTCAAAACTACTAGGGAAGCAGTAGGATTTGGTTTAAATGCTGCCAAAAAGCAGGAATTCACTTAAGTTTTAACTCAGAAGCAATCCTGTTGTTAATGTTGTAGCCAGGTTCGGGCAGCATGGAGGGTGGGGCCCCCATTGTGCTTGCTGAGGAATCCCGGATCTCTCCCAGTTCAGGCTCACTTTCACTAGAGGTAGACCCACTGTTGATGGTATAGACGCTCTCTGCAACTCCCTGAGCTGAAGCACAGCCATCCGGCTCGTTCTTCTCCCTTGGACTCGACAGTCCTGGGAGGACAGCCATCTTTCCAGTCTGCCTATTTGGCAGCAAGGACATGGTATAGTCTGCAATGATCCCACCCACATCTAAGTTGCATGCCTGGTCAAAGGCTAGGAAGCCAACATTAGCATTTGCCTCACACACCACAAAGGAGCCATCGTCCATGATAAGGAGATCAATGCCACAGAAGTCCATGCCTAGGATGTTGGACACCTGAATAGCCAACTGCTTGCCTTGTTCTGTCAGCGGACACTTGACGCCCACGCCACCTGTGGGGAAAGCACAGTGATGTAAAGGTGACAACTGAGAAGTCAGATGACTCTTCAAAGAAGAGACAGGGATCTGCCCAGGAGGGGCAGAAAGAGAGGCTCGATCATTAATCACAAAAGGTCTGGATGGAAATCAGTACACCTTGGGAAAACAATACGGCCATTTTTTATCTAGTCTTAAAAATGCTGATTTCCTCTGACTCAGCCATCCTACTACCAAGGAAATAATCTTATATATGGGGGAAAAAAAGCTTTATGCACAAAGATGTTGATGGCAGTATTATTTAAAATACAAATCATGGAGCCAGGTACATGATGGGCACTTAATAAATATTCAATAAATATTGAATGAAGAAATGAAAAATTATAATCTAAATCTCTCACAATAGAGAAAAACAGTGTATTTTACAGCCATTAATAATAATACCAGCTGGGTGCAGTGACTCACGCCTGTAATCCCAGCACTTTGGGAGGCTGACGTGAGAGGATTGCTTGAGGCCAAGCGTTTGGACCAGGCTGGGCAACACAGTGAGACCCCATCTCTACAAAAAAATAAAAATAAAACTAGGTGGGTATGGTGGCTCGCTGTAGGGTTCCTCCCACCCCAGCTGCAGTTCCAGCTACTTGGGAGGCTGGGGTGGGAGGAACCCTAGAGCTCAGGAGTTTGAGGCTACAGTGAGCCATGATCATGCCACTCCACGCCAGCCTGTATGACAGAGTAAAACCCTGTTCCAAAAACAAATAATAATGCCCACAGACAGCTTGTAATTACATGGGAAAACAGGGGATTAAAGACTATACAATATGACTATAACTAGGCAAAAAGAGATTTCTCAGAAGAAAAGACTGTAAAGAATATGACACCAAAATATTAACAGTAGTTGTCTCTAAATGGTGGGGACGATAAATACCTTTTTCATTTGACTTTGCTGTATTTCCCAAATTTTCTTTTTTCTTTCTTTTTTTTTTTTTTTTTTTTTTTGAGAGACTCTTACTCTGTCACCTAGGCTGAAGTGCAGTGGTGTGATCTTGACTCACTGCAACCTCCGCCTCCTGGATTCAAGCAATTCTCCTCTTGCCTCAGCCTGCCGAGTAGATGGGACTACAGGCGCCCGCCACTACACCCAGCTAATTGTTGTATTTTTAGTAGACACGGGTTTCACCATGTTGGCCAGGCTAATTTCGAACTCCTGACCTCAGGTGATCCACCTGTCTTGGCCTACCAAAGTGCTGGGATTTCAGGTGTGAGCCACTGCGCCCGGCCATATTTTCCGAATTTTCTACACTGAGAATGTATTCTTCTCATGATTAGAACAAATAAAATTAACTTATTTATTTATTTATTTATTTGAGACAGAGTCTCACTCTGTCGCCCAGGCTGGAGTGCAATGGCACGATCTCGGCTCACTGCAACCTCCGCCTCCCGGGTTCAAGCGATTCTCCTGCCTCAGCCTCCCAAGTAGCTAGGACTACAGGCACATGCCACCACGCCCAGCTAATTTTTGTATTTTTAGTAGAGACGGGGTTTCACCACCTTGGCCAGGATGATCTCGATCTCTTGACCTTGTGATCTGCCCGCCTCAGCCTCCCAAAGTGCTGGGATTACAGGGGTAAGCCACCACACCTGGCCAATTTATTGATTTTTAAGAAGAGAGATGGCTCCTTCTTCCGTCTTTCTGTGCTGACAGAATGATGCATGTCAATGTCCTGGCTGATGCTCTCAAGAGCATCACCAAAGCCAAAAAGAGGCAAACGCCAGGTTCTTATTAGGCCATGCTCCAAAGTCATCATCTGGTTTCTAACTGATGACAAAGCATAGTTACGTTGGCAAATCTGAAATCACTGATGATCACAGAGCTGGGAAAATTGTTGTGAACCTCACAGGCAGGTTAAACAAGTGGGGAGTGAACAGCCCCAGTCTGATGTGCAATTTGAAGATCTAGAAAAATGGCAGAATAATCTGCTCCCATTCCATCAGTTTGGTTTCACTGTACTGACAACCTCAGCTGGCATCATGGCCATCATGGCCTGTGAAGAAGTAAGATGAAAATACACAGGTGGGAAAATCCTGGGATTATTTTTCTAGGGATGTAATAGATATTAATATTTATAAATAAAATGCCTCAATGGACCAAAAAAAAAGAGAGAGAGAGATATGGAAAGGACTGAGACAAAATCCTGTACCAAGGACAGAGACCAATTCCCCTTACTTTGCTAAAAAGCTAGGACTTCAGATTTCTCTCCAGTTAGTCTCCTTGGAAAGATTTAAGAATTGTATTCTCAGGTCGAATAACTAGTGTCTTTACCTTAACAATGTCCCTTCCCACCTATGACACTGTATCTAAAAAAGGCTATAAAACGGTTTTAAAACAGCTCACCAAGAAAAGCAACATGGATAAATTATAAAGCCACGTGGTTACTAATGAATGGATTTTGTAAGGTAACTAAAAAAGTCAAAATGATAACACACACACAAGGTTCAACACTTTGGCACTAAGCATGATCATGAAAATGGGCTGGGCGTGGTGGCTGACACCTGTAATCCCAGCACTTTGGGAGGCCGAGGCGGGCAGATCACAAGGTCAGGAGATCGAGACCATCCCGGCTAACACGGTGAAACCCTGTCTCCACTAAAAATACAAAAGGTTAGTCGGGCATGGTGGTGTGCACCTGTAGTCCCAGCTACTCGGGAGGCTGAGGCAGAATGGTGTGAACCGGGGAGGCAGAGCTTGCAATGAGCGGAGATTGTGCCACTGCACTCCAGCCTGGGTGACAGAGCGAGACTCTGTCTCAAAAATAAATAAATAAATAAATAAATAAATAAATAAATAAATAATAAAAATAAAAATACAAAAATCAGCCAGGTGTGGTGGTACACACCTATAATCCCAATTACTCGGGTGGCTGAGACATGAGAATTGCTTGAACCTGGGAGGCGGAGGTTGCAGTGAGCTGGGATCACGCCACTGCATTCTGGCCTGTGCAACAGAGCAAGACTGTCTCAAAAAAAAGAAAAGAAAAGAAAAAAAAAGAAAATGAGATAACATGTAAGGTACTTAGTAGTGTGTCAACCTGAATCTAGCATTTGACACCAACACATCACTTTATCACAATTATCTTATAATTATCTCTCTTTTTTTTTTTTTTAAGAGATAGGGTCTCACTCTGTTGCCCAGGCTGGAGTGCTATGGCACAATCATAGCTCACTGCAGCCTCAAACTCCTGGGCTCAAAGGATCCTCCCACCTCAGCTTCATGAGTTCAGCTGGGACTACAGGCATGTGCTACTGCACTTGGCTAACTTTAAAAAAAAAATTTGTAGAGATGGGGTCTCACTTTATTGTCCAGGCTGGTCTCAAACTCCTGGCTTTAAGTGATACTCCTGCCTTGGCCTTCCAAAATGCTGGGATTACAGGCATAAGCCACCACAACTGGCCCATGTCTTCTTTATGGGACCACGTGCTACCTGAGGGCAAAGGCTCTCTCATCATCTCTACATTCCCGGCATCCAACACATAATCTGTTCCTGGAAATGCTCAATGACTATCAATGAAAGAAGTGCCAGACAGTGTCTAAGCCTCTTTATTAGTCACTGGACTTGGTATACTCATATGGTGATTTAGGAAATAATAACTAGTGATTGTGATTTTTTTTTTCCTATCACCAACATATAAACTCATTCAGTGAGGTTGACAATAGCTTTCTGTGATGGGGACAAGAACTTACATCCCTCTTGAAGTATCTCCATTCAGTACAACAGATAACAAACTTTATCAATGGGTTAATGGGATGGGTTTATGCATTCGACCAAAGCATAAACTGTAGCTTTCTAATAACATCATACAAAAAGGAAAACATTTCCATTAAAATATAAAAGGAAAATATATTTCTCCTGTCATCACTTTAGACTCTTATTATTTTTTTTGCCTGAGCTGTTGCAACAGCTTCAAATCTCATCTCCCTGCCTCCCATCTTATGCCATCATTCCATCCTTTACCCAGATGGGAGTTTTTCTCCAACGTTGGTCCTCATGTCACTCCCTTTTTAAGTCTTAACACCTAGAGGACAGCGTTCAGTCCTCCATGTCCTGACACTCCTTGCCTGACCTCTGCCACAGCGCTTACACTTGTACGCTCCCCTCCAGGATTGCTTGCTGCCATAGGAAAGAGTTTGTTCCTCATTCTCATCTGTGAGATCCTGGTGTCTAGCAGAGGGTCTGACAAGACAGTAGGGATCGATATACATTTGCTGAATGGGTCCAAATACCCTAATAAAACCCTGTGCTTTTATACCTTACCGAGAGAGCAGTTGCTCTGCATCCGTCCATCAGTGGAGCAGCGAAGCATAGAGCCTATGACCTGGCCCCCTACCACCACCACCCGGATGTCCTTTCCATGGGACTCCTTCACGTACTTCTGGAACAGGTAGGGCACATCGTGGCGGATCAGATGGCAGATGTCAGAGAGGTGATGTTTATCTCTTGCCAGAAAAACAGCTTTTCCTTTAAGAAGAAAAAGAGCAAGAGAAGGGGTTAGAGAAGCCTCTGGACTCTGTACTTGCCATCTGGCCTCCTTGTCCATAAAGTCATCAGTTCTTTCTAAACTTGCCTCACTTTGGTCCCTTCTATTTCTCTGCTAGACTTTTGTTTCTTATCAAATGACCACAGAACCTTACTTTCCCTTAACTTTCCTCAGGTCCTAATACCCTCTCCCTCCACCATCACTCTTTTTGAAATGACTTAATGATTATTCCAGGAACACAGAGAAAGAGCCAAAATAGAATCCAAAGATCTAATCAATTCAGTGCCCAAAACAGTTAATTAGCATCTCCCATCACCCCCAGGATGCTGATTAGGCAGGATCCACATCTAACTCATTTTAAAAAAATTCTTCAGACCTAACACTGGGCTGGATGCACAGGGCAGATGCCAATTAATGTTTGTAGAACATAATTTGTTGAAAATACTTTAGAGAAATTCCAAGTCTAGATGGAGAGAGATCCCAAAAAAAGGTAGCACAGAGTGATATAACATCAACAGAGGTCTATGCATAATTCTGTGGGAGCTCAAAGGAGGGAAGCACTGACAGACATCCTTCCTTTTAGACATAAAGTTATTATTTGGCTATACCCATTTAATTCTGAAAGGAATGGCCTATGCCTCTATTGATCTCTGCAGAAAGCATTCCTTCTTGATTCTAAATTCTTTATTTTCTGTTCAAATTGCCTACACTTTTGTAATTATTTAGCATCAGCTTTTTTTTTTTTTTTTTTTTTTTTTTTTTTGAGACAGAGTCTCGCTCTGTCACCCAGGCTATAGTGCAGTGGCGCGATCTTGGCTCACTGCAACCTCCACCTCCCGGGTTCAAGCAATTCTCCTGCCTTAGCCTCTGGAGTAGCTGGGATTACAGGCACGCATGCCTAGCAAATTTTTGTATTTTTAGTAGAGATGAGGTTTCACCATGTTGGCCAGGCTGGTCTCGAACTCCTGGCCTCAAGTGATCTGCCTGCCTCAGCCTCCCAAAGTGCTGGGATTACAGGTGTGAGTCACCATAACCGGCCAACATCAGCTTTTCCATTGATATATTAGTTAACAGACCTGAGCAGAGGTTCTGATAAGTTTGCTCTGCAAATCTGACATGAGCATGCCCAGTCTGAACATTCTTTTCAGCAAATATGGAACAAAGAGATGGTTTTCCTAAGCTTTGTGTCACCATCTTACAAGGACTGGAACTCTTCTGAAGTCCTAATAAAAAGACCAGTCCCAGGCCAGGTGCAGTGGCTCACGCCTGACATCCTAGCACTTTGGGAGGCTGAGGCGGGCAGATCACCTCAGGTCAGGAGTTTAAGACCAGCCTGACCAACATGGAGAAACCCCATCTCTACTAAAGATACCAGATTAGCTGGGCATGGTGGTGCATGCCTATAACCCCAGCTACTTGGGATGCTGAGGCAGGAGAATCGCTTGAACTCGGGAGGCAGAGAGGTTGCGGTGAGCCAAGATCGCGCCATTGAACTCCAGACTGGGCAACAAGAGCAAAACGTCATCTCAAAAACAAACAAACAAACAAATACACCAGTCCCTAGTGGTACATAAAACTGAAAAGTAAATTCCAAAACATGTTATAACCAGGATGCAATCATTCCCAAGATGACTGGATCCTAGACACCTGACAGAGCTGGAGGAGTTCAGCCACGTGATCTGAAGATGTCCACATGGCAGGTGACAGGAGAGTGTGCAGGTAAGTGGGTGTCAATGTCAGGGAAGCTGGATAGGGCCCAGCAAGGGGTCACAAGAGGAAAATGGAGAGGCCCCAGCAAGTGTGGACGATGCAGCATCAGTGTTCCCTGTCTTCAATCAATGAGTGTGGGGCAAGCAGATACACATCTGATGCCAGGAGATCTGGAGATCTGGCTTCTGGCAACAGATGGCTGGGATTCAGGTATATGCACTGGGTTCTCCGGACATTAGGTAGGATTTTCAGCAGAGATGGGGGCTAGAGATAGGAACTGGGTTTCTTGGTTTCGGGTACAGAAGTTCTAATATGGGGGTCAGTCTGCAGTTAATAAAGGAGCCACAGTTTTAAGGCAAGAAGGAAAAAAGGAGAGAAAGGCAGTAAGATTGGTTAATCATGTACTAAGTGCCAAGCAGTTTGATTTTTTATTATTTCACTTATACTTCATGCTAGCCCTAGGAAGCCATTATAACAAGGATGGTTAATCCCATTTGAGGGAAAAAGGGTCCAATCTCAAAACTTACTATAAAGTTACAGTAATCAAGACAGTGTGGCTTGGCATATAGAACTATATCAAAAGAATAAAATTGAGAACCCAGAAATCAACCTTCACGCACATGGTGAGCTGATTTTTGACAAGGGTTCTAACAGCTTTTAGTGGGGGAATGAACAGGCTCTTCAACAAATGGTACTGGGAAAACTGGATATCCACATTCAAAAGAATCAAGTTGAACCCCTACCTCATACCATACATAAAAATTAACTCAAAATGTATCAAAGACTCAAAGGTAAGGGCTAAAACTATGAAGCTTTTAGAAGGCAACATAAATGTAAGTCTGTGTGGCTTTGGATTAGGCAAGCACAAAATGACATCAAAAGCATATGGAAACAAAAAAAAATAGACAAGTTAGACTTTACCAAAATAAAAAACTTTTGTGCATCAAAGATACTATATCAAGAAATGAAAAGACAACCTATGGGAATGTGAAAAACATGTTCAAACATGTTGTTATATATCTAATAAGGATTTAGAATCTACATTATACGGCTGGGTGCAGTGGCTCACGCCTGTAATCCCAGCATTTTGGGAGGCTGCGGTGGGTGGATGGCTTGAGTCCAGGAGTTTGAGACCAGCCTGGGCAACATGACAAAATCTCATCTCTATAAAAAATGCAAAAATCAGCCAGGCATGGTGGCGCATGCCTATAGTCCCAGCTACTTGGGAGGCTGAGGCAGGAGGATCGTTTCAGCCCAGGATGCAGAGGCTGCAGTGAGACAAGATCGCACCATTGCAGTCCAGCGAGAGCATATCTCAAAAAAAAAAAAGAATCTACATTATACAAGAACCCTTCAAACTCGACAATAAAAAGATTAAAAACCCAGTTAAAAAGTGGGCAAAGGATATGAAAAAACATTCCTCCAAAGAAGATACACAAATGGCCAACAAGCACATGAAAAGATGTTCAACATCATTAGTCTTTGGGTAAATGCAAATCAAAACCACAATGAGATACCATTTCACACTCACTAGATAGCTATAATAAGCATACATACATACATACTTACATAACAAATAACAAGTGATGGTGAGGATATGGAGAAATTGGAACCCTCAAACATTGCTGGTGGAAATGTAAAATGTGGTACAGCCATACAACAGTCATATTATTAAGTCACAAAAAGAGATAAACTAGTGTTACTTGCTACAACATAGATGAACCTTGAAAACATCATGCTAAGTGAAAGAAGCCAGACACAAAAGTCCACATACTGTATAAATCCATTCATATAAAATAGCCAAAACAGGCAAATCTATAGTAACAGAAAGTATTATTAATAATAGGTCAGTGGTTGCCAGGGACTGAGGGAGAGGCAATCGGGACTAACTACTACTAGGTATGAGGCTTCTTTTGGGGGTGATGGAAATGTTCTGAAATTAAGTAGTGGTAATAGTTGTAAAACACAGTGAGTACACTAAAATCCAGTGAATTTTACGCTTTGCACTGTTAAATTTTTTATGTGAATTGTATTTTCATTTTTTTGATTTCCAAAACATTATGTATATTTAATTTCTGTTTGCTGTCTTACCTTTCTACAACGTAAGCTACTCGAGGGCAGGAACTTTTGTTTTTATCTGTATCCCCAAAGCCTGGAATAGTGCCTGGCATTTTGTAGACACTCAATAAATATGTGAATTTTATGTGTATTTTACCACAATAAAAATGACTAGTTGAAAGGCTGGTTGAAATTGAGCTCAGTAGCACATCTGCATCGCACTAAGAGTCCCACTTTGCCACCCAGGCTCCTTTCTCTGCTCCTCAACACGACTCATCTATGCTCACTGGTTGCGTTGCCTACCCTTGCTTCTGTGTGTTGCTCACTCACTTCCGCCAATTCAAATTCTACACATCCACTGAAGTCTGCTTTTCTTCCAGTGAAGACTTCATGGCAGAATTGTCCCCTCCCTCCTGTAGGCTTAAACAGACCCCTGGGCATACTTGCTATATCAGTGATGATCACCCTGCAATGCAACTGTGTCTACACATTTGAGCGCCTCGAGATCAGTGACTGGGTCTAGTTTGTTTTTGTTTTTTTGTTTTTTGAGACATGGTCTCACTCTGTCGCCCAGGATAGAGTGCTGTCTAGTTCATTTCTATTGCATAGTCCCTACACCATAGTAGTTGCTCACTATGTATCTATTTAGGGTGACCTTCCCTCACTCCAGATGCCTGGAGTGTTTAAGCATGCCACCTGGGTATCCCGATGAGGCACCTGCTCATATACTGCAGGAAGACTCCTTTCTGTTGCTGATGTCCCTACTGAGTCCCAGCGATGCACTGAGCACTACAGTAAGCCTTACAGAGACAGATGCTCAGGATCTGGTCCCCACCAATGAGCAGCTCGCAGTCTAGTAAAGAAAGGAGGCATATAAACCTGTAACTGTTACAAAGTATAGCACTCTGCTAGAGGCACATACAAAATGCTATGGAAACAAAAAGGGAAGAGCAATTAATTTTGTCTGGAAGACAGGGAGGGAGATCAGGGAATGTGTGCAGAAAAGAAATGACATCTGGAGCTGGCCTTAAAGGATGAGCAGAAGAAGTTGACCAAGTGAGCAGAGAAAGATGGCATTCTCAGCAAAGGGAAAAGAGCAGACGCTTAAAGAGGGGAAAATGCACGGTCTACTTGGTGAATGAGAAGTAGTCTGGAATGGATTATGAAAGGTTCATGTGGCCAGAGACAGCTGCAAGGGAAGGCTGAGGCTGTTTGTACAGGGCCTTCAGTTTCATGATGAGGAATATGGACTCTGTCTAATAGGCGGCACAGGGTCTTGGGAGGGTTTTTCAGTGAGAGAGTAACAAGAACAGATCTATGTTTCAGAGAAATTACTTCAAAAAAAGAACAGAAGAGGCACTGGCAGTGGAGTTAGGGAAACTGATCAGCATTAAGTCAGGAGTTGATTGCAATAGTTCAGGGAAGAGGTGAGCATGATCTGACAAAAGCAAGAACAGAGGACAAAGAGAAAGAAACACTGCAAGCTCCTCAAAGGGGAGCTCCATTTTTCTAAGCAGCACTTGAGGAGTGTCTTGTCCAGGCAGAGCAGCAGCCCTAGTGGGCTGATTACCCAGGAAGCCCTGGAGAGGTGGCACTGACCCCGGTGGCCTCGTGTGCTCTTCACCACGACTGGGTAGCCCAGGGGCTCAGCTTCATCAATCATTTTTGAAAAGTCTTCATGCCCACCTGCCAAGAAAAGGTGAAAGTCAGTGAAGGTAAGGCTGATAGTCAGGTAGCGGTCACCCCAGCCCCGCCCCTCTGTAGGAATTCTTGTGAGGCCTCATCTCTCTCTGATTAAGGCCATTCAAACCCAGTTGATTCAACAGACACACATTATATACCTGCAAGGTAAAAGGTGGGAGCAGAGAGGTAAGGAAACCAACATTTAGCAGGTGCCTTCTGTGTGGTAAAGACTTCACAATCCTTATAACAATCATATAGGTAGATACCTTTCCCTTTACAATGGCTGTGGTAGGTGGAACCCCAAGATATATCTGCCCCCTGGTGTAAGCTCCTTGTATAATCCCCTCTTCTAAGTGTGGAAGGGACCAATGAATATGTTGGGATATCATTCCTGTGATTTTGACTTTTAGTTAACTGAAAGGGAGATGATCCTTGGTGAGCCTGACCTAATCAGATGAGTCTCTAAAAAAAAAATGGTGAAACATCAGAGAGACTCTTCTGCTGGCCTTGAAGGAGCAAACTGCCATGTTGTGGAGAAGGCCATGTGGCAGGGAGCGGAGGACAGCCTCTAGCAGAGAATGTCCCCAGTTGATGGCTAGCAAGGAAGTGGGGGACTCAGTCCCACAACTACAAGAAACTGAACGTCAACAATCAGGCAGCTTGGAAGAAGACCCCAAACTTCAGGTAAGACCACAACCCCAGCTGACACCATGATTTCAGCCTAAGGACACCTAACCAGAGAACCCAGCTATGCTGTGAGACTTCTGATCTACAGAAACTACGAGGTAATCAATGGGTATCATTTGAAGCTGCTCAGTTTTTAGAAGTTTGTTATGGAGCGATAGAAAACCAACACTCAAAGAAACCAAGCCTGGGGATTTGTCTCACCCAAAATTAAGGTATGACTCTGAAGCCTGAACTGGCTCCACCATACTCCTATAAGCCTTAATTTAAAAAAATATGAATAACGATGTGCATGAAAATCTTTCTAAATTGTTTTATGAACCTGGGTTCTTATATATACTATATCAAACATAATCTTTTCTTGATAGCTTAGAGTCCATGTCATGAACATTAATGACTGCACCGTAATGCCCCAAGGGACTACATCCGCCCTCTATTCAATGGCACCAAACTAGTGTACTTTCTAGTTTGGGAACCTGGTTTTTTAGTGGTTTGTCACATTCCTTGCTGTCAGATGTCAACTAATATTTCTCACTGCTGTCAGTATAGAGCAGAAATAAGCCTCTTTTCCTGATTCTCTTTGCTGTGGGCTTAGAGAGGACAATGCAACTTGTGAGATTTTTCTAGCACAGGGGAAACTAAGTTCCAGATAAGTCTGGAGGGCTTTCCCATTCATTAAGTAAGAGAGGGAGGTTCAATGCTTGTTGGAGTTTGTGACACATATTTGGGCTGCTTAGAGGTTCTTTTTGTTTACTTCCTAGTTCTCAAAAATGTGCTAAATACATGTGTTTTGTAGGTACAGTGGGGCACTAGTTTTCTCTTGTTGCGGTAACAAATTACAACTTGGTGGTTCAAACAACACAAATCTATTGTCATACAGTTCTGTAGTTAGAAGTCCAACACAGGTCTCACTGGGCTAAAAAAAAAATGTTAGCCAAGACCAGGTGTGGTGGCTCATGCCTGGAATCCCAGCACTTCGTGGGCGCCGAGGTGGGCGGACTGCCTGAGCTCAGGAGTTTGAGACCAGCCTGGGCAACGTAGTGAAACCCCATCTCTACAAAAAATACAAAAATTAGCTGGGTGTGGTGGTGCACATCTGTGGTCCCAGCTACTTGGGAGGCTAAGGTGAGAGGATCAGTTGAGCCCAGGAGGTCGAGGCTGCAGTGAGCCACAATCATGCCACTGCAGTACACCCTGGGCAACAGAGCAGAACCCTGTCTCAAAAAAAAAAAAAAAAAGTTAGCCAGGTGGATTCCTTTCTGGTGGCTGTAGAGGAAAATCTATTTCCTTGCATTTTTCAGGTTCTAGAGGCTACCCACATTCCTTGGCTCATGGCCCTCTTCCATGTCCAAAGCCAGCAACAGCAGGTAGAGTCCTCACATGGCAACACAATGATCTTCCTCCTCGGTCACCTCTCCCTCTGACTCTCTCTTCTGATTTCCTGTTCCACTTTTAAGGACATATACAACATTGGGCCCTCTTGGATAATTCAGAATAATTTCTGTATCTTAAGGTCATCTGCTTAGCAACCAACTCCATCTGCTGTCTTAATTCCCTTTTGCCACATAAACTAACATAATCACAGGTGCTAGGGATTAGGACTTGGGTATCTCAGGGTGGGGGAGTGGCATTATTCTGCCTACCACAGGCAAAGCAAAATACTCT
Source organism: Homo sapiens (assembly GCF_000001405.40). Classification (NCBI taxonomy): domain Eukaryota; kingdom Metazoa; phylum Chordata; class Mammalia; order Primates; family Hominidae; genus Homo; species Homo sapiens. The sequence goes on along the minus strand of NC_000001.11, from coordinate 42,402,164 downwards.
AGAATACTAACAAGACCTGTCTAGTTCACAAGAGTGCTAATGATTTTTAAAAAAGAAAATGAGGCCGTGAACGTAATTAGGGGCATCTTCATGAAGAGGATGTTTTGTAAGAAGGGAACTCCCAGCTTCCCGCCATCCCGCTGATAAGCTTATGTTCTCTCTAGCCATCCTTCCTTCCTTTCTTTTCGATGCAGTAAGAGAGGTCTTCCTAATCCATCCCTGGCCCACTGTGCTTTAGACGCCCTTTCTCAACTCCCCAGGGATTTTGCACCCTCTCTACTATATCTTCAACCTCCCAATTCCTAATTTCATGGGCATTTTAAACATGCTCAATTATCTTCCATCTTAAGCAAATAAGAGTCCCTATTCTTTGACCCTGCATCATCCCTTAACTATAACTTTGTATCCCTACCATTAGCCACTGAAAGAGTTATAGAAAGCCACTGTTTCCATTTCCTAACTTCCCATTTATTTCCTTCTCCCTCTCTCCAGCACTAAACTGAAGCTGTATTCATTAAACTCCCTTTTGCTGAACCCAACACACACATCAATGTTGACAAGTCGCATTATGTTACCTGTCCTTTTGGAATCACACAATACTTTTGATTATACCACCCATCTTGGAATACTCTCTCCGTTGGCTTCTCTGATCTCTCTTTTTTCTCTTCTCACCTCTCAAGTTGCCCGCCCTCCCTCCCTCCTTCCTTTTTTTTTTAGACATGGAGTCTCATTCTGTCATCCGGGCTGGCAATGGCATGATCATAGTTCAAAGCAGCTTTGAACTCCTGGGCTCAAGTGATTAGTTTCTTTTATAGATTCCTCTTCCTGTACCCATTCCCTAAAGCAGGAGTCCCCAACCCTAATAACAGGCTGTGGCCTGTTAGGAACCGGGCGGCACATCAGGAGGTGAGCAGCAGGTGAGCAAGCATTACTGCCTGAGCTCCACTTCCTGTCAGATCAGTGGCGGCATTAGATTCTCATAGGATCTCTAACCCTATTATGAACTGCACATGCAGGGGGATCTAGGTTGTGCACCGCTTATGAGAATCTAACTAATGCCTGATGATCTGAGGTGGAACAGTTTCGTCCTGAAACCATCCTCCCCCACCCCACCCCCATCTGTGGAAAAATCGTCTTCCATGAAACGGTCCCTGGTGTCAAAAAGCTTGGGGACCACTGCCCGAAAGGATTCCCTCTTTTAAAAAAATGTTGGTGTTAAAATATACATAAAATATACCATTTTAACCATTTTAGGTGAACAGATCAGCCCTCTTTTCTTCCTACATACACTCTCCCTGAGTACTCTCATCCATTCCTCGGACTTCACCTCACATAATGAAGGTTTCCAGCTCCACTTCCCTAGTCTGCACTTCTTTCAGAAGCTCCAGATTCATTTATCTGCTGCCTACTAAATATTTTTACTTGCATGTACTACAGACACCTCAAACAGATCATGTCCCAAACTGAAATCACCTCTCCCCTATAATCCTTCACCCCCTACCCACAAATCAGCTTCTTTCCTCCCACATTTCTAGTCTTAGCAAATGTTTGCTTTCACATCTGGTTGCTCAAATCAGAAACCAGTCACTCTTGATTTCTCTCCAAACTCTTCATATAAATCAATCATCATGTCCTATTATTTCTACAAACTTCACAATTCCTGAATCTGTTCACACATCTTCATTCCCACTGTTAGTTTAGACCATCGTTGCTCACTTGGATTATTTTAAAAACCTACCACTACTTGTCCTGTCTCTACTTTGCCCCTGTCCAATTCCTTCTCCACAGTATAGCCAAAGTGATCATCTGAACTATAACTCTTATCAGGTCACCTCCCTGATTAAAGCCCTCCCATAACTTCCTGTTAGTCTCAGGATTAACCCTCATCTCCTTCACCTGCTGTATATAGTGCCCTCTTATTTTCCCAGCCTTATATTTAGCTATATCTCTCTTAACATTCTACAAACTACTCAGAATACCACCAACAGGTCAGGGTGTCTCTCCCCTCTGGGTCTTTCTATATTCTGCTCTCTTGTTACATTACCTCCCTTCCACCATCTCCCTTTGCTTAGCTAGATAACTTCAGCGTAACTCTATGTTAGCTCTTTTAGGAAGACTTCCTCAATGTCTAAACTGCACTGGGGAGCTCTCCTACATACTCCTGCACCGCTCTGCACTTATTCTTTTCATAGCATGTTTCACATTGCTCTGAAATTGCCTGTTCACTTGTCCTCTGCCTCTGATGAACTGGGAATGCCTTGAGGGCAGGAGCCTCTTGCTTAATGCTGTAACCCAGTGCCTAGCATGCTGCCTGGCACACAGTGTGTACCAGATATGTATTTAATGAATAACTTACAGAAGGGAAGACGCCAAGGCATTTTCAGATAGAAAGGCCAGGATAAAGATTTCAGATAGGCCAAGATGTTGAATCAACAGACTCACATTCAAAAGCAACAAAGATACTAGAAGGTTTCTAAGGAAAGAAAACAGAGATGCACATGATTTGGGAAGCTATTTCAAGCTGACTCACCATAGGAGAAGGTGTCTGGCATGGGGACCCCATGTCCAGCCAGTTCTTGGAACGTCCAGAATTTGTTGATGCAATTTAAGATGCTCTGTGGGCGATTGACCAACCGGCAGCCCAGCTTCTCCAGGTGTCGCAGGACAGTGATGTCACTGTCTGACTGCACTGAGGGTGTGGGTACCCGTACAAGCACCACATCCGGGAAAGTGGTGAGGGCCTTCTGGTTTAGCTGGAGGCCTGCAATTCAAGGACAACAGTGAGTGCTGTGCCTGCTATCGTTTAGTCCACCAGAAGAAATGGTTCCAACAGACTCTTCAAGACTGAACCTAGTAGGAACAGAGCCTCAAAATTGGCCCCCTGGACATCCTGGTGTACAAGGAAACTCTATAGGCAACCCTATACGCCAAACAAACAGGCAGAGCATGATCATGAGGAAACACAAAGGAATGACCAGAAAGAAAGCATATCAAGAATAATCTAGGTTAAAAGAATCCACAGGAGATATACAGTCACCTTCCTTCCCATAGGACAAGTATGACTCAAAGTGTAGTGGCTTAGGAGGTGGAAGGCTTAATGAAAAGGAAATAGTTTTGCCCACTTTAGGAATCCCTACCACTCTTTTATATCTGATTGGAACATTATATAGCCCTTTTTTTTTTTTTTTTTTTTTTTTAAAGACAGGGTCTTACTCTGTCACCCAGGTTAGAGTGCAGTGGCATCATCTTGGCTCACTGCGACCTCTGCCTCCCAGGCTCAAGTAATCCTCCCACTTCCGACTCCCCAGTAGCTGGAACTACAGGCGTGCACCACCATGCCCAGCTAATTTTTGTGTTTTTTGTAGAGATGGGGTTTCGCCATGTTGCCCAGGCTGATCTCACACTCCTGAGCTCAAGCAGTTCACTCGCCTCAGCCTTCCTGTGTTGGGATTACAGGCGTGAGCCATTGCGCTGAGCTATGCAACCATTTAAATGATTTTATCAACATAATGCACAAATGTCAATGTTAAGTGAAAAAACAGGATATAAAATTATAAATAATGCATTATGATCTCCACTATATAAACAGATACAAATTGGGAACAGCTAGAAGGAAATATACCAACATTTTAACAGTGGGTAATGGAATTACAGGTAATGTCTTCTTTATATTTTATACTTGTCTGTATTTTCCAAAATTTCTCCAAGTACTTATTACCTTTACAACAAAAAACTTTCTGAAAAATCAGTCTACTAAAAATCAGTTCAATTCAATATCAAAGAAAACTAGAATGCATCCAAAGACAACCAATCCACTTTGCAAGATGACGTGATGCTGTATTCCACTGGGTTAAGTAGGAATATTAGCTTGAAGTGAAGACTCAGAGGAACAGGAGCACAGTCTTCAAGTTTCTGAAGGGCTTCAGTGCAGAAGAATTATTTGGCTTGTCTTCTAAAACTCCAGGAGACAGAGATATCCATAAGAGCATTATTTTGTCTGTCTGTTCACTGATGTATCCTCAGCACCTAGAATAGTGCCTGCTGCACGGTAGGCACTCAGTGTTTGTTGAATTGAATAGATGCTATAGGGAGATGGATTTGGGCTCAACAAAATGGATACTTTTCCACTCCCTTAGGATGTAAGGGCCAAGGCTCATTACTCAAGGATGGTATAAGAGAGCATGCAAGGGTAAGAGGGGTTCACAGCAACTTGCTTGGTCCCTCCCAGTCCTGACATCCTATGGCTGGTATTACTCTATGTCATTACCTAGGTCTCCATGGTGCACCCAGAATCTGGTGATGGAATGATGCAGACAGGATATGGCATGAGTAGGGCAATGAGAAGCTAGTTCAAGGAATTATACTTGGTCTGCTCTAATTAACCTTGAAGGAATCTCTAAAATGCTCTAAAGAATATATTGTATTATTTTATTTTTTTTTTAGACACAGGATCTTGCTATCGCTCAGGATGGAGTACAGTGGTGTGATCACAGATCACCACAACCTCTAACTCCTAGGCTCAAGCGATCCTCCCACCTCAGCTTTCCAAGTAGTTGGGACTACAAGTGTGCATCACCATGCCTGGCCAATTTTAAAAAAAATTTTGGGGAGATGTAGTCTTGCTATGTTGCCTAGGCTGGTCTCAAACTCCCAGTCTCAAGTGATCCTCCTGCCTTGGCCTCCCAAAGTGCTGCGATTACAGGCATAAGCCACTGTGCCCAGGCAAAAAAACCTTTAAAACACAGTCTACAGAGATATTTTATAGGCTTTAACCCAAAGCACCTTCTATTTTGTAAGTGATATTATACTGCATAACCACATAATTCTAGGGGGAAAAGGGTGCTAATGAAGTTACAATTTCTCCACCAGGTGATGAATAATATCAATATAAAAGCTCTAGGCACAAAGATGAAAAACAAAACACCCACAAAACTACTACATGGCCCTGAATTGCACACTTTCCCCCATTCTAGGAGATATTTCACTGATTAAAAAGGGGAGGGGTAGGAACAATCATTACAATAAACTGTTTTTTGTACTTCCGCTGATCATGTGAGTCCAAGGAACTGGAACCTAATTCTCAGGGTTATAAACAGCATCCAAGTTATCTTCACTTTGCCATCAGAAAACAGTATCACTTACAGATGCTTTTACTGTTCTTTGAAAAATTCCTTTGACACTTACAGCCCTTGGGGGAAATAATGCGAAAGGTAAAAGTAACCCATGTGTAGTAGCCTCAAAAGTGGTTGGAGAAAAAAGAAAAATATTCAAGTTGCTTAAGATAGTAAATACAGAACACCCAGGACAACATTACACAGTGAGATAATATATGTGAAAATGCTTTGAAAACTATAAAATGCTATACATATGTAAGGCACTGGCATTATTACTACACAGAAGACATTCTACTAAGCAAAGTAGGACAACTTATGGAGATTTTTACCACCTCACAAGAAAAACAGCTTTACAACAGAAACATGACCTAGAGAAACGAGAAGCAGCAAAAACGTCTGGCTTTCAAATCCCAACATGAGACCACAGACAAACAGTTAAACTTCTAAATGGGAAGAAAAGAATTCAATCATTTCTGGAAATACCAACCACAAGTGGACAGAGACAACTCAGCCTCAACGAGCAGATTCACATAGACCTAGGAAGTCTTACCAGGACTTCATCTCTCTTCTCCAAAGGTAAATCTTTGGGCCTGGCTCATTCCAACTGAAGCCTTTAATAAATGAAGAATGGAATGGGTTAAAGTATAGCCCAAAAGGCTCTACTAAGCAGTTAGACAGGTCTTGTGCATGCTGGCTATCCAGGCCTGTGCAGAGAGGGACATGACAGGTTTAGGGATGCAGTTGCAAAACTAATCACAATCTTTGCCCATTGACACAGCTCTGACATTCTTTTTTTTTTTTTTTTTTTTTTTTTGAGATGGAGTTTCACTCTTGTTGCCCAGGCTGGAGTGCAATGGCGTGTTCTCAGCTCACTGTAACCTCCACCTCTCAGGTTCAAGTGATTCTCCTGCCTCAGCCTCCCAAGTAGCTGGGATTACAGGTGCCTGCCACCATGCCCGGCTAATTTTTTTTGCATTTTTAGTAGAGAGGGTTTCATCATGTTGGCCAGGCTGGTCTCTTGACCTCAGGTGATCCGCCCGCCTCAGCCTCCCAAAGTGCTGGGATTACAGGCGTGAGCCACCGCCCCCAGCGCTAGCTCTGACATTCTTGCCATGGGCAACTTCACATGCCTCCTGCTCTTTCCCATTGCCACTGCCATCATATTTCTAATAGTAGTAGACAAGAAGCAGCTGCTCATGTGGCTTCAGTGGGAGCAACAGTTATACACAGCCATGGCCAAGGACAATTTGGGTTTAAGGCTGGCCCTCGGCAAAAGGTCTGTAAATTTTGAGACCTTTAACCACTTAAGTAATCTCCTCTCAGGAAAGGACCTAATAAACTTAATACAGGATGGAGCTTAATGTATCACCTCTCCCAGGATCGTTAACATTTCCACTGCAATCTACGGACCTCAAGTCAAGGGAACGAAGAGCTGATGCAGGATATCAGGAAGGACAGGGCTCTGCTTGGTTGCTAGTCAACAGAAGGAAAGCCCTCAACAATCAGAGGCTCATGCCCTCCAAGAAGAGATTTCATGTGATTAAGTACCCTAGTGCTCTTGGGTATCACCCTAACTTGGGGAGAGGGAGAGGCAGCTGAATTGTTTCTGGAATATTTTGGGGTCTCCCAGACTCATGGGGTGGGCTTGAGATTATGTTTAGCCTCAAACCACTTAAAAAAAAAAAAAAAACTAAAACAACCACTCTGTCCCCAAATAGGTCAATGAAATATTAGTGGAAAAAAGATCAAACCTCAAACAAGTTAGGACAGTGACCAACTGCCAACCCAGTTAAAACCAATTTTTTGAAACCAAAACAATATTTTCTCTATGTTCTAAAAAAGAATAATCTACTTTTATGGGTAATTGTGTTCTGATTTCCTTTTGAATTCTCTATTTATATTTGAAAATATTTTGATGTATTAAAAACAAGATAGAAAACCAGGATAACTTTTCCCAAAGAACAGAGTCTGTTTTTTCTAACCCATATACTGGGTTAAATTCTACATAACTAGGCGGGGCACAGTGGCTCTCGCCTGTAATCCCAGCACCTTGGGAGGCCAAGGCGGGTGGATCACCTGAGGTCAGGAGTTTAAGACCAGTCTGGCCAACATGATGAAACCCCGTCTCTACTAAAAATACAAAAATTAGCTGGGCGTGGTGGTGTGCACGCCTGTAATCCCAGCTACTTGGGAGGCTGAGGCAGAAGAATCACTTGAACCCAGGAGGCAGAGGCTGCAGTGAGCTGAGATCGCGTCATTGCACTCCAGCCTGGGCAACAAGAGCGAAACTCCGTCTCAAAAAAAAAAAAAATCTTCATAACTGGACTTACGCATTTGTATGTGCAATAGCGAAGAAATACACTTTATGATAAAGAGAAATAGCTTCAGAAATAAATCTTTATTGGAAAGCAGAGTTCTAAAACTTAACCATTCTCAATCATCATAACAACAGAGGGAAGCAGAGGCATGGATAATAAAAGGTCTTGTAGTTCAGATTTGAATTCGGACAAGATTTTTATTGAGCCTCTATTGCGTTTTAGGTTATTTGCTAAGAACTTTCACACATTATCTCGTTTAAAGTAAAGGTGTCTTATAATACAGATCCTTGGAATTGATTTGACTATAAATGTCTTTGCATTTACACAAAGCCGATACATAATGAGTCATCACCCTCCAACCTGTGCATGCATGTCACTCACATATGTGTGCACACATGTGCATCCTTGGATTCACTAAAGAAAGCTTCAACACCAAACGGATGTCTGGTATGCCAGAAAAAACCTTCATGTACAAAACAAGCAGAAAAATTAAGAAAACAGCAGGATACTAAAGCATGACAGCAAACAAGGACCTCACTTATGGTAGCTTTTAGAACCATTATATTTGAGCAGGATCATGTAACAGTGGCTGGCAGTGAAACTCTGAAAGTTACCAGAAAGGAATCAACTATATAAATAACGTGAATAGGCCAGGCATACTGGCTCACGCCTGTAATCCCAGCACTTCGGAAGGCCGAGGCAGGCAGATCACCTGAGGTCAGGAGATCGAGACCAGGCTGGCCAACATGATGAAACCCTGTCTCTGCCTAAAATACAAAAATTAGTTGGGCGTGGTGGCAGGCGCCTGTAATCCCAGCTACTCAGGAGGCTGAGGCAGGAGAATTGCTTGAACCCGGGAGGCAGAGGTTGCAGTGAGCCGAGATCCCGCCATTGCACTCCAGCCCTGGGGGACAAGAGTGAGACTTTGTCTCAAAAATAAATAAAAAAATAAAAGTGGATAATCCACTTAGCACTTCAGATTATCTTGTGTTGTGAGGAAGATGTGTCATCCAAACATGACTTGGCACACCTCCATCAGTTTCCACCTTTCCCCTTATTTCTTCCTACTCCACCCACAGCATTTTCTCGTAAAACAGTTATTTTTATTTTTAACAAGTAGATGCCACACCCCTCTCCTTCCCTTTTAAAGTTCTTTGTGACAATGCCCAAAGAAAGCTCACCTCCACCTCACTAAAACCCACAGACATTTATGTGGCCATTTTCTCTTTCCACCAACTGTGATTTTGAGGTGATTTAATTCAATTCAACACTTATTGAACTGGTTGGTATGACTCAGACACACTACTAAGCAGGAATACAAAGTTGAACTAGATGGTCTCTGCCTACCAGGAGATTATAGTCTCCTCACAGAGAAAGATACACAACTTAAATATGCATTTTTTTCACTCCTGAAACACATTGATTGTTTCACATATTCATTCAGGGAATATTTATTTAGCACCTACTTTGGGCCAAGCCTAGTGTTAGTTTGGTTTCTGTAGAAGCTCACTCAGACAGGATTTAAGTGCAAGTAGTCTCTCTGGATAGTAATTTCAGGAAATGTTGGGAGGGGCATAGAGAAGGGAATGAGGCAAACAAAACATACTTTATCAAGGGAGTTACCACCTCTCAGCAACCAGAGCTGAATCCTGCTGAGGAACTCTAGGAAATGGCTTAGTACATGCACTTCAGTTATTCCACCTGAGAGGCCAGGGAGTTGACAATTTCAAGTTTTTGTTTTGAGACAGGGTCTTGCTCTGTCATCCAGGCTGGAGTGCAATGGCGCGATCTCGGCTCACTGCAACCCCTGCCTCCCGGGCTCAAGTGATTCTCCTGCCTCAGCTTCCTGAGTAGCTGGGACTACAGGCACGAGCCACCATGCCTGGCTAATTTTTGTATTTTTTGTAGAGACGGGTTTTCACCATATTGCCCAGGCTGGTGTCGAACTTCTGAGCTCAGGTGATCTGTCTGCCTCAGCCTCCCAAAGTGCTGGGATTTCATAAACTCATAATGTCTACCTCTCAGGGTATGAGCCACTATGCCCAGCCAATTTCAAGTGTTTATACATCAACTCAGTTTTTGGTTAAGGCTGCTCCAGGGGCATGGTGTTAATTTCCTGACCCTTCTGGCTTGCCATACATGTGTGGGCAACGTGGGATCCTGTACCAGACAAAGCCCTCTAACAGGTGCAGGTGCTGGTAGTCAGAAGCCGGGCCCTGGTGCAATCAAATGGTAAAAGCCAAAGGGACTGACAGGGAAGGAACAAGCACTGTCTTCTTAAGGGCTGGGCATGGGAGTTGACAGGTGTGAGTAAAACAAACAATATCCCTGGAATTTAAGAAGACAGACAACACACAGTTGTTATTAATGCTGTTAATGTTCTGTGTAGAGCACCTGGGTCTTGTTGAGCAGGGGGAGGGAGAGGAGACTGACTGTAACACAATGTGCTAAGTGCTCCAACAGACCTACATCAGGGTCCAGGGAGAGCAAAGGAGGAGGGAGCAGTTAGGATGATTATCTCTGCCTGGGGAGAGAGAAAAATCAAGGAAAGTTTCAGAAAGGAAATGTTGACACCTCATGCCTCTAAACTCTGAAGAAATGTGGAAAACTAATAAATTCATAATCTCTACCTCTCAAACAAATCAATAGTAAGACATTGCATCTTATAGGCACTGAGTTCAAGAATGTCTCAAGGCTAAAGTAACTCCTTGGAAAGGCCCTTCAAGAAGTTGAAACAACATGAGATGAAAGGGAATTTGGCAAAGTGGATACAGTATTGGCCTTCAAGTCAGAGACCTGATTTATTTAGCTGCTCTCATTTAGCTTGGCAAGACACAAAAATCGCTTTGGGTCTGTCTCCTCTTCTATAAAATGGAAGGGCCCCAGAACCTGGCAAACCTTCCTCCCTCATCTCCCTCGCCATCTCACAACATGATCTTTCTTCAGCTATGAAGACAAAGCTCAGCAAGTCCTTCTCCTCTGTTCATATCAGTCACCCAAGTCTCAGTCTCTGAGGCCACATCATTTCCCTGGACTGTATACCCCATATAGCTCTGACACTGCCTTTTCTCATTCCACCCTCCACCTCTTCCCATCTCCACTCTGCCCTCTGAAACTCAATGGACAGAAAATTCCCTTATCCTCAACCTTTTCCGTGTGCCTTCCCTTCACTTTCCTTCTTTTTCTGAGTCAAGCTGCATCCTGTCTCTCGCCAATGACACCGCTTCCCCAACAGCCCTCTAAGTTGTGGCTGTTTTCTCCCCTCTCGCCACAGATTACTGGGCCTAGATATCCTCCTCGCTCCTGATTGCAATTAGAAGACCATTCTGCCTTCTCTCCTCCCTAAAATATCCAGCCTGAATCTCATCAGGCCACACAACACATCACCCCTTCTTGTGCAAGTCGTCTACAGAGCCCAGGTCACTCCCTCTGTTCTTGAAGCTTTAGCTCCTTACTCTTACACTATCAGAAATATTGGTGATTTCCATGTCCCTATGAAGAATCCTTTCAATGCCAAGGACTCTCAATGTCTTGACCTCCTTTTCTCCAAGGATCTTCTCCACCATCCCACCTCAGCTACCACTCCTGGTTACATTCTAGACTTTGTGCAAGCATCCTTATTCTAATCTCCAACCACTCCTCCTATCTTTCCAGCTTGCTTCTTCTAGTACTATTCCTTGACCCAGCTATGCATTGACCCCACAAGAAGCTACCATCCACGGGTACCACCATCTTTTCACTGTCCCTCCGTTCATATCCTCAACTTCCCTTCTTATCCTATTCAAACTCCATAGTCAAGCACCATGATCACTTCCTGCATATACCCTCAAATCCTTGCACCCACTTATTGTTTATGTAAACCACAACTCTGGCCAGACCAATTCAACCCTTTATGTCCCTCCTTTGTAATGAAACGTACCTAGGGAAAATACACAAACCTGCTGACTTGTCTCATGGGCACCCTTAATGTCTGGCAATCATTATATGTCCCTAGTCCCTTCAATCAACCACAACACTATTTCACACTTTCTCTTCTTATCTTACACTTTTATTACTTTGTCCCATCTTCTCATTCTTCCTATTTCAATGTGAAAAACTGAAGCAATCAGAAAAGACCTTCTCTGTAAGTTCCCACTATCACATCTACCCACCCACCTGCACCTGTGACATATAGATTACCTTCTCTGCTCTTGTAACAGCTGAATTGTCCTTACTCCTAGCTTAGACCAACCCCTCCAAATACGCAGTAGATCCCAGCCCTTCTCAGCCACTTAAAGCACTGCTCCTGCCATTTGCCTGTCTCTCCTACATCACCAATTTCTCCCGCTGTATTAGATCATTCACAACAGCATACAAATGTACCATTATTTACCCCTTCTTTATGAAAAGCCTCTCAGCTGGGCACGGTGGCTCACGCCTGTAATCCCAGCACTTTGGGAGGCTGAGGCCGGCAAATCACTTGAGTTCTGAAGTTCGAGACCAGCCTGGCTAGCATGGTAAAACCCCATCTCTACTAGAAATACAGAAAATAGCTGAGTGTGGTGGCATGTGCCTGTAGTCCCAGCTACTCAGGAGGCTGAGGCAGGGGAATCGCTTGAACCCAGGAGGCAGAGGTTGCGGCGAGCTGAGATCGCACCACTGCATTCCAGCCTGGATGACTGGCGATACTCCGTCTCAAAAAAAAAAAAAAAAAAAAGGAAAAGAAAATCCTCTGAATCCTGTCTCAATCCTGATAGCCTTTGGGCTATCATCCTGTTTTTCACCTTCCCTTTACAACAAAACTCTTAGACTGTTTATATTCACTCTTTTCTACCACTTACCTGAAACTGCTCTTATTGGGGTTGCTAATGCTACACGCACATTGCTAAATCAATTATAATTCCTCATCCGACTTCATCTACCAGAACATTTTTTTTTTTGAGATGGCGTCTCGCTCTGTCACCCAGACTTGAGTGCAGTGGCACGATCTCTGCTCACTGTAACCTTTGCCTCCCAGGTTCTAGCGATTCTCCCACCTCAGCCTCCAGAGTAGCTGGGATTATGGGCGCGCACCACCACGCCCGGCTAAATTTTTTTATTTTTTAGTAGAGACGGGATTTCACCATGTTGGCCAGGCCGGTCTCGAACTCCTGACCTCAAGTGATTCGCCCACCTCGGCCTCCCAAAGTGCTGGAATTACAGGCAAGAGTCACTGTGTCTGGCCTAGCAGCAACATTTGACATGATCTGATCACATCTTCCTTCTTAAACAACTTTCTCTCTCCACTTGGCTTACAGGACACCCACTCTCCTGGGTTTCATTTTTCTTTTACTCAGGATTCTTTGCTAGTTTCTCCTACTCACTCTGCCCACTAAGCACTGGAGCTCAATCTCTGAACCCTTCTCTATCTATAGTCACTCCCTTGATAGGTGTGTAAAGGTGCTCCTACTTTGGTATCTCCAAGCCAAGCCTTTTTCCTGAATCCCAATCTTTCCATAAATGGCTACCTGACATATCCCCTTGGATGTTTAATGTGCAACTCATACTGAGTTCTGATATTCCTCACCTGCCCAAACTTATACCTGTCTTCCTTTCCATATCAGCAAATAACATATTTTATTCTTCCAGCTGCTCAGGCCAAAAACTTTGGAGTCCTCCTTGACTAGTCTTTCCTGAACACCCAATATCTGATCCAGTAGTCAAATCCTGACCACTTTGTCTTCAAAATATGCCCAAACCCAGTCACTTTTCACCTTCTCCCTTGAAATCATTCTAGCCCAACAATCTCGTCTCACCTGAATTGTAGCAATAACCTCCTAAGCAACCTCCCTACTTCTGCTCTTGGTGCCTCTAGTCTATTCTCAACATGGTAGCCAGAATGACTCCGTGACCCATTAGGCAGATCATATCATTTCTCTGGTCAAAAGCTTTCAGTGGAGGCCAGGCACAGTAGCTCACGCCTGTAATCCCAGCACTTTGGGAGGCCAAGGTGGGCGGATCACGAGGTCAGGAGTTCAAGACTAGCCTGGCCAAGATGGTGAAACCCCATCTCTACTAAAAATACAAAAATCAGCCAGTACGGTGGCATGTGCCTGTAATCCCAGCTACTTGGGAGGCTGCGGCAGAGAACTGCTTGAACCTGGGAGGCAGAAGTTGCAGTGAGCTGAGATCGTGCCACTGCACTCCAACCTGGGCGACAGAGCAAGATTCCATCTCAAAAAAAAAAAAAAAAAAAACAAGCTTTCAGTGGGCCAAGCACAGTGGCTCATGCCTGTAATCCTAGCACTTTGGGAGGCCGAGATAGGTGAATTACTTGAGGCCAGCAGTTCAAGACCAGCCTGAACAACGTGGCAAAACCCTGTCTTTACCAAAAATACAAAAATTAGCTGGGTGTGGTGGTGTGTGCTTGTAATCCAAGCTACTAGAGAGGCTGAGGCAGGAGAATCACTGGAACTCAGGAGGCAGAGGTTGTAGTGAGCCGAGATCGTACCACCGTACTCCAGCCTGGACAACAGGCAAGACTCCATCTCAAACAAACAAAAAATATCCTTCAGTGGATTCCCAGCTCATCCAGAGTAAAAGCAAAAGTCCCTCAGTGACCCACCAGGCCCTATGTATCTGCTTCTTCCCCCACTCCCCTCTCTGACCTCCTCTCCTAATACTCATCCCTTGGCTCACTCTGCTGTGCCATGCTGGCCCCCTTGCTATTCCCTGTTGCCTAAACTACTCTACCTCCAGATATCTAAACAGCTTGCATCCTTACCTCCTTCAGATCTTTACACGGATTATCATCTTCTGGGTGAGGACCACTCCGGCCACCCCATCTAAAATTGCAATCCCCTCTCTTACCTCCAGAAACATTCTGTTTTCTTCTTTTTTTCTTGCTTAGCTCTTTTCGCCAATATACTATACTTTTTATTTACCTTGTTTACATCCTATTTTCCCCATCTAGAATGTAATCTACTTGAGAGGCACAGATTTCTGCCTACTTTATTCTGGTGCCTAGAAACAGTACTTTATACACACTAGGCCATCAATAGATATCTGTTGACAGGATTTAAAAAAATGAATAAAATCATAATAATGAGCGTGAAGCCTGCCTCTGTTCCCACTCTCCATTTTATCTCTACTGCCTAGTACAATGCCTGGCACAGAGTGGGCATTCAATAAATATTTATTAAATGAAATAAATGAATGTATAGGATTGTTGCAAAGATTAAGACACATAAAGTATACTAAAGTATTAACAACAGAGTTATAGGAATGCAGAATCAGTATTCCTGTTAGTTCCTCAACACAAAGTAATCTAAATTTATCACTTTCTCATAGTGGAATCTGGAGTTACATTTTTTTTTTTGAAACAGGGTCTCGCTCTATTGCCCAGGCTGGAGAGCAGTGGCACTATCACAGGATCCTCCTGCCTCAGCCTCCCAAGTAGCTGAGACTACAGGTGCATTCCACCATGACTGGCTATTTTTTATTTTTTATTTTTTGGAATAAATAAAAATAAATAAATAAACAGTCTCACTGTATCACCCAGGCTGGAGGGCAGTGGCTCAATCTCGGCTCACTGCAACCTCCGCCTCCCAGGTTCAAGTGATTCTCCTGCCTCAGCCTCCTGAGTAGCTGAGATTACAGGTGCATTCCACCATGCCTGGCTAATATTTATTTATTTATTTATTTATTTGAGATGGAGTCTCACTGTGTTGCCCAGGGTAGAGGGCAATGGCGTAATCTCAGCTCACTGCAACCTCCACTTCCCAGGTTCAAGTGATTCTCCTGCCTCAGCTTCCTGAGTAGCTGAGATTACAGGTGCATTTCACCATGCCTGGCTAATATTTATTTATTTATTTATTTATTTATTTATTTATTTGAGATGGAGTCTGTGTCGCCCAGGGTAGAGGGCAGTGGCGTAATCTCAGCTCACTGCAACCTCCACTTCCCAGGTTCAAGTGATTCTCCCACCTCAGCCTCCCGAGTAGCTGGATTTACAGGTGCATGCCACCAAGCCTGGGTAATTTTTGTATTTTTTTTTTTTTTAGTAGAGACGGGGTTTCACCATGTTGGCCAGGCTGATCTTGAACTCCTGACCTCAAGTGATCCACCTGCCTCGGCCTCCCAAAGTGCTGGGATTACAAGCGCCTGCCACAGCACCCCCCCAATTTTTTATTTTTATAGAGACAGGGTCTCTATAAAAAATTTTTCAGAATATGTTGTAGGTTTGTGTTAAAACAATATAAACCCAATTATAACCAAAAAACAATTATAATCCAAATTATAATTGTTTCTCGGGACAATGGGTAAAGTGGCCAGGGAAGCGGCTGGAGTGAGGTGAGGCTAACACTGACATATGCAGATGCAGTGTCCTCCCTGCTAGTGAGGGTAGTGGCAAGGAGGTGAGGTGTGGATGGGTGGAGATGACACAAACATCTCTGAGTGATGGCTGTACTCCCTTCCACCAAGCAGGCCCAACAAATTTGGTGGAAGTGTTCTGGTAGCTGCAACAGGTGGCTCAGAAATCTAGGAGTAGGGGCCAGGCTCGGTGGCTCACGCCCGTAATACCAGCATTTTTGGAGGCCGAGGTGGGCAGATCACCTGAGGTCAGGAGTTTGAGACCAGCCTGGCCAACATGGTGAAACCCCATCTCTACTAAAAATACAAAACATTAGCCCGGTATGGTGGCACATGCCTGTAGTCCCAGATACTCGGGAGGCTGAGGCAGGAGAACTGCACGAACCCGGGAGGCAGAAGTTGCAGTGAGCTGAGATCACACCACTGCACTCCAGCCTGGGTGACAGAGTGAGACTCCATCTCAAAAAGAAAGAAAGAAAGAAAGAAGGAAAGAAGGAAAGAAGGAAAGAAAGAAAGAAAGAAAGAAAGAAAGAAAGAAAGAAAGAAAGAAAGAAAGAGAAAGAAAGAAAGAAAGGAAGGAAGGAAGGAAGGAAAGAGAGAGAGAAAGAAAGAAACAAACAAACAAAGAAACAAAGAAAGAAAGAAAGAAAGAAAGAAAGAAAGAAAGAAAGAAAGAAAGAAAGAGAAGGAAAGAAAAAGGAAATCTAGGAGTAGGGCTTTGAGATCCATGAAGGATCTCATCCACTGGTTCTAAAACTCTTCCTAACATAGTTCATGGGGTATCCATAAAAACTCCTGTTAGAAACATAAACTAAACATCCACCCCACTCTCAGCCCTTGTAAAAGGATCCAAGAACACTTTGATTTAAAGAATCTGACCTAGAATTTGCCATTTAGCTACCAACGTTTTAGCTCTAAATGTAAGGGAAGGAATGCTGAATCATCCTGCTCCTAAGAGACAAACAGTAACACAACCTCATTTCCAGGTCAGACTCATTTTATATGTCTTGGTGGGTATCTGTCCCTGAGTTTGTGACTATACTTGTTTCTTGAGCCAATTAATCATACAGACCTGTGGGTGGGCAAAGAACTTAATTCTTCCTAGTGAATCTGTCCTCATTTACACATCCCCTCATGATCTCCCCCACACAGAAGCTCCTTAGCTCATTGCAGTAAAAGTCTCACATACTTCAAAGTAGCTTTTAAGACATTTCATTCAGTCATCCAATAAACATTAACGGAAGGCCTACTATGTACCAGTTTTGAAGCACACATTTGAGGAATCCTGGTTCTTCAGAGGGAGGGGGGATATAAACTGTATAAATAGACAATTATAGCAAAATATGATGAGTGCTATTTTAAAAGGTATGGACAAAGCTATTTGGCAGCAGATGGAAGAGAGGGACTACTTGAGGACAGAGAAAGGAGCGCAAGCAAGCCTTTTTAGAGATAAGTGACTTGTGCTGGATTTGAAGGATGAAAAAAGGTGAACCATGTGGGAGGGAACAGTGGGCATCTGAGGCAGAGGGAATTTTAGTGCAAGGTCTGGAGTCACAGAGAAGCATGGTGAAATCAGTGTAGACTGATGCAAGGGATAAAGTGGAAGAGAGGAGACAAAGTGTTTAGACCAGAATTACTGAGTATTGGTCCTAACTCTCAGCCAGTGCTATATTCCCATATATCCTTATTGGCATTTAGAAGAGCTAATAGGTAAAAAGCAGCTAAACCTATGCCCAGCACAGAATAAACACTATATATATATATATACACACACACATATATAGTATATATATACATACATATATACATATATACACACATATATACACATATATATGTATATATACACACATATATATACATATATATGTATATATACACACATATATACATATATACATGTATATATATATACACACACACACATATATGGCTATGACCATTATTATTATGTGCATTCTGGTGTCACATTCATCACTTTATCCCTAGGGTTGAGAATATTTAGTACGTATTTATGAAACGAATGAAGAACTTGCAGTTTCTAAAAAGGAAACGGAGATGGGTATGATTTTCACATAATGCTACACCCAGCAAAAAGTGAAGGGAGGCTGTTTTCTACAGGATTACTTCAGTCACCTAAAGATCATTTTCCTTTCTCCACTGTCTCCCACTCAGATTGCTAGATTAAAAATAATAATCATGAAAACTTGTAATCTCTTGTCTGAATCCTACTTCCAGATATAACCTGAAACTCTAAGCCCTGGATTTGGGCTCCCACTAGCCTCCAGGGAGAAAAGCTCAGGAATGAATTTAAGCAATAGACTGAGGCACTGCCCATACCTGCCCCAATCAACTCCACCATCATATTCCTACACTAACATAAAGAAGCAATGGAAAGGAGTGAAGGCACAAAAGCTTTGTAAAGGTGATACCTGAATTTCCTAAATTATAAAATTACATTGCAAAGTCACTGTCTAGCCTCAATATAACTCAATTCAGTTCAATTCCACATCTACTGAGAAAGGTACTATAGGCTGCAGACATCCTAAAGGAAGCTTATTCCATATCACTGGGCTAGAAATTAGAAGACCAGGTTTTTAAACTTTAGGTTTGCTGTTAACTAGCTGGATGGCATTGAGGAAGTCACTTCACCTTTCAGAGCCTCAGGTTCTTCTTCGTAAAATGAAGGAATTAGAATGGTTGATCTGAAAATCCTTCCCAGCTCTTACATTCTGTAGTTCTCAAATGGTAAATAATATCAATATCATCATAACTACATATTTCTGTATTTCAAAGCAAGTTGAATTCTGGAATTTTTTTTTCGAGAAATACTTTGGCTCGGCAAATTACCAAGTGTTTTCTATAGTCTGACTACAGAAGAAACTAGGAACCAGAGATCATATCCTCATTCATTTAAAAAAATATGTATTGAGAGCCTACTACGTGCAAGGCACTATTCTGGCCACTATTATAGCACTGAACAAAGCCAACAAGGTCATTCTCCTGGGACTCACTTGTGCTTTAATTAATCTACTTCCATAACAAATCTTTGGACAGCAGAATTGGTGATCTAATCGTTTTGTTCTACGTTTTGTGATTTGTGTAGGCTACCTCGGAATTAACAGAAATTAAAACTGCATCAAAAAATACCTGTCTTCAATTTCTCCATCGACCAGGCAAATAGCTGTGTACATTTTCCTGTAGTTAAAAAGAACAGGCCGGACGCGGTGGCTCACGCCTGTAATCCCAGCACTTTAGGAGGTCGAGGCGGATGGATCACCTCAGGTCAGGAGTTTGAGACCAGCCTGACCAACATGGTGAAACTCTGTCTCTACTAAAATAAATAAATAAATAAATAAATAAATAAAATAAAAATTAAAAAAAAAAGTAGTGGCACATGCCTGTAATCCCAGCTACTCAGGAGGCTGAGACAGGAGAATTGCTTGAACCCAGGAGGTGGAGGCTGCATGAGCCAAGATGGCGCCATTGCATTCCAGACTGGGCAACAAGACCCAAAACTCTGTCTCAAAAAAAACAAAAAAAAGAACTCCTGGTTTGTGAATAGATTAAGGTATTTTCACACATGAATTCTATTAACATTTAAGACACTAAACAAAAGGGTCTGAGTGTTTCCTGTGGCACTAGCATTTAATTTTATCTTTTTTTTAGGACTGATTCTTTAAAATGAGGTTTTAGATACAGAGCATTTTCTTGCTCTTACAGAATTTGTGACGGTTCTACAAACTAAATGTGATGTGGAATTTGGCTACTGTATCTCAAAAAAGAGACATCTTTACAAACTGTAAAATAAATAAGCAAAAAGTTCATCCTGGGTAGAAAGATGTACATGTTAACTACTTAATCTAGGTCGGTGAAATACAACAGATTATACAATTTAAATATGATCCTGAAACACATAAAGTGAGAGGAACCTTAACCCCTAGTTTCTATAAATAAGAATCCCGAGATTCAAAGACAAAAGTGGTTTGCCCAAAGCAAAGCCAAGATACTTGTTAACTGTAAAGCTGTAATAGGAATTCACATCTGCAGATTCCCTGTTCAGAAATCTAGTTCTACATTAACTGTGACAGTTTTAATAAATCAAGGATAGAGAGAGGGTACCGGTTGCATCTGATAGTCATTGTTGTAGATTAAATGTAAGGTACCTAATGTTTATGGTATATTTCTCCAACAGGATATACAATCTGATATTAAGTATGAGGGACTTCGATAAACTTGGAGATGAAAAATCTATAACAGATATATTCCACTCAGAAACAGGTCATATTCAAAATCTCACTTGTAAGTAGTCTTTCCGAATTTGAAATTCCTTCCCCTGCCAAAGCAAAGTAACAGATTACGAGCTTATTTAACCATTAATAATTGTTGAAATAATGCGAACAGTATCCCAAGATGCACCCTGAACTGGGCGCAAATCCTTTTGAGTCCTGGACTCCCTGAAATGGTTGGATGCCTCCAGTGGAGCCCCAGAGACACTCAAACAGCAAGCCAGAGGGTTTTCTGCGTCAGGGATTCCTAAATCAGAGAGGCCTGTATTAAGGATATACGAAAAAATAATTAACCTTTTGAGGTCAAACCCACAGATGACAACCATGTCTTACCCACAAAAGTCTCCTGAACACAGCAGTGGAGTGATCAGTGAGGCCAGAACTGTCTGAACCTGAAATCCCGGCTCTTCTGGAATCAGAATTCAACGCTGCTAGGGAGAAGGATGAGTTAAACCCATCAAAGGTCTACACTCCCACTTTACACTCGAGAAGTGACTCCAATCTTTCTCAGATTTCCCCCATATGTGGCTTTCTAGTTTGGAAATAATATTCTATGTGGTGCACATTACTGATGCTCACACACTCCCAAAAAACTTTTTTAAAACAGTCATCTTAATAGTAATTTTGTAAATCTGGTGTGGATTTCTAGAAACCTCAGAGTCTAAACTGTCAAGGTATTGATGCGAGCAGGATTTGCAAATGTGGGGTTTAACAGCCTGATTTTCCTCGGACACCTGGGTGGCTTCAGGTGAATTCGGGTTTCTCACAAAATGAAGTCCCCTAAGTAAATTAAATCGCGTTCTCGAATCTTGGCCTCGGGGCAGGTGGTGGTGGTTAAAGAAGCTATGAAGGTTAGCGGCTTTCTCCAACCCCAAGAAGTCTCGCAGCTAGAGTGCGGCTAGTGTGCGGGCCCGAAGGAGACTCTGCTGCGGGAGGCCCGGCGAGCGCGCCCACCCGACCGGCTCTCGTGGACCCCGGCGCGCCTCCCTGCCCTCCCCGGGCCCGCCTCGCTCACCGAGGTGGCCGCCGACGATGGTGACGGCGATCTGGTCCATAAGCACCGCCCGGAAGCGCACGTCCTGCTCGGAGCAGCGCTGCCGGAGGGCGCGCAGGATCTGCACCTGCGGGTAGTCCTCGCGGATGCGCCGGTCCGTCAGGAACCAGAGCTGGGAGCACATGGCGGCCAGGGCGGTGCGCCCCGCGCGGCGCGGACCCCTCGGCGCCCCGGGCCGCTCGCTCAGTAGGGCGAGCGGAGGGGCGGCCGGCGTCCGGGGCGAGCGCGCCACGGCTCCGCTCCCGCGGGTGCGCCAGGCGTCTCTGCAGCCCTGACCCAGCGAATCCGCCCGGCCACTCAGCGCCGCCGTCGGCCCCGCCAGCCAATCAGCGCGCGGCGGCGGGCGCTGGCGGCTGCAGAAGCGACCCTGGCGGGCGGTGCCGGGGAAGGACGGCGGGTGGGGGGCTTGCGGCGGCGGGGGAAAGGACCCGGGGTTCCGGGGAGCGAGCCGCCGGCGGGCGCAGGCGAGGCGGAGGAGGGCAGCCCCGGCAGGCCCCGGACACCCGGTGGACGTGGCGCTGCGGGCTGGGGTGGGACAGCCGGAGCAGGAGGGGCCGGGGCGGCGGCCCTGTGAGGCTCGGAGGGTTTCCGAGCTGACGGGCCAGAGATGCGCAGTGGGCGGCGGATGCGTCTCCCAGGCGATCCCGGGCGCTCGGGGGCTGGGACACGGGCGGACGCCTGCTGAGCCCCGGACAGGGAGGGCCTCGGGGACGTCCCAAAGGAGATTCCGGGGTATGGCGAAGGTCACACGGCTAGGTCCCCAGTTGGACCCTAAAGCATTGGAAGGAGAGGGATTTCTCTGCCGAAATCCTAGCCTGAAGCCCCACGGGGGTGGGGGAGGATGTAGGAGAGGGGGAAGTTGAGTCTTACCCACCTCCCATTCAGATAATTTGAAAGTGCATTTCCTGGGGTCTCAGATTTTCTTACACTGGACATCCCCTCCTAGGTTTCAGCAGGTCTGAGCCTTCACAGACTCGAGGTCATAAAAAATTGACCTAGCATCCTTTTCAGTTAGAAGGACCACTGGCTGGTCTCCCTTCACCACTCCCGCTCTCCCCAGGCCATACAACTGAGTCATCTTTAAACACTGTCCTTGGTCCTGGCCAATTGCAAACCCTGCCTGCAGACAATAGTGTTTGAAGCCAGATTTTCCTTTCTAAATAACTGCAGGATTGAAGTTAGCCATTTTTGGAGACTGCATTTGCTCTTCCAGTTCATTAAAATATGCCTTTTTTTAATTTCTTTTTTGGCTTAGGGAAGCAAGAGTAGTTTCAAGGTAGACCCAGCAATGGCAACTTAGAAATGGGGTAAGTTGTCTCAGGGAAGGCACAGGCTTCTCTGTAAATATTGTGCAGGTGTGTGCATTTACTCACTAAGATGAGCCTATAGGAAAGTTCTGTATACTGGAATTTCAAAAGTTATTTTTCAAGCAATGTTTTTCTTTTTTTTTTTTTTTTTTTTTTTTGAGACGGAGTCTCGCTCTGTGGCCCAGGCTGGAGTGCTGTGGCGCGATCTCGGCTCACTGCAAGCTCTGCCTGCCGGGTTCATGCCGTTCTCCTGCCTCAGCCTCCGGAGTAGCTGGGACTACAGGAGCCCGCCAGTACGCCTGGCTAATTTTTTGTATTTTTTAGTAGAGACGGGGTTTCACCGTGTTAGCCAGGATGGTCTCGATCTCCTGACCTCGTGATCCACCCGCCTCGGCCTCCCAAAGTGCTGGGATTACAGGCGTGAGCCACCGCGCCTGGCCTTTTCAAGCAATCTTAAGTAAGTATTTTGATGTTGCAAAATATCTCCTCCCCCGTTCTATGAATGTATTTTCTTAAAGTAACAATAGTGCCCTATGGATTGGTAACTTTCAAAACTATTTTATGGCAAAAGACAAAATTACAACAAATTTAGTTATAGATTGAATTGGCTTTTGAGATTCATGAATTGGGGTAGCCTCCATTCCACAGAATAGAATGAGAGCTTTCACTGGGCAATGGCAGAAGAGTGGGTTTTAAAAGAGGGGAACAAGGAAATAGAGCAATGGAAGAAGAGCTGATTGCTTAACATCAGGCTACTTTGGGTTACTTTTTTGGTAAGGGTTAAAGCAGAGGGGACTTCCTTATTCTGACTCAGGTAAACTGAAATCTCCTGTTTTCAGGAAAAGCTGGTCTGTTGTGGGATGTACCTCAAGTTTGATTATGTGGCATTTAGCAGGAGGGACTCGATTTGGTTTGGTCTATTCTGTTGTGGCCTGGTGCAAAAGCTCAGTCCAAAACAATGGCCTCCCATAATTTTTGTTTAACACTTCGTAAGCTTGAGCTCTAGAACCTCTATGTTCTACATTGGCCTTTTCCTTGATGTTTCATGTTATACATTTTTTTAACCCTGGCTCCTACAGTATCACCCATAGAATGTGATGCTTCCTTTAAGGCTTCTATAGTATCACCCATAGGAGGTCTATAAGATAGTCAGAACCTTGATTTTCATATATCTTTACTAAAAGATATATAAGTCAGTGAATTTAAAAGTTACTTATAACCCATTTTCAAAGCCATCCACACTAGACTAGAATGTTTTAAGTTAACTGTAGATGGCTATCAAGGTCCATAAAAGCCAGGCTTGAGAAGAGCAGAATCTGAGGATGGGATCCAGATGTTGTAATCACTTTCTCTGAACTCCCTCACCAGGAGCTCACTACCAGCTCTGTGATCTCCCCTTCTCCAGATGGGACACAAAGACCTGGGACAGTAGCATATCCAGTTAGGAAATGACTACACATGTATGTGCAATGTTCTCTTACGTCACCGGAATTCCTCAAGCACAGAGGCAGCTTTTCCAGGTACAGGTCTGCTTTCTAAGATGTATTACTTTATGGAATATTTCTCCATAGGTGACTCCCAAATTCAAATTTAACCTTGATGTTCCCTGAGCTTTAGGATTTAAAAGGATGTTGTTCTGCCATCACCTCAATGTCCCTAGGCTAAACTAATTATTTTCCCCTCCAGTCCAGGCTCAACTGTCTTAAACAAAAAGGAAAATGAATTATCTCATATAACAAGAAACCTGGAGGTAGGTACGTTAGGATTCTTTTTTTTTTTTTTTTTTTTTGAGACAGTCTCACTCTGTCATTCAGACTGGAGTGTAGTGGCGCGATCTTGGCTCACTGCAACCTCCGCCTCCCAAGTTCAATTGACTCTCTTGCCTCAGCCTCCCGAGTAGCTGGGATTACAGGAATGTGCCATCACACCCGGCTAATTTTTTTTTATTTTTAGTAGAGGTGGGGTTTCGCCATGTTGGCCAGGCTGATGTCTTAACTCCTGACCTCAAGTGATCTGCCTGCCTCATCATCAGTGACCCAGACTCTTTCCATATTTTCACTCTGACAGCCTTGGGCTAGTGCCCCTCATAGCTACAAAATGGCTGCCACAATTCTAGCTGACGTACATACATGCACAATGTCCAGCAGAAACAGAGAGACTATTTCTTCCTGTGTGTCTCTTTTTTTAATCGGCAAGGAAAACTTTTCTCAGAAGCCCTCAAGTCGACTTTCCAGTCTCATATGCCCACATCTAAGCCAGTTACCAGCAAAGAAAAGGAAACTATCATGAATGGCTTAATTTCATTATGGTTCATTCCTTGGGGCTGGGAATTAGACTCCCTTCCTCCAAGCACATGGCCATGTAGAGGTGGATGAACTGGGGAAAGATTGGAGGTATTTTAGGAGGATTGAAAGGAGAATAGATGGCCAGGTGCAGTGGCTCATGCCTGTAATCCCAGCACTTTGGGAGGTTGAGGTGGGCGGATCATTTTAGGCCAGGAGTTCGAGACCAGCCTGGCCAACATGGAGAAACCCTGTCTCTACTAAAAATACAAAAAAACTAGCCGGACATGGTGGCGCGTGCCTGTGATTCCAGCTACTTGGGAGGCTGAGGCACAAGAATCACTTGAACCCAGGAGGTGGAGGTTGCAGTGAGCCGAGATTGTACCACTGCACTCCAGCCTGGGCCACAGAGCAAGACACCATCACAAAACAAAACAAAACAAAAAAAAAGGAGAATAGATGTTGGGAGGATAAACAATGGTGCTTCGTATAGATGACAATATGGTAAATGTATCAGTCAAGATAAGCTAGGTTAGGCTGTGGTGACAAGTGATCCCAAGAGGGCTTGCAACAATGAAGTCTTATTTCTGAAAATGTACTCATACATAGTAGGACAGTATGGCTATCCTCTAGGTTGTTTTTGTGCCAGGACCCAGGCTGACAGAGCAGTCTTTACTATTTCTTTTTTTCAGAGAGAGGATCTTGCTCTGTTGCCCATGCTGAAGTGCAGTGGTATAATCAGAGCTCACTGCAGCCTCAAACTCCTGGGCTCAAGCAATCCTCCCACCTCAGCCTCCTGAGAGGGTAGGACTACAGATGCACACCACCATACCCAGCTAATGTTTTTCTTTTTTTGTAGAGATAGGGGTCTCACTGTGTTGCCCGAGCTCATCTTGAACTCCTGGCCTCAAGTGATCTGCCTGCCTCAGCCTCCCAAAGTGTTAGGATTACAGGCGTGAGCCACTGTACCGAGCCCAGAGCAGTCTTTATCTGGAATATGTTGGTCTCTCATGGAAGAAGGAAAGTGATTATGATAAACTACATGCTGGCTCTTAATACTTGTGCCTGGCACTTACACATGGTCAGGTCACATTTTCTTGGCCAGACCAAGTTCACCTGGCCACACCTGATGTCAGTGAAGTAAAGGAAATATAATCCTTCCCTGGGAAAGGCAGCAAAAATTTGTGAACAATTGTGACCAACTATACAGTCTGCTACAATCGAAGACCAGAAATAGCCAAATCCTGCTCTGCTAATCATCCCTCCTCTCCTTAGGGTTCCCAAGGGAACTATATCCAAGAAAAACTGGAGTAGAAACCAAAGGATCATTTTATTCATAGCTGAGCTAGCACCCAACAACATCTAAAGCAGAGCTCTGCAAAAAGATGGAATCGAATTGCATGGCTTAGGTTTAAGGCTGAAGCGATGCTTCCTAATTCCCTGCCCCACCCTCCCTGCGCTGTAAGTTTTGGGACCAGTATGCTTAGGCATGCCTACAGAAAGAGAGGAGAAGATGCTCAGGTCTGCAAAGCTTTACTCATCCAAGTGTGTGCTAAATGAAGACTGGTCTGGGCCTACTCAGAAGGAAATGAGGGCTAGGCACAGTGGCTCACGCCTGTAATCCCAGCACTTTGGGAGGCTGAGGCGGATGGATCACCTGAGGTTAGGAGTTCGAGACTAGCCTGGCCAACATGGCGAAACCCCCATCTGTACTAAAAAAAAAAATTAGCCGGGCGTGGTGGTGGGCGCCTGTATAGTTCCAGCTACTCGGGAGACTGAGGTAGGAGAATTGCTTGAACCCAGGAGGCGGAGGTTGCAGTGAGCCAAGATCACGCCATTGCACTCCAGCGTGGGCAACAGAGGGAGACTCGTCTCAAAAAAAAAAAAAAAAGAAAGAAAGAAAAGAAGGAAATGGGGAATGATCCTTTAGCACAAAGTGGCCCCAACCACTAGTGTGGACTAAATATCCTGGTTTGATATTGTGATATAACAAGGGATATATATTTTGGTCTCTGTCCCCAGCTCCTGACTACATCTCCTAAAATCCTTGTAATTTCCTAAGTGATAGGAGCTATAGGAGCATCTTTTCCTGAAATACTGGGTTTAGTCCCTGGCTCCTGAAACAGCTCCAGAATGATAAAGTTGTGTTGTTCCTAACAGGCCCCCTTCAACCACACCTGAGTTTATGTTAGTAAGGTGACTTTTGGAAATCTCCCAAAGATGAGGAGCTGATTACCAGAGGAACCAACCGTTTGATTACAGAGTTGGAACTTTCAACCCCACCCACTCACCCACCCCAGCCTCTAGAGAGAGGAAAGGGGTTGAAGGTTAAGTTGGTCACCAATGGCCAATGATGTAATCAATCACTCCTACTTAATGAAGCCTCCATAAAAACCCTAAAGGACAGGCCAGGCACCATGGCTCATGCCTGTAATCCTAGCACTTTGGGAGGCCGAGGTGGGCGGGTTGTCTGAGCTCAGGAGTTTGAGACCAGCCTGGGCAACATGGTGAAACCTTGTTTCTACTAAAATACAAAAAATCAGCTGGGCATGGCAGCGTGCGTCTGTACGTCTGTAGTCCCAGCTACTCGGGAGGCTGAGGCAGGAGAATTGCTTAAACCCAGGAGGCAGAGGTTGCAGTGAGCCGAGATCACGCCACTGTACTCCAGCCTGGGCGACAGAGCTAGACTCCGTCTCCAAAAAAACAAAAAACCCTAAAGGACAGGGTTCCAAGAGCTTCTGGGTTGGTGACTACATCAAGTTGCTGGGCGGTGGTGCATCTGGAGAGGACATGGAAGTTCCACGTTCCTCGCCCCACACTTTGCCTATGCATCTCTTCCAAGGCTCTTCCTAAATGGTATCCTTTATGATAAACCAGAAAACGTAAGTGAAGTATTTCCCTGACTTCTGTGAGCCATTCTAGCAAAATTTTTAAACATTTATATTATAGACAGGGTCTAGCTCTGTTACCAAGGTTGGAGTGCAGTGGCACAATCACAGCTCACTGCAGCCTCAACCTCCTGGGCTCAAGCGATCCTCCTGCCTCAGCCTCCCAAGTAGCCGGGATTATAGGCATGTGCCACCAAGCCCAGCTAATTTTTTTAAATAATTTTTTTGTATAGATGAGGTCTTGCCATATTACCCTGGCTGGCCTCAAACTCTGGCCTCAAGCAGTCCTTCTACCTCAGCCTCCCAAGGCACTAGGATTGCAGGTGTAAGCCACCACACCTGGCCATTCTAGCAAACTATTGAACCCAAGGAGGGGGTCGTAGGAAGCCCCAATTTATAACTAGTTAGTCAGAAGCACAGGAGGCCCAGACTTGTGACTGGCATTTGAAGTGAGGGCAGTCTTATGGGACCAAGCTCTTAACTTTTAGCATCTGATGCTAGCACCAGTAGATAGTGTCAGAATTGAATTGAATTGAATTGTAGGATACCCAGTTGGTGTACGAAAAGAATTGGAGAATTGCTTGTTGTAGAAGAGACCCACACATTTGGTGTCGAAAGTGTTGTGTGAGCACATAAAAAATACATCTAGGCTGGACGCAGTGGCTCATGCCTGTAATCCCAGCCACTTTGGGAGGCTGAGGTGGGTGGATCACCTGAGGTCAGGAGTTCGAGATCAGCCTGGCCAACATGGAGAAATCCCATCTCTACTAAAAATACAAAAGTTAGCCGGCCGTGGTGGTGGGCACCTGTAGTCCCAGCTACTCGGGAGGCTGAGGTGAGAGAATTGCTGGAACCCAGGAGGTGGAGTTTGCAGTGAGCCGAGATTGCGCCAGTGCACTCCAGTGTGGGCAACAGAGTGAGACTCCATCTCAAAAAAAAAAAAAAAAAAATCGGCCGGGTGCAGTGGCTCACATCTGTAATCCCAATACTTTGAGAGGCTGAGGCAGGCAGATAACGAGGTCAAGAGATTGAGACAATCCTGGCCAACATGTTGAAACCCCATCTCTACTAAAAATACAAAAAATAACTGGACCTGGTGGCGCACGCCTGTAGTCCCGGTTACTCCGGAGGCTGAGGCAGGAGAATTGCTTGAACCCAGGAGGCAGAGGTTGCAGTGAGCCAAGATTGTGCCACTGGACTCCAGCCTGGTGACAGAGCAAGACTCCATCTCAAAAAATAAAAATAAAAAATAAAATAAAAAATATTTTCCTTTGGCCTGGGCTTTGACCAATCAGGTTAATATCTGCTTCTTCCTTGTGATCATAGCCGTAAGAGGACAGGGGAGAGGAGATAATTCCTCTGTTCCCACATTTTGTTGTCTCTTATTCCATTGGGAAGATGAGTGGAAAATTCTCCTACCAAACAGAATATGTGCGTTGTCTAATTACCTCCCCATCTAGATTAAGCCTGTCAAGGTCAGGGGCAATGCATCATGCATACTGTTTCTACATGTGATAGGCACTCAGTTTCTGTTGGTAGCAATTGTGGTTGTCATTTAAGAAACATCATTGCAAGTTCAGTTTACAAAACTGTGGCCAATACAGATATAGCAGGCTTTCGTAACCTGGGGTTCTGGGGCTTTCTTATCTTTCTTTCAACCTTCACTATATATTGGCATAGAAAGGTATTGAGATATGGGACTGGACAGTAGAAGGAGTGTCTTTATAAACATTACATATATCCCCAAGAAGATGGATCTGCCAAGTATATAGAAGATCAAAATTCAAGCTACCTCAATAAATTAGAGAAACTGTTGTCAATAGCAGGTTAAAATGCACTAAAGTAATTGGATTGTTCCTAATACAAAGGATAAATGCTTGAGGGGATGGATACCCCTCAAGCATCAATCCATGATGTGATTATTTCACATTGCATGCCTGTATCAAAACATATCATGTACCCCACAAATATATACACCTACTATGTACCCACAAAAATTAAAAATTTAAAAACTTACATAAAATGCTCTAGGATAAACGGAAAAGTGGTATAATTAAGGAGAGAAAAAAAAGCATCACATGGCTGGGTGCAGTGGCTCATGCCTGTAATCCCTGCACTTTGAGAGGCTGAGGCTGGTGGATCACCTGAGGTCAGGAGTTCAAGACCAGCCTGGCCAACATGATGAAAACCCATCTCTACTGAAAATACAAAAAATTAGCTGAGTGTGGTGGTGCGTGCCTGTAATCCCAGCTACTCGGGAAGCTGAGGCAGGAGAATCACTTGAACCCGGGAGGTGGAGGTTGCAGTGAGCTGAGATCGTGCCACTGCATTCCAGCCTGGGCAACAAGAGCGAAACTCCATTTCAATTAATCAACCAATAGCATCACACACAATAGAATTCAAGGGAAAAACTGACCACACAGAAATGTGCCAAGAAGGGCCTGATAGATGTGGCAAACCAGTAATGGAATGTGTAGAAAAATTGGGGGCTATATTAACAGAAGCCTGGGAGGCCAAATTAATCTTCATATCTCTGTGACCTAGCACAGTGTGTGGCACACGGTGGATATTGATACATATTTATTGGAAGAAAGTGTGACATTGACTTTGGTCACATCATCTTTGCTGTTCCCTGCCTCTGAAAAGTATTTGCGTAACCAATTCCTGTCCACACTTCAAGACCCAGCTTAAACACAACTTGTTCCATGTTGCCTTCCCTAAAATCCACCTCAAGCCCAGCTAGAAGAAAGGGTTCCATTTCTGAATTATTGTAAGCATTTAATAACTCAAGCAATTATTTTAGTAATGTGCACTCTGATTGCATATTGGGTGAATGATAATTCTTAGATTATGGCAATGCAATCTATATAATTTTTAAATTATAGAATTAATAAGGGAGGGTGTGTGAAATTCTAGAAGTTTAATCTCTGGCACTGTCTCTGACTTTCCTTGCTCTAGTTTTTTTTTTTTTTCAGATGTTATATGTCATCCAGATATCAGCCTCATCCTCTTATTCAAGCTCACACCCCCTGTGTCCTCTCAAACAAGGGCCTTAGTGAACCAGGCAGAATTTACTGAAGTAGAGACACAATTTGCATCATGTAGCTTGCAACAATTCATTTAGTAATCCCTCTATAAACTATTTTCCAGAGTACCCTCTCTGGTTCTGCTACTAGAGTGTTTTTTGTACTCTTCTCCACCCTCCAAGCCTCCAGCTTTGCTGCTCTTAACTCTCCCACTCCAGAGCCTCTTTCAAATTCCTCAGCCCTTCATTAGTCAGAGGAAAACATTTTATCCCAGCTCATGCTTCCAAAAAGTGTACCCTGGACAAATGACTCTGTTCAGCAACACAGAAGTTCTTCCAATTAGAAGAGCCATCCTCTTCAGAAAACAGAGGAGGATCATAAATACCTTTTCCTTTCTGCAGACATAATTAACACAAAATGACTAAGTGGGGTTAGTCAAGGAAGTCTTATTAGCAGGCTTGTTGGAGTCAGCTTTTGAAGGTGGCAATGGACATAGTTTTGCAGGGTGGAGTGCAAAGAAGGCATTCAGGTGGTTGCTGGCTGCAATCCTGCTCTGGATGAAGTTGGCTCCTAGAACCAGGTAGAGGTTTATAGTTTTCAAGGGACTTTTCCTATCCCTCCCAAGACAAGGCTGCATAGTTGCTTATCCTGTTATCTGCCAGCCTTAGCTTCACTTAGCTATAATCATTAAGGATAGACATTTGTTGTCTCAGCCTTTCCTAGTCTCTTAGTCATTTCTGACCAAGTCAGGAATTAGATTAGGAGCCTCAACACTGTTTCCTTCCCTTCCGTGTTAGGATACAGGCTATGCTGCTATAACATAGACCCCCCAAAAGACAGTGACTCAATAAGAAGTTTATTTCTTTCTCACTTAATAGTCCAGTAAGGTGGATGTCTGACTATACAGATAGCTCCGCTCCAGTTGTTCATCTTGGAACCCAGGTTTCTTTCATCTCAGTGTGCCACCTACTCCAGGATGTGCTCATTGTTTGCATGGTTGAGCCTGGCTCACTTGGCCACATCTGTGTCTAGACCTCTGGAAGGAGAAAGAAGGGAAAGAGAAGGTGGAGAGCAAGTAGCTTGCTTTTAATGACATAACATCAAAGTTGTACTCTTAACTTCCATTCACATCTCATTGGCTAGAACTTGGTCACATGGTCACATCTACTGCAGGGAAGGCTGGATAATATATTCCCTAACTGGATAGACATATGCTCAGCTAAATGTAGTGGAAGAGAGAACGGCTTCCATTACAAAAAGGAAGAGGAGAAATGATGATAGGGATGATGAGCAGTTTCCACCGTACTTCCCCATGGCCTGTGGAATAAACTTCTTAGCATGGCATAAGAGACCCTATGGGACCTTCAGCTTTCCACTCTAGTAATATCCAATTACTTGACATGCCCTGAACTTGCTTTGCTGTGTTTCCCTTCCATGACTGTTTATGGTAAATTTTTCTCACCTTTCTTTGCCTGCTAGAATCAGCTCAAATAACATCATCTCCAAGTGTTCCTAAAACTCAGTCTGGGGCAACTGACTCTTCTTTGTCTTCTCATAGCACACTATGCATTCATCTCCTCTGGCACTTGTCAAATTCCCCCACTGACTGCAAAAGTTTGAAATCATCTCCTTTCGGCTCTGTCACCATCTAGATTGTAAGCACCTTGAGAGCAAGTATGCTATGTCTTAGTCGTATTTGTACCTTTAGTTCCTAATTTGAGCTGAATTCCTTTTGCCTACCAGTGGGTGAAAGATGTTGTGCCATTGCCTGAGCCCTTGCATGCTCACTGGGTTGTAGCTTACATCTGTAATAGCCAGGCTGTATTAGTAGACATTCTTGTTCTCACTGGTTTGGAAGCACTAGCCTGAGGCTGCTGCTGGTCTAGGATCCCAATCCTCTTTCTAGTCCTTGTGAATTTCCTCCTTTGAGGAGCCTAAAGTTTGTTTTGGTTACCCCTAGGGGCTAGCTGCTAAAGGGCATGACTGCCATTTACTGCCTTTGATCTTGGAAGCTCTTGCTGCTAGGCTTCACCTGCTATGGATTTTCCTGATGGTGAGACCTGGGGGAATTCAATTCTGGTTTATTGTCTTTGGACACTGACAAATGATCGTTTAGGTAGATCATTTCCTCCCAGTTCTGCTCCTAGTGGGCTCTGGCCATTTTCCACTTGTCACTGCGAAGACTCTATTCTGCCTGACTTGTGAATGTTTTCCATTTTAAGATTGATAAGTATTATTGGTACCTTCTATTTTAAACTAACTGGTCCATGATGAGAATGGATTAACAGCTTTGTGGCATATCACTGACACAAAAAGCAACTTGTACAGACTTTCTTTGGATGAATATATATATATATATATATATATATATATATATATATATATACACACACACACACACACACACACACACATACATATACATATCTACATACATGCTTAAAATATGAATATGTGAGCATGCAAACCAGGGTATTGAGAAGGTTATTCATATGGTAGATGTTCTTTATTTTATAAAAGGGCTTACTAGGAAGATCTTATGCATTATTTTCTATCTTTTTGGTATAACTTTGGTAATTGTTCAGCAAGGTACAATTCCCAGGTCAGATGGATGATTTGGGCAGCCACATAATCTGCCCTTCTGTGTGTCAAAGCTGTGGATCAGAACAAGGAGATTTAACCTTAAAAAGTCAGCAATTTAGTCAGATTGTCAAAAGAACTCAGTAATATCCAGGGAAGTAAGAGGCAGGGAACTCTAGTGTTCTTGATGAGCTGAAAATGAATTGGTAATTTGTCATGAACTGAAAATTCTCAATTCCAAAAGGTCATGGAAGAGTCACAGATAGGTCCCACCTGGGCAGCTCAAGTACCGAGAACCCTTCCAAGTTTCCCTGCCTGTATTAGTTAGAAGTTATTCATTTACAAATGACAGAAATCCAATTTAGCATAAGCGGCAAGGGAGTGTACTGACTCACGGTCCTTGGAAGGCTAGGAATGGACTTCAGTCACAAGTAGATCCAGAGACTAAAATGCATTTTCCAAATTGGCCTTTCTCATTTTTTTCAATCCCAACCTTCTTATTCTTCATTGATCCCATTCTTTTCTATGGGAATTACCTTCCTCCACAAGGCAGGGAAGATAGCCCTCATTCACATTCTAAATGTTCTTTATCTGGAAGGCTGGATAACTTTTCTTCTATCTCCAAATGAAAAAATTCCCAGGAAGAACTTTGATTGGCCTGACTCAAGTCACATTCTAGCCCTGGACTAGTCATTGTGGCCAAGAGTACAGGGTACGATTGGCTGGGCCCTGTGGCGGGGAAGTGGGGTGGTATAACTAGTAGCCTCGTGAGACTCAGAATTCATGTGGGTCACACTCTCCTTTCTAATGCTGAGACTCTCCAGTAAATATCTCACATGTTCGCACCAAACAGCCCAGGCTTCATTTCATACTTCTGCTTGTTTCTACTCTTGATGTTCTGCACTGACCACTGCTTGCTTTTAGTGTGAACACCTGCTTTGTGGTTCCCTTAGGCTGCCACTAAAACCACTTAGCTGGACCACTGTTGGCCACTTTGCTGCTCAGGCCACTGCTTGTGCTTTTTTTCCCGGACCTCCTCTCAGTGGTCTATTTGGAAAAGTGCCCATGGGCATCTCAGATACTCTGGCAGGGACTAGTTCATGCAGTTGTGTAATTAGGAACAGTTATATAGGTCGTTCAGTGCATAAGGGCATCCCATGAAAGCAAACATGGGAACTGAAGTCTAGCATGAAATCCAGCTTACTAAGCTGTACATCTACCTTTTTGTGTTCTCCAGGTAGAAGACATACTTTTTTTATTTGCTTAAGGGTACCAAGCCACCATGCATCAGGGAGAACATATTACTTGAGCTGATTCTAGCAAGCAAAGAAATGTGAGAAAGATTTACCATAAATAGTCATGGAGATAAGACACAGAAAAGCATGTTCAGGGAATTTCAAGTAATTGGATATTACTAGAGTGGAAAGCTGAAGGTCCCATAGGGCCTCTTATGTCATGCTAAAAAGTTTATTCCATAGGTCGTAAGGAAGTGACATTTTATTTTATTTTATTTTATTTTATTTTATTTTATTTTATTTTATTTTTTTGAGAGTCTCACTGTCACCCAGGCTGGAATGCAGTGGTGTGATCTCAGCTCACTGCAACCTCCACCTCCTGGGTTCGAGCAATTCTTCTGCCTCAGCCTCCTAAGTAGTTGGGACTACAGGCATGTGCCACCATGCCTGGCTAATTTTTTTGTATTTTTAGTAGAGATGGGGATATGCAATGTTGGCCAGGCTGGTCTTGAACTCCTGACCTCAAGTGATCCACCTGCCTCGGCCTCCCAAAGTGCTGGGATTGCAGGCGTGAGCCACTGCGCCTAGCCAGGAGGTGACGCCTGTAATCCCAGCACTTTGGGAGCCAAGGCGGGTGGATCACGAGGTCAGGAGATTGAGACCATCCTGGCTAACACGGTGAAACCCTGTCTCTAATAAAAATACAAAAAAAAAAAAAAATTAGTTGGGCGTGGTGGCGGCTGCCTGTAGTCCCAGCTACTTGGGAGGCTGAGGCAGGAGAATGGCGTGAACCTGGGAGGCAGAGCTTGCAGTGAGCCGAGATCGCGCAACTGCACTCCAGCCTGGGTGACAGAACGGGACTCCGTCTCAAAAAAAAAAAAATTTCAGACAAAGCTTCCCTGCAGGCTAGCAGCAGCATAACTCTGGCTGTTTCCTCTGAAAGGTTAGGAACAAGTACATCTCTTCTGTTTGCCATTGTATCAGAAGAATGCCACTACCATAAACATAACATTGTGAGAGCAGCTAGGGGCACAAGCCCACCTCACCTGTCTTTATTAGGCCTGCTATAATAATATACCATAAACTTATTGGCCTACAAATGACAAAAACGTATTGCTCATAGTTCTGGAGACTGGGAAGTTCAAGATCAAGGCGATGGCATATTAGATGTCTGATGAGGGCCTATTTTCTGGTTCATAGATGGTAACTTCTTGCTGTGTCCTCACATGGCAGAAGCGGCAACACAGCTGTCTGGGGTCTCCTTTATAAGGGCACTAATCCCAATCGTGAGGGCTCTGCCTTCATGACCTGATCACCTCTCAAGTCCCCACTTCCTAATTCCATCACATTGGTGTTAGGTGTTAGCATGTGAATTCTGGGGGGACAGAAACAGTCAAACCATAGCACCACCCCATCATCAAACTACATCTTCATATATGATAATCTCAGCAATGTGAATACAACTATTTTGAATAATTGACCTTCACACTGATTGGCCAACTAAGTCAGTCCTGGACCTACAAACTAAACCCCTGGTGAAAAGCAAAAGTCAGATGAGCCATACCCCTTACTTGGAAAAATTAATAGTCATTGGCCCTGTCCTTTCTTGCCTGGGAAGGTGACAACATACAATCAGTATCTTGTATTTATTTTGTCATGTCTTGCTGAAGCCTACATATTTTATTTTTTTTTATCTTGAAGCCAACTGAAGGCTCCTAGGTGCAGTTTTTATTTGACTACATCAGATAATTTAGTTATATTCAATAGAAGAGCGTGCACTGTATATAGCATAGATTAGGCAGACTATATAGGAGGCAACATGGGTAGTAGGAAAGAAACCATCGAACTGGGAGACCCAAGTTCTTGTCCTGCCTAGCACTGCTAACTAGCTAGCATGTGACATTAGAAAAGCCATTAAAACTGGCCAGTCATGGTGGCCCATGCCTATAATCCCAGCACTTTGGGAGGCCGAGGCGGGCAGATCACCTGAGGCCAGGAGTTCGAGACCAGCCTGGCCAACGCAACAAACCCCGTCTCTACTAAAATATAAAAATTAGGCGGGCATGGTGGCAGGCACCTGTAATTCCAGCTACTTGGGAGGCTGAGGCAGGAGAATTGCTTGAGCCTGGGAGGCGGAGGCTGCAGTGAGCTGGATCGTGCCACTGCACTCCAGCCTGAGCAACAAGAGCGAAACTCCATGTCAAAAACAAAAAAAAACAACAAAAATAGAAAGGCCTCTAAAACCTCACTAGCCATCTGCAAAATGAAGGGCTTTAGATAACCTCTAAGGCCAGCTTTAAAATGCCATCATTCCATAGTCTCATTGGAAGTGTCTGTAGGCTGTTCAAGAAACTCATAGACACCAGGGACCAAGGACAAATCAGCTGCCCTGAGCCAAATACCAAGAGGGAACAAGCCCAAGCTGGTGATAACCAGAGGTGCAGACGCAAAGTGTGCACTTGTCTTCCAGGAAGGTGTTTGGTGGCTGGGCACAGGGGCAATGAGAGATAGTGTTGGAAAATAATTTAGTCATGGGTTCACTAAACGTTCCTTTCAACCTAGGTTTAAGATACATCTAAACATTCCCCATCAGTTGCTTTTTTGGGGGGGTGGGTGGTGTCATCATATCTCTAGAGAAATATATTCCTAAGACCTACACGCATAGTAAAGCTCTCTGTGGTACCTTTAGAGGCTGTGCACAACTTCACAGACAACTGGTAACATTAGGATAAAGTATTATATTGTTAATCCTGGCTAGTTAGGAGGCTGAGGTGAAAGGATTGCTTGAGGCCAGGAATTCAAGATGTGCCTGGGCAACATAGAGAGCCCTCCATCTCTCCTAAAAGAAAAAAAAAATATGTTGTAGCCATTCTGGATAGTTCCAAATGTGGCCCAAAGGGTACTGGCTATCTTCTGGCCTTGCTTGATCTGTGATGTTGTTTATGCTCATAAGCTATAATCTGTACTCTGTTGATGGCACAGCTTGGATTCCAGATACCCCCTTAGTTATCTACAAGAATAGGAGAGTGAGTCCTGGCCTATAGGAGATAAGACTCAGACTAGGTCTGTATAATATACATCACATCTCCAGAGACTGCTGACAAGCCATATGAGACACGGAGGAAGTCTTTCAGAATACCGCCATTTCCAAGAGATAGTACCTGTCTATGTACCAAGTCCTATGTCCCAGTAAAAGAGCCTGGGGCCAGGCATGGTGGCTGATGCCTGTAATCCCAGCACTTTGGGAGGCCAACGCAGAAGGATTGCTTGAGCCCAGGAGCTCGAGACCAGCCTGGGCAACAAAGTGAGACCCTGTCTGTACCAAAAAATATATAATTTTAAAAATCAGCCAGGCTTGGTGGTGCATGCCTGTAGTCCCAGCTGTACTCTTTGGAAGAAAGCGTCGCTATGCACAGCCCACACTAAGGAGTGGGGTGGTATGCTTGCTTCCTTCAGGGCAGAGTAGCTACATAAATTATTTTGAATTCGTTTGCATGGGAGATTCAACTCTTCTCCTCATTTACTTATTCTTCAATCACTTATTTATTTCATTCAGTGACTTATGCTTTCATCCAATTGGCTGTTCCTATCTGCAAGAGAAATGGGAAATGCAGTTTTTCATGTGGGCGCATTGTTCAGAATTTGGAAGGAAAGAGTCACCCTGGATTTCATGGATATTTATTTTGTTCATTGGGTTATAATCCAATACTAATTTGTTTATTTTGTTGCTCAAATTGTTCCAGCTTTGGCCATTGAGAGTTCTTTCAGTTGGTCCCTGTTTCTCTTTAACATATTCCCATCATTGTGTTATTGTGGTTTTTGGTTTTGTTTAGTTATGTTTATGTTGCTTTTTAGCATTTCCTTATTTCTGGCACTAGAAGATGTTTCAGATTCATCTTGTATATTTTCTGTCCTAATTTTGGAACCAGCCATTTCTCCAAGGCCCATGGTTTGTTCCTTGATTTGCATATTTCCATTTAAAACAAACTCCTTAGAAAGTGGTGATATCAGCCAGGGCGCGGTGACTCATGCCTGTAATCACAGCACTTTGGGTGGCTGAGGCGGGTGGATCACTTGAGGCCAGGAGTTCGAGGCAACCTGGCCAACATGGTGAAACCCCATCTCTACTAAAAATACAAAAATTAGCCAGGCATAGTGGCAGGCGCCTGTAGTCCCAACTACTCAGGAGGCTGAGGCATGACAATCATTTGAAGCTGAGAGGCAGAGGTTGCAGTGAGCCGAGATTACACCATTGCACTCCAACCTGGGTGATGGAATGAGACTGTGTGTCCAAAAAGAAAGTGGTGAGGGAAGTTGAGAGGAGAGGAGAATGGGCAGGACCTACTACCCCTCTCACTTCCTATTGATTCAGTTGTTTTACCTTGCTTAAGCAAATAAAAGTTTGAAACTCATATTTATTTCCTATTGTTGCTATAATAAATTACCACAAACTTTGTGGCTTGAAACAACAGACATGCATTATCTTATAGTTTTGGGGATCAGAAGTGTAGAAATGGGTCTTATGGGGCTAAAGTCAAGGCAGGGCTGTGTTCCTTCTGGAGGCTCTAGGGGAGAATCTGTTCCTTGCCTTTTTCAACTTCTAGGGGCTGTTTCTCTCCCTTCCTTGGCTCATGGCCTCCTTCAATAATGACATCACTCTGACCTCTGTCTTTGTAGTCAAATCTCCTCTCTCTTCAGCTTCCCTCTTTCATCTTTTAATGACCCTTGTTATTACATTGGGCCCTGTATTACTTCATTCTCACACTACTATAAAGAAATACCTGAGATTGTGTAATTTATAAGGAAAAGAGGTTTAATTGGCTCACAGTTCTACAGGCTGTACAGGAAGCATGGCTGGGGAGGCCTCAGGAAACTTACAATCATGGCAGAAAGCAAGGAGGAAGAAGACATGTCGTTCATGGCTGGAGCAGGAGGAAGAGAGTGAAGGAGGAGGTGCTACACACTTTTAAACAACCAGATCTCGTGAGAACTCACTATTATGAGAACAGCAAAGAGGAAATCTGCCATCGTGATCCAATCACCTCCCACCAGGCCCCTCTTCCAACATTGGGGATTACAATTTGACATGAGATTTGGGTGGGGACACAAATACAAACCATATCAGGCCCACTCAGATTATTCAGAATAATATCTCTATTTTAAAACCTTTACATTAATCACATCTGCAAAGCCCCTTTTACTACATAAGGTAACATAGTCACAGGTCCTGGGGATTAGAACATGGATGTCTTTGTGGGGGTGGGGGTGTCATTATTCTACCTACTATAAAACCTTAAAACCAAAAAGTGGCATCTGCTGATAAATCACAGTTTTACCTTCCTTTCTGCTACACAGGACACTCAAACTCTGAATGTTTTCAACAGCCTCAGACAATCATTTCTTCTTTTTCCAAAAGGAGATGATAATAACAGTATTATTTAATAAACCATTCTAAAAACCTTATGTTGCTTTTTGGTATTTTACCAAAAATGTATCACAATTTTCCTCACTTATTCTACTGATATTTTCCTCAGTAGCAATTTAGAACGTGTAGGTTAAATAGTACATATGGTTGATTTCCTATTCTCATTAAATGATCTCTTAAACTTTAAAGGCTCAAATGTTTATACAGGCTTCTAGGTTCATGATGGCCCACAAAGCCTATCTATTCCTTGTCTTCTATGTCTTTTCCATCCTGATAGTCTAAGTCCTCATCGGGCAATCATATAGATTAGAGAATGCAAGCTATGTGTCCCATAAGGTAGACCTAATGCATTAGACTTACAGTTAAATAATTGTGGATTTTTTTCCAAATGAAAAAAGTTACATTAATGAATATAATTTGTTATAGATTTCAAAAACGTTCCCTATTAATTTTCCTCAACATTGGTACCTCTTTCTGCTTGTCTGTCAGTGTATGCTAGCTGACAACAAAAGAAATGAATAAGAAGCCAATTAATATTAATAGAAAAAGTCAGAGATAGGAAATAAATTATGTCTAGTTTGATAGGTCACGGTGTGTTTCTATAATTTTATGTTGCATACATCTAATAGAGAACTATTTTGCTAGCTGAAATGCTTTCTCACATAAAGAACTCTAGATGTAAAAAATAATTACCTTTCCCTAAATATGGTGGAGCCAACTACGATTTTTTTCATTTTATTGCAGATACT
Source organism: Homo sapiens (assembly GCF_000001405.40). NCBI lineage: Eukaryota > Metazoa > Chordata > Mammalia > Primates > Hominidae > Homo > Homo sapiens. Next base: position 42,361,566 of record NC_000001.11, on the reverse strand, counting down.
TTATAAAAATATACTATTTTCCTCTTGTAAAAGAGAAGTTTCCTCCTGGAAAGGCAAGAATATGGGCTTTGGAGCTAGATAAATCTGAGTATTAACATCTTACTAGTTGTATGACTTTGTTAGTTTTTTAAAAATTCCCCTCCCTCCTTCCCTTCCTTCCTTCCCTCCATCTCTCTCTCCCTCTCTGTCTCTCTCTCTTTCTTTTTTCTTTTTCTCTCTTTCTTTCTTTTGACAGGATCTCACTCTGTCACCTAGGCTGGAGTGCAGTGACACAATCATAGATCACTGCAGTCTCGACCTCTTGGGCTCAAGTGATCCTTCTGCCTCAACTTCCCCAGTAGCTTGGACTACAGGCATGCACCACCATGCCCTGCTCATTTTTAAATTTTTTGTAGAGATGGGGTCTCCCTATGTTGCTCGGGCTGGTCTCCAACTCCTGGCCTCAAGTGGTCCTTCCACTTCATCCTTCCAAAGTGCTGGGATTACAAGTGCCTGACCTAGTTGTATGACTGAATACATCACTTAACTGAATAATTTGTAAGAAATTACATGTGGTTGTTTGTAGAAGATACTAATTAAAGCAACTTAAATACAAAAGAGGCATATTTCTTCCTCAGAATAAAGAAGAGCAGAGTTAGGCAGTTCAGGGTTGGTGTGGCTGCTCCTTGGTCATTAAGCATCCAGGATCTCCCCTTTCCATGTGCTCTGCCATCTTTGGCACACACCTTCATGTTCTAGGTTACTCTTGGTCCAATATGGCTTTTGAAGCTCTAGCCACCTCATCTGCCTTCCAAGCAACAGAAAGGACAAACGGAAGAAGGGCAATAATGACAGAGTTCCAAGAAGCCTACCCAGTGACTTCTGCTTACATCTAGTTGGCCACTTTTATCTGCAAGGGAAAGGGAAATGAATTACATGTAATAGTTATTAGTATGGGTTTCAAGAAGCTGATTAAACCACTTGGAGGAAATAGGCAGTGTGCTAACCCACCAGTATAATAGAGAAATATTATGTGTGAGTCTATCCTTGATTTAGCAGCAAAAGCATAAGAACAATAAATATCTTGGGCTTAAATGTAAGTAAGCTAGTTGAAGTGTTTGTAGAAAATACCCTAATGCATATTCTCTCTCTCTCTCTCTCTCTCTCTCTCTCTCTCTCTCTCTCTTTTTGGAGTCAGGGTCTCACTCCTGTCACCCAGTGGTGCTATCATTCCTCACTGCAGCCTCAACTTCCTGGGCTCAGGTGATTCTTCCACCTCAGCCTCCCAAGTAGCTGGTACTACAGGTGCGTGCCACCACACCTGGCTAACTTTTTGTATTTTTAGTAGAGACAGGGTTTCGTCATGTTGCTCAGGCTGGTCTCAAACTCCTGGACTCAAGAGATCCACCCACCTTGGCCTCCCAAAGTGCTGGGACTACAGGTGTGAGCCACCATGCCTGGCTGCATTTTCTCTTAATAATTTGGATTATTTCCCTGCCACTCCCTTGCCTGTACTGTTATTCAATCAAAGTAGGCAAGGGTTAATGCCACGTAGGAAGGAAAAGGGTATTTGGTAGAAGAATTCCTGAGAGACAGGAAGGGAAAGCAGGAAGTTCTTCTGATAATTGGGAAAAGCAGAGAGTGTGAGAGACAAAGGAGTGGGAGGCCAGAAATAAGTGATTTGGGGATACAGATCTGGTGAAATTCCAAAACATGGCTCATGCCCACTTTCCAGATTTTGTTTCAGATGATGCAGGTTCCTTGGAACAACCCTGTATTGGGGTTGGTACCATGTTCAGTATGACTCAGGTAGTAACGGATGAGGGAGAAGTCTGAGAGCAGCCTCCCAGGATCCCACAAGTACATCATGTCAAGGAGAAAGCAGTCAAGAGTTCCTTGGATTCCTCAGGGGACAGATGGTGCTGAGGGGAACCACTTGGCTGCAGGAAGCCTTAGGTTGCATAAGCAGAGCACAGAATGCAGGAATGAAGAATCTCAGTAATAGGCAGCAAAATGATGCCACAAAAGATAAGATACAGCCAAGTTTCCCTCTGTCAGCTTCAACAGTGGGATGAGGGACATCTCAGGGAAGGCCACAGGACAGTGTGGTATTCTCCTCCTGCTTTTATGAGGGGAGAAAATAGCCAGCAGGGAGTGTGAATTTTTTTTTTTTTTTTTGAGACAGGGTCTCATTCTGTCACCCAGACTGGAGTGCAGTGGTGTGACCTCGGCTCACTGTAACCTCTACTTCCCGGGCTCAAGTGATTTTCCTGCCTCAGCCTCCTGAGTAGCTGGGATTACAGGTATGCGCCACTACCACCTGGTTAATTTATTTTGTATTTTTAGTAGAGACAGGGTTTCACCATGTTGGCCAGGCTGGTCTCGAACTCCTGACCTCAAATGATCCACCTACCTTGGCCTCCCAAAGTGCTGGGATCACAGGTACGAGCCACCGCACTCAGCTGGGAGTGTGAATTTTGAATGAATTAAATTCTATTTAAACTCACAGAGACATAAACACAATTTAAAAATTTCCCCCTGCTATTAGTAGGAATTGAGGCTTGAGTCTAAAATAGGAGTCATTACAGAAAGTAACAAATGTTAACATTCTTTCGCACATCTGAGTCATAGTATGCAAATTTCTGTCCTGCTACATGACACAAGGTCTGTACAAAAAAAGCACATGTATAGGTCAATTTCATTTATAAACATAGATTACAAAATCTTAAATAAAACACTGGTAAATTTAATCCATTAGGATAGTAAAAGAATAATACATCACATCCAAGTATTGTTTAGTCCACAAATATAAGTGTAATAGATTTCAAATAGGAAGTGTCCACCAGAAACCCTAAGGCAATAGATATTAGATGGCAAAGTTGTCAGCATACCCTTCTGTGGGAGTTTCAAAGTAGATAATCAAAAACCAGTTGCACAGTTCTCAAGCCCCTCATCCTCAGGGAGGTAAAGAGATGTTGCTGTAGGGCTTCTTTGAAGAGGACTTTTCTGGAGAGACATAAGCTTGTGAGGATTTCTCCTCCCTCTCTCCCAATAAGCAGGGTTGGGTGATACTTTCTTATTCTTAAGCCAAGGGGGAGCCATTTCAATGGGACCACTTGGAGACCTTGATATGTAACTCCTGCAGGTAATGGGATGCAGTGGACCAATATCTAACTCTTGCCTAGGACATGTGAAAGGCAGTGGTGGACTAGCTAGCTGTTCCAACTACAGGGGTGAAGGTCAAATAAATGATTATATCAAGTGGCCTGCACTCCAAGAGTTTGTCAGGGTGGAAGGTTTCTTTGGAAGGAGAGCTGGCTTAAACCCTTTAAAATCTTGCCTAGGAGGATTGCCTGGAAGAGCCATGGAACTCCTAACAGAAAGACCCAGTGTAGACTGGACCACCAAAAAACAGAGGCTGAGATGAGAGTAGCCAATGAAAGGGAGATGGTATCACCTGAATTATATAAGGTACAACAGAATCTTCCTACTGGGTCTTCTGCAGAATCTGTAAATGTGTCCTAAGAGAGAAATAGTTAGCTTTGAATATCTGCCAATCCCAGAAAGCTTGAAACTATTTAACAAAGCTTAGAGAGCCAGTATGTGAAAATGGAGACTAAATTCAACTGCCTCTTTTTTTTCTTTTACCATAACTTGTTTTCTCAACTTTCCCACTCCCCTCCTGCTATACCCTCCAGTAGAAGAAATTGATGCTCTATGCCATGTCCATGTTTTGCTGAATTTGCTCCCTTTTTTTCCTCTGCCTAGGATGTTTGTACCCCACCTCTTCTGGTTCACTCAGTCCTCTAGAAAACCATCAGCACCGAGGTCAATGAATAACATAGGGGCCTTTAATCTGTGTTGAGAGACCTTAGAATGACTATCACAAAGGCCATTTATCCAATGTGATCAGTCTAGAAATGGAACCATTCCATTAAAGTAGGGAATCATAAAATATGATCTGTACTTATTTTAAATATTTTAAGTTCAAACCCATTTATATACATCCATTCATAGGCCTTCGAATGTGAGGCAAGCTTGTTTTTCTTTGTACAATAGTCCACTGATTGGAACTCTGTATTATCATTCTTGAACAAACCACTCACAATATGCATTTTTATGATTCTTCATTTTGGGTTTCTTTAATGTGCAAGAACTTAAACACACCTAGGAAGATATCTATGTGTAGGACTTTAAATTACTTAAAATTATTTACCCAACTCTGTAGTTGTTTTGCTTACATTTATTTCAACAGTCGTTTTTGCTTTCTTTTTTTTTTTTTTTTTTTTTTTAGCAACTCAGTCAGTCTTCAGTCTTCACTGAGTCTTTCCAGTGAATAAGGGAGCCATAGATCACAGCCAATCCCCCTAATCCCCCTTCTAGCTCCTAGTGGGCTCTTTGGCTGGATCTGGAAACCAAATTGACACCAAGCAGATGAATAAAAGTATACAAATTGTATTAGTTTTACATGTACATGGGGATCTTTATGAGTGAAGTCTGAAGAAATGGCCAAAGCAAGATACTCTCATACTTTTTAGACAAAGAGCAATAAACTTGAGAAGAAATGACCCAGAACTGTGCTCCAAGAGAGAAATATGTTTGAATATCTGCCGATCTCTCAGGAGAGCTTGAAACTATTTAACAAAAATGTTTCCCAAACCTGAGAGAAAATAAAATCTGGCTAGGGCAGTAAAATTTTCTAGGGGAGTCGTTAGGAAATACATGGAGGGGTGTAATACAGGTAAAAGCTAAGGGTAACTTCACTAGGTGTATTTATTCAGGCCCATTGCAGCCTTCAAGTCCAAGTTTCTAGTGATAAGGGCTATTTCCTTGCTCTGGTATAGAGAGGGTACCCCTCCCAGAGGAATCTGGCTACACGCAGGAAGAAAATTGTCAGTTCTCACCCTTTCTGAAACTACAATTTCTCCAATGTTTTCTTTTTTAAGAAACATTGGCTCATCCCTGTAATCCCAGTACTTTGGGAGGCTGAGGCGGGTGGATCACCTGAGGTCAGGAGTTTGAAACCAGCCTGGCCAACATAGTGAAACCCCATCTCTACTAAAAATACAAAATTAGCTGGGCATGGTGGCACAAAACTGTAATCCCAGCTGCTTGGGAGGCTGAGGCAGAAGAATTGCTTGAACCTGGGAGGCGGAGGTTCTAGTGTGCCGAAATTGCGTTATTGCACTCCAGCCTGGGCAACAAGAGTGAAACTCTGTCTCAAAACAAAACAAAACAAAAAGTTTTTATTTTTGTAAAGATGGGATCTTGCTATGGTTTTTTTTTTTTTTTTTGTCTTGAGACAGGTTTTCGCTCTGTCACCCAGGCTAGAGTGCAGTGGTACAATCACAGCTTGCTGCAGCCTTGACCTCCTGGGCTCAAGTGATTCTCCAACCTCAGCCTCCTGAGTAGTTGGTACTACAGGCACGTGTTCCCACACCAGGCTAATTTTTATATTTTTTGTAGAGATGGGGTCTCACTGTGTTACCCAGGCTGGTCTCGATTTCCTGTGCTCAAACTATCCGCCCACCTTGGCCTCCCAAAGTGCTTGGACTACAGGCGTGAGCCATGCGCCTCGTCTCCAATGTTTTCAACTTGAAATAATAAACATACCAATCTGGCATATTTTGGGATGGCACATTCTTCACTCCTTCAAAATCATTCCACTTAGTTAAAAAAAATTAATGAAATGGTGCAAAGTTAAAAAATTAATGAATGTTGCAAACATACAAAAACAGAATGGACACCTGTTCCCACACCCAGCTGCATGAATGCTAACATTTTGTCATACTTCAGATTTTTCAAAAAAGAATAAACATTTCAGGTAGAAGTGAAATCTTCTGTACACTCCATGCTGATCTCATTTCTGTCCCTCTTTCCCATCCATAACAACTATCCTGAATCCTGTGTTTAGTTTTCCCATGTGTGTTCTTATACTCCAAATACGTGTGTCATAAATATATGGCTTTATTTTACATATATATATATATTTTTTTTTTTTTTGAGATGGAGTCTCACTCTGTCACCAGGCTGGAGTGCAGTGGCATGATCTCAGCTTACTGCAACCTCTGCCTCTCCGGTTCAAGCGATTCTTCTGCCTCAGCCTCCCGAGTAGCTGGGACTACAGGCACGCGCCACCACGCCCAGCTAATTTTTGTATTTTTAGTAGAGACGGGGTTTCACCATATTGGCCAGGATGGTCTCGATCCCTTGTCCTTGTGATCCGCCCACCTCAGTCTCCCAAAGTGCTGGGATTACAGGCATGAGCCACCACGCCTGGCCACATATTTTTAATCTATATGTAAGTGGTATACTGTATGCATTATTCTGCAACTTGACTTTTTTTCTCTCATCGTTATGTGTTTGACTTATCCTTGTTGATGTATGCAGCTCTGGTTAATTCATTTGAACTGCTGCATAATATTCTATCTTGTGAATATACTAAAACTTATTTATATTTTCTCTTGTCGAATATCTGAGTTGTTTCCAATATTTTCTATTACAAACAACACTACAATTATCATTTTTATATACATCTCCTTGTATACGGATGCGTGAGGGCTTCTCTAGCCTGGCAAATATAACAAGACATGGAATTTCTGAGTCAAAGCACATGCACATCTTCACCTTCACAAATACACTGTCATTTTCTAATAAGTTATTACAATTGACACTCTCACCAGCAGTGTGTGAGAGTTTGTTGCTCTATATCCAACACTGGTATTATTCTCTTTTTTTTTTTTTTTTTTTTGAGATGGAGTCTCTCTCTGTCCCCCAGGCTGCAGTGCAGTGGCGCGATCTCAGCGCTCACTGCAAGCTCCGCCTCCCGGGTTCACGCCGTTCTCCTGCCTCAGCCTCCCGAGTAGCTGGACTACAGGCTCTCACCACCACGCCCGGCTAATTTTTTGTATTTTTAGTAGAGATGGGGTTTCACTGTGTTAGCCAGGATGGTCTCTATCTCCTGACCTCGTGATCCGCCCGCCTCGGCCTCCCGAAGTGCTGGGATTACAGGCGTGAGCCACTGCGCGCGCCCCAACACTGGTATTATTCTCTTAAGATTTTTTCCAATTAGATGGGTGCGAAATGGTATCCCAAATGGTTTGTTTAATCAATAATGAGGTTCATTATCTTTTATATGTTTATTGGCCATCCAGAAGTCCTCTTCTAGGAATTCCCAGTTTCTGTTCTTTACCCATTTTTTCTGCTCTTTATCTTGTATTCTTGATTTGTAGGAATTTTGTTATAAATTCGTCATACCTGCCGGGCATGGTGCCTCATGCCTGTAATCCCAGCACTTTGAGAGGCTGAGGTGGGCAGATCACGAGGTCAGGCGTTTGAGACCAGCCTGGCCAACATAATGAAACCCCGTCTCTACTAAAATTACAAAAAATTAGCCAGGCATGGTGGCGCGTGCCTGTAATCCCAGACACCTGGGAGACTGAGACGGGAGAATCGCTTGAACCAGGGAGGCGGAGGTTGCAGTGAGCTGAGATCGCACCATTGCACTCCAGCTGGGCGACAGAGCCAGACTCCGTCTCATAAATAAATAAATAAATAAATAAATAAATAAATAAATAAATTCTGCATACCTTTTCTTGTCAATTAAATGAATTACAAATATCTTCTCTCAGAGTGCAGCATGTAATTCATCTGTTTCATATCATCTTTTGTTAAATACATGTTTTAAATTATAGGTATCATACGTATCAAACTTTTCTTTCATGGTTTATGCTTTTTTTGTTTTAAAAAAAATTTACTATTCTGAGAGAAAGGTTTTTCTACATTCTCTTCAAAATGTTTTAAAGCTTTATTTTACATATTTAGGTTTTTATTCCTCTTACATATGGTTTTGGATATGGTGTGGCGTAGAGACCTAACTTTCTTTTTTTTCTATACACGCAACTGTCTTACCCAGGTTCTCTGAAAAACAGAGCCTGAAGTACCACCTCCATGCTAAGGTATTGAGAGGGGCAATCCCAGGCCAACAAGAGTGAGGGGAAAAGGGAAATAAGTCATGGAAGAAAAGAAAGCAAATGCAGGATACCATGTTAGAAGCTGGGCACAGCTTCCTAAGGAAATTCAGCCTGTGGCTTTGTTACCCAGGACATCTTCCAGATAGGTTTCGTGGAAGTGCTACACCTCAGAATTGTGCATCAGAGACAGGAGAAAGGGCAAATAATTTATTTTCTGGCTCCACTTCTGTTTGTTCTTGGTTGAAGTTTGCTCTACGGGGAGTTAGTTAACTTCTGGGCTGTGTTACACAGCTTCTCTGTGTAACCAGTTGGCAAACCAGTCTTCAGTGCTGTTATATGGTGCTTGATGCTTTATCTGAGATTTATGGGGATGGGAAGACTCTCTATGAGTCTGGTAGGTTGGGACCTGGGCACCAGAGTCATTGTGTCTTCTGATGTACTGAGAGCAACGGAGGCCAGGCTCTCACTCTGTGGGGAGATTGAGAAGTGTTGGGAAATGAAGGAATGTCAGCAGCCCCTGGGGCTCCCCAGGGGGCAGGTGTATTATTTTGGTCCTTTAGAACAACCAATTTTCCATTTATTGACTAATTCATTCCTTCCCTCTACATTTGTAATACCACCTTTGAACATGTCAAGTCTGTGTATATTCATGGACTTCTTTCTAAGGTCTCTTTTCCATTCCATTCAACAATTTATCCCTAAGCTAATGTCATACCATCTTAAATCTTATAACTTTAAAATAAGGCTGGGCGCGGTGGCTCATGCCTGTAATCCCAGCACTTTGGGAGGCTGAGGAGGGCGGATCACCTGAGGTCAGGAATTCGAGACCAGCCTGGCCAACATGGCAAAACCCTGTCTCTACTAAAAACACAAAAATTAGACGGGCATGGTGGCGCATGCCTGTAATCTCAGCTACTCGGGAGGCTAAAGCACAAGAATCACTTGAACCCAGGAAGTGGAGGTTGCAGTGAGCCAAGATTGCAACACTGTACTCCAGCCTGGGTGACAGAGCAAGACTCAGTCTCAAAATATAAATAAATAAAATAAAATAAGTTGATATGTGGTGGCACAGTCTTTCTATGTTGTTCCGCATCTTCAAAATTATCTTGTCCTTTTCTACTTCCAAATGAATCCTAAGATCAGACTGTTTAGTTCCACAAAAAGTCATAGCTGGATTTAATTTAGAATTGTATTGAATTTATGGACAAATTAAGGAAGAATTTATATCTTTATGATATTGAACTCATGAACCTGGTGGATATCTTCATTTATTCAGATCTGTGTATGTATTTGTATTTGTTCTTCAATTTTGGAATTTTCTTCACAATGATCTTACATAATGTTTGTCAGGTTGATTTCTAATAATCTTTTTATTTGTATCAGTATTGTGGATGAGATCTTCATTTCTAATACAGGTTTTAATTATTTATTGATATTGAAAGTCTATTGAGCCAGGCATAGTGGCATATAGCTGTAGTCTGAGCTCCTCTGGAGGCTGACGCAGGAGGATCACTTCAGCTCAGGAGTTTGAGGCTGTAGTACACAGTGATCACACCTGTGAGTAGCCACTGCACTCCAGCCTGGGCAATGTAGTGAGACCCCTGTCTCTAAAACAAATAAAGAAAGAGAAAAGAAAAAAGAAAGGCTATTGATTTCTTTATTGGTCTTGAATATGGCAAACTTGCTAAACTCCCTTACTAGCTTTAATAGATTCTATTCTAGCTCAGGTGTGGTGGCTCAAGCCTGTAATCCCAGCACACTGGGAGGCTGAGGTGGGCGGATCACCTGAGGTGAGGAGTTCAAGACCAGCCTGACCAACATGGTGAAACCCTGTCTCTACTAAAAATACAAAAATTAGCCGGGCATGGTGGCGCATGCCTGTAATCCCAGCTACTCGGGAGGCTGAGGCAGGAGAATCACTTGAAACCCAGGAGGCGGAGGTTACAGTGAGCCGAGATCGCGCCACTGCACTCCAGGCTGGGTGACAGAGCAAGACTCCATCTCAAAAAAAAAAAAAAAAAGATTCTATTTTATAGATTATTTTGGGGCTTTGTATGTAATCAATCATATTATCTCTATATAAGGACCATAGCTAGACTTTTAATTCCAGTTCTAAAGATTTTTTAAAACCATGAATGAGTGTTAAATGTTGATGCCTTTTCTGTATTTATTGAAAAGGTCATAGTTTTTCCTCTCTTAATCTGTTAGAGTGGTATACTACATCAATAGATTTTAGGATGCTGCACTTCCTTGCATTTCTAGGATAATCAACACAGTCTTTACAGAAACAACTCTCATCCTTTTGACATTTATAGTACATTGGTCTATATAACTATATTAAATAAATTAGTTAGAATATCAACTACACATGATGTCAATAGGTTATTAAATAAAATACAAATGACTCCAGATGAGCATGAAACTCAAGTGCACAACAGCCCATTATCTATAAGGCTTCACACTGATGGTTCTTTTAAGATAGTAGAAATAGTATCAGTTAAGTGGAAGTCAACTAGAAAGTGTCCACTGTTTAGGGAAATTAGTGATTGTGGCAACATACCCACTATATGCCAACATGATTTGTTTCTATTCAACTAAATTCAAGAAATAGTTATGGAGAAACTACTATATATTAAGTACCATGTTAGGCATCATGGCTAAACACAAAGGTGAATCAAGCAGTTTCTATTCACAAAATATTTCCCAAACTAGTAGACAGGTTAAGTAAGATCAAGTGCTTAAATATCTCATCAAAATACAAAGCAGAGTAAGACAGATGTCCGAGGAAATACAAAGGTTATCACATATCATGGAGGGAAAGTGTAACTTGGGGAGAGGAGTAATCAGGAATGGAGTTTTGGAGAAGGTAGATTTTGCAGTGAACTAAGTGGGAGGTTAGACCATTGGTGTCTATCGCAGCCAGCCCCTTTAACTGATCTCTATTAGTCTCAGCAATCCACTTTAAAAGCAATGAGAGCTATCCCATCTGATGTGTTCTGATGATCACTTCTTTTCTTGCTGGACTTGCGCACAGATTCTCCCTTTCTGTCCAGCCCTTTCATGTGAGATGTCCATCCCCTAATCCTTGGAACCTGTGAATATATTAATTTACATGGAAAGGGAGAATTAAGATTGAAGATGAAGTTTAAGGTTGCTAATCAGCTGATCTTGAGATGGAGAGATTATCCTGTATTGTCTGTATTGGCCCAATGCAATCACAATGGTCCTTAGAAATAAAAGAGGGAGGCAGGAGAGTGAGTGTCAGAGTGATGTGACATGAGAGAGACTCGACCATTGCTGGCTTTGAAGATGGAAGTGGGCTATGAGCCAAAGAATGCTGGCAGCTCCTAGAAGTTGAATAAATCAAGGAAATAGATTGTCTCCTAGAACCTCCAGAAGAATGCAGCTTTTGCAAAACCTTGCTTTTAGCCCAGTGGAACCTATTTCAGGCTGCTGACCTCCAGAGCTGTAAAATAATACATTTATGTTATTTTAAGCCATTAAGTTTGTGGTAAGTTGTTACAACAGCAATAAGAACTAACACAAAAGATTAATAAAGCCAACCAGGATAAAAACAGGTTTGGAAGGAAAGGTCATAGCTTTGCTCATGTTGAGCTGAAGAGCTAGTGCCTGTCTGTGAAAGGCCAGCAGGACAGTGGAAATGTGGGTTTGAATATCAGAAAACAGGCTGGGATTTGGAACCTTAAAATCATTTCATAAAGGGGATATTTGACACCTAGAGCATGGGTGAGATGTTTTTAGGAAAAACATTTAGATCAATGCTGTCAAATGGAAATATAACACAAGCTGTGAATGCAAGCTACACATGCAATTTAAAATTTTCAGCAACCATATTAAAAATCTAAAAAAAGAAACAAGTGAAATTAAATTTTAATTATGTATTTTATTGTACTAAACATATCCAAATTGTTTTTTCAACATGTAATATAAAATTATTAGATATTTTACATTTTTACACAAAATCTTTACAATCTGATATGCATTTTACACTTACAGCACATCTCAGTTCAGCATGTCTATAAATAATTTCATGGGCTCAATAGCTATCATGTGGCTAGTGGCTATGGTACTGGGCAGTGCAGTTTAGAGAAAGAGCAGATACAAAGGGTGGAGCTTTGAGAGACACCTGCATTTAGGAGACGGGAGAAGGAAAAGGAGGCAATAAAGAAGTGGACAGGGCCGGACACAGTGGTTCATGCCTGTAATCCCAGCACTTTGGGAGGCAGAGGTGGGCGGATCACCTGAGGTCAGGAGTTCGAGACCAGCCTGACCAACATGGCGAAACCCCATCTCTACTAAAAATACAAAAGTAGCCGGGTGTGGTGGCATGCGCCTGTAATCCCACCTACTCAGGACGCTGAGGCAGGAGTATCACTTGAACCCAGAAGGTGGAGTTTGCAGTGAGCCGAGATGGTGCCACTGCACTGCAGCCTGGGTGACAGAGCAAGACATCTTAAAAAAAAAAAAAAGAAAGAAAAGAAAGAAAGAAAGAAAGAAAGAAAGAAAGAAAGAAAGAAAGAAAGAAACAGACATAGGAGGATAGTCAAGATAGTGCAATGTCTCAAAATTCAAAAGAATTTTATTAGGGAAATGTAGGGATGAAAATTTCAAAGGCTCTTCTTCAGTGCTCTGGCTCATTCAACTCTTATATTTGAGAGGTTTTCCCTCCTCTCTGAAGTGCAGCTCTATACTACAAAGTCACTTTCATTTGCTCTGGCTTTTTAACAGTCTCATATATCCATCTAAACATAAATTTAGGGGTGCCATCATAGGTGGCTGGGGATAGCAAGGTGACTAAGAGAAAGAAGAAAGGAGCATTGAGGTGGTTTGAGGTTGTTGGAGGATGTGATGATTTAGAACAGGTGCCTGGTGGGAGTAAGATGGAGATCATGTTACCATGACAACTGATTATTTCATTGGTCCAATGACCAGTTGCCATGGTGACAAAATCTTTGTGTCAGTGTGACATGGATCCCAAGGGAGAGAATGCTTGTGCAAAGGACCCCTTCACTCATTGGTAAAGCTTTTATATTTGCAATGATTTCTGCATTGCTTGATGAAGCCTCCTTCAGGAACTTCAATCAACATTGATGTCCCCTTCTCCTTATTGCTCATTTATAGCAGTCAAGCCACATGCAAAATGCACACATTTTCATTGTTCATCTTCTACATACTGCTTTCTTATCTGACATTCCTTAATTGTTTTAGTACTTTAATCTCTTTCTCCTAAACAGATATAATCCCACTGAAGGCAGGGATTATTCTTATAATTTAGTTGTATTTTCAAAGGACTGGGAGTTAGAGGGAAAAAGCAGACATGCCTTGGGCACCAGACATATCTGGGTTACATGCCACCTCTGCTTTTGCCATTTGCCTTAGATATTTCCTAATGGACTTAGGAAAGTCATTTTATCTTCCTGAATTTAGTTTTCTTCTATAAAATGGGGATATTAAAATTTGCACTGTGGGGTTGTTATGATGATTAGAAATATCCGAAATGAAGTAGTTGGCCTACAGCAAGAATTGAATAAATGGTGCCAGTTATTACAACATGGTTCCTAGCCCAGTCCTGGATGCCATGATCAGTACTTAGCAATACCTGATGAACAATAAGATAATGATGACAAATAATACCATGGTAACAGTAGGACTAGATTAATTTTAGGGTTTCTTAAAGATCAGTTGTCCTATGGTGGCCCAATTATATACCAGCTGCAATTCTTAACTTGCAACCCAAGTTATGCTAATTGTAACTTCTTGGGAGGAAAAATTTTTAAGTATTTAAGAAAAATGAGAGGAAAGAGAACCAGATACTTTGTGCCTTCTTGATGGAGAAACATGAGAAAAATCACATATGAATGATCCAGCCTCTGGATCCAAGTACTTATTTACACAAAACACAGAAAGGCCTGGCGTGGTGGCTCACATTTGTAATCCCAGCACTTTGGGAGGCCAAGGCAGGCGGAATCACTTGAGGTCAGGAGTTCGAAACCAGCCGGGCCAACGTGGTGAAACCGCCTCTCCACTAAAAATGTAAAAATTAGCTGGGCCTGGTGGCGGACGCCTATAATCCTAGCTACTCGGGAGGCTGAGGCAGGATAATTGCTTAAGCCCAGGAGGTGGAGGTTGCAGTGAGCGGAGATGGCATCCCTGCACTCCAGCCTGGGCAACAGAGCAAGACTCCATCTCAACAACAACAACAACAAAAAACAAACAAAAAATGGAGGGCAGAGATACATGTTAAACACCACAACAGGGAAACAATTAGCAAAATCCATACTGTAGAAATACTACAGGAAAAATGGTGTGGTTTCTTCAACAAATACATTGCAAGAAAAAATAATGGAAAAGGAACTTACAAAATAAAAAAAGATTTAAGAGACTTATTAATTTCCACGTGTGGATCTTACTTGAGCTTTGATTCAAACAAAATTTTAAAAAATTCATAAGGTGATTGAAAGTTTAAATACTGACAGGAACAAAGACATATCTTAATACTAGTGACTTCAAAAATTCTCATTAATTTTTAGATAAGTTAATGGTATGTTTTGTTAATAAAAGAGTTCTTATCTTTTGGAGATGTATTTTTAAAATATGTGTGTATTGATGTAGTATGAAGTCTGGAATTTGCTTCAAAGTAACACAGAAGGGGCAATGTGCGGATGAGGGTAGGGATATAGATTAAAAAGGTTAGTTATCTGAGGCAGGTGGATCACCTGAGGTCAGGAGTTTGAGACCAGCCTGGCCAACATGGCGAAACCCCATCTCTACTAAAAATACAAAAATTAGCTGGGTGTGGTGGCACGTCCCTGAAGTCCCAGCTACTCGGGAGGCTGAGGCAGGAGAATTGCTTGAACCTGGGAGGCAGTGGTTGCAGTGAGCCGAGATTGCACTGCTGCACTCCAGCCTGGGTGACAGAGCGAAACTCCATCTCAAAAAAAAAAAAAAAAAAAAAAAAAAAAAAAAAAAAATAAGGTTAGTTACTACTTGATAACTGTTGACTTTGGAAAATGGGTATATGAGGATTTATCATATTATTTGCATATCTGAAGTTTCTCTATATTTAAAACATTAAGTGCGTCTATCCAAGATTATATGAACAATAAAGACTTAGATATAAGGAAATACAGAATATTATTTAATACAATGTTGGACAAATGCATTGTGATGGTTTAATGAATAAATTAATGTGTATTTCCCCTAGCTAGACCTTCATAGCCAGGTTTCTACATTATATACATAAATGATATTTTTCTTTCTTTCTTTTTTTTCTGAGATGGAGTCTTGCTCTGTCGCCCAGGCTGGAGTGCAGTGGTAGCAATCTCAGCTCACTGCAACCTCCGCCTCCTGGGGTCAAGCGATTCTTCTGCCTCAGCCTCTCGAGTAGCTGGGACTACAGGCGAGTGCCATGATGTCTGGCTAATTATTTGTATTTTTAGTAGAGATGGGGTTTCAGCGTGTTAGCCAGGATGGTCTCAGTCTCCTGACCTCGCGATCCCCCTGGCTCAGCCTCCCAAAGTGCTGGGATTACACGCGTGAGCTACCGCGCCCGGCCATAAATGATATTTTTCTATTGCAAATTATAGTTAGTATCATTCATGATGTCTTAGGTTAGATTCCTTGAGAAAAAGACTCTGAGAGGGAGTTTTGTGGGCAAGAAGTTTTTTGTCGGGTAGGGTAAAGCGGGGGTGTGATTTTGTGTTCAACCCTAGTGGATAGGAATGGGCGGAGGAAGGATCTGAGCAGTGATACAGTTGCCATACCTATCTCATCTGATCTCACCTCACCCAACCCCTAGGGAGCTTGAGAGATGGAAGGCGCTTTTCAAATATGTCCCACGTTGAAGAATGGAGCCAGGCCTTTATCCTTGGAATCATTCTTCTGCCTACTTTGCCTCAACAAACTTGAACTCATTTTTCAAGGATGTGGTCAAGTGTTTCTGTATCTGCAAACTCTTCCTTAAAACACTCACTCTCGCCTGGGAGGCAGAGGTTGCAGGGAGCCGAGATGGTGCCACTGCACTCCAACTTGGGTGACAGAATGAAATCCCATCTCAAAACAACCAACCAACCAAAAAAACCAACAAAAAATGCTCACCCTCAGTCAGATCAAATTCCTTCTTCCACTATCCTTCCTATATGAACCATACAGGGGAATAGGAAGAGCTAACATTTATAGCACTTCTCATGTGCTAAGCACTGTGTTAAGCAGTCTACCTGTGCGTGGTTTCAATTAACTCACAGCATACCTACACAGGTAGGTACAGATGCTCCTTCATTTAGGATGGGACTACATCCTGATAAACTCATCAGAAGTTGAAGATATCCTAAGTGGAAAATGCATTTAATACACCTAATCTACCAAACATCATAGATCAGCCTTGCCTATCTTAAACATGTCCAGAACAATTACATTAGCCTACAGTTGGGCAAAATCATCGATCATAAAGCCTAAATAATAAATAATAAAATAAATGTATTATTTTATAATAACATGTTGAATCTCTCATGGAAGAGTATTGTGCCACATATTGCTAGCCTGGGAAAAGATCAAAATTCAAAATTCAAGTATAGTTTCTACTGAATGCATATTGTTTTCACACCACTGTGAAGTCAAAAAATTTTAAATCAAACCATCTTAAGTCGGGGACTGTCTGTATTATTATTATCCCCATTTACAGATGAGGAAACTGAAGCTCAGAGAGATTAAGCAATTTGCCTAACTAAAATCATTGAACTAGTGAGTGGCAGGGCTGGCCATTTAACCCCAGACGAGGGAGCCCACATTTTTTTTTTTTTGAGACAAAGTTTTGCTCTTGTTGCCCAGGCTGGAGTACAATGGCGTGATCTTGGCTTACTGCAGCCTCCGCCTCCCTGCAGCCTCCACCTCCCAGGTTCAAGCGATTCTCCTGCCTCAGCCTCCCGAGTAGCTGGGATTACAGGCACGCGGCACTACACCTGGCTAATTTTTGTATTTTTAGTAGAGACAGGGTTTTGCCATGTTGGCCAGGCTGGTCTTGAACTCCTGACCTCAAGTGATCCGCCTGCCTCAGCCTCCCAAAGTGCTGGGATTACAGACGTGAGCCACCATGCTGGCGGGGAGCCCTTACTCTTAATTGCTATTATGCTATACTGCCCCCTAGCTACTGCTTTTATCTTTGTACTCCCAGCCCTTAGCACAATACCTAACCTAGAATTAGCACTTAATAAATATTTACTGAATAAATAAATATTCATTTCACCAGCATTTCTAGCAAATTTCATTTTAGAAAAAGATCAACTCCAGATGAAATTTGTAGAAATAAGGGTGGTATATTTCATGGTAGCATGGAACAAGAAACCCCACTAGAAGAGTTAAGCTTGGCTATACTTAACACTGCAGAAAAAGAGATCTGATGGGGGGCAGTGGACATAGTATAGGCCATAAATTAACTGCTAAATAGTTAAAAAGGGAAATACTTTACTTAAGTACATTAAAAGAAACTTTGTCTTTGTGTGCGCATGTGTGTGTGTGTGTGCACATGCCTTTTTAGCATATTTTGCTTTAAGAATCATTGCAAAAAGAAACATTTCTTATTTATTCTACCATATTAAAGTGGGGGCAAGCCATGGATGAATCATGAACTTAGATGAGATATAATGAAAACAGCATAAGTCAGTAAGTATTCAAAATAGTTGCTAAAAGGTGGAAATGAGATCCTTTAGGAAAGGTGAAAGATATAGGAATTACAAATAAGTTTCCTTTACGTAGTAAAGCAACTCTTCTTCATTTTCACTGAAATAGAATATGAGATGACATATTTAAGCAGTCTGTGTGGTGTGTTAGCAAAAGGAGGGATTTCAAAGTCATGAATTGATGCTCAAGTCTTTATATTGCCATTCACTAGCAAAGTGACCTCAGTTTCCCTTGCCTATAAAATGAGGAGGATAATCTCCAACTCTTACATTACAGGGATTTATTAATATAAAATATTACTTCTTTTTCTGTTTCCTGATTCTGACGGAAGCCATCGTTCCCTCCTCTGAACTTCTACAGACATCAACATTTTGCCAGTCTTGTTTCATCTCTCTCACACTTTTTTTTTTGAGATAGGATCTCTGTTGCCCAGGCTGGAGTGCAGTGGCATGATCAGGCTCACTGCAGCCTCAGCCTCTGGGTTCAAGTGATCCTCCCACCTTGTAGCTGGGACTACAGGTGTGTGCTACCACGTCCAGTTAATTTTTGTATTTTTTGTAGAGATGGGGTTTTTCCACGTTGCCCAGGCTGGTTGAGAACTCCTGGACTCAAGCGATCCACCTGCTTCAGCCTTCCAAAGTGCTGGGACTACAGGCGTGAGCCACTGTGCCCGGCCCTCAAATTCTAATTATGCCAACACTGTCATACTCCAGAATTAGATGCCTGTTATGTTTGCAGTATTGTCACTTCTTAAGTGAATAGTAGAAACAACAGGTTGAATCTCTTCCTAGTTTTGAAGAACTGATCCACAGATCTGAGCAGTCCTAATTAGTTCTCAGGACTCTCTTCAATGCTTGCATCAAGGACATTCCACAGATGGTTTTTCAATTACTGCCCAGTAAGCTTTGGAAATGTCTGGAAAGTGTTAAGACTTAGGACTTTGCACCTATGTTTGTCTAATTTAAAAAAAAAATTTTTTTGTCGAGACAAGGTACTTTCTCTGTTGCTCAGGCTGGAATGCGGTGGCACGAACACAAATCACTGCAGCCTCAAACTCCCGGGCTCAAGTGATCCTCCCACCTCAGCATCCCAAGCAGCCGGGACTACAGAGTTTCACCACGTTGCCCAGGCTGGTCTTGAACTCCTGGGCTCAAGCGATTCACCCGCCTCTGCCTCCCAAAGGCTGGGATTACAGGTGTGAGCCACTGTGCCCAGCCTGTTTACCTAAATTTAACCTTCACCTACATGTTCTCTTAATCTGGTCCCATTAAAAACTTGGTCCCCAGTGCCCTTCAAGCTAGATTTCTCATTGCCAAGTCCTTTGGGATCTTCAGTGTCTTCCATGCTTTGTGATTCCTTCAGAGAGGACTGAGTGCCTTTACTGAATATTTATCATGCTCCAGGGCCTGCAGATCCTATTGTTCCAGATATTTTTCATTTATTTGGCATTTCAAATAAATTAGGTACACATAATATTTTATATAAAAATTAGCTACTAATAATCCCTTAACCCAAGTTAGCAATATGTCACAACACAGGAAGAGCCTTTGTGGGGAGTTAGGAGACTTCAGTTATAGTTCCAGATTATTCCATAGCATTAATTTGACAAAAATTTACTTATTTAGGGCCTAGAGGCTGCCACATACAGTGATGGGTTGCTAGGTATAGAAGCAAATGAGCATGGCCCTTATCTCAAAAACAGGGACTGTGCTGGGCATGGTAGTTCACACCTATAATTCCAACACTTTGGGAAGTTGAGGCAGGAGGATTGTTTGAGGCCAGGATTTCGAGACCAGCCTGGGCAACATAATGAGATCTTGCCTCTATTAAAAATAATAATAATAAAAGAAAAGAAAAACAGGAGCTATATCTTAACATTCTTTGTAAGTTCCCCACCTTCTGGGGCATGACATGGTCCATGGCATTTATAAAGGGTTGTCTGAGCCCACAGATCAAGACTGACTGAGTTTCAAATTCTGTATTTTTATTTTATTTTATTTTATTTTTATTTAGAGGCACTGTCTCACTATGTTGCTCAAGGTAGGGTCTCTCTCTCTCTTTTATTTTTTTTGAGACAGAGTCTTGCTCTGTCGCCCAGACTGGAGTGCGGTGGCACAATCTCGGCTCACCGCAATCTCTGCCTCCTGGGTTCAAGCAATTCTCCTGCCTCACCCTCCTGAGTAGCTGGGATTACAAGCATGCACCACCACGCTCAGCTAATTTTTGTATTTTTAGTAGAGACGGGGTTTCACCATGTTGGCCAAGCTGGTCTTGAACTCCTGACCTCAGGTGATTCACCCGCCTTGGTCTCCCAAAGTGCTGGGATTATAGGTATGAGCCACCACTCCCGGCGGGTCTCTAACTCTTAGCCTCAAGCAATCCTCATGCCTTGGCCTCCCAAAGCTCTGGGATTACAGGTGTGAGCCACCATGCGCTGCCTCAAATACCTCAAATACTGTATTTTAAAGCCTTTCACTATACTACACCAATCATCCCATTCTCTATATCTTCTCATAATCCCCAAGCAATCTTTCTACCTGAAGATGACACCAGAAATTTGTGTCACTAAAGAGCAAGATTCAGAAAGTGTCTGCATTAGTCATTATAGGCTCTGTTATGCTATGGTATCAACCCCAAAATCTCAGTGGCCTAATCAGCAAAGGTTGTTTTTCTCGCTTATGCTGTGTCCTTCCCAGGTCAGCTGTGGCTTTGCTGCACATTGTCTTCACTCTGGGACTGAGGCTGATGGATTAGCCTCTATCCAGAATGTTGCTTGTCATGAGGACAGCAGGAAAGGAAAACATGGTGCAGCACATTGACTGAGAGCTTCCAGCTAGAAGTGGCTCATACTGCCACTCACATTTCATTAGCTAATGCAAGTCACACAGCCAAGCCTGCTGTCAATAGGAAATTACAATCCAATTCTGGAAGGCACAGTAAGTGTTTGGGAACAATTATATAGTCTTCCACAGGGTCTCTTTACCCTTTATTTGTGACACTTGGATGTAAACACACCTTCTCACAGTGCCTCACCCAGGACCTTACGACTCGCATATTGGTGTAAACAATCCTGCTGGTTTAGAGTCTTTGAAGGCAGGAGAGAGGGCTTAGGATCAGACAATTTTGGCTTCAAATCCTGCCTCTGACACTTAAAGTACTGAGCCTGTTTCCTCTTCTTTCACACGATGACCATCTTGTAGTTTTACTGTAAGGATTAAAAAAACCAAACAGATGCAAAGGGCCTATTGTGTTGCTACTCACACAAAGAACAGTAAATGTTAACTATTCCCCCACCAAACTCCATCTAGCATTGGGGTTTCTTGATGGTTCTTATTTAGCTCATTAGGCATGAAGTAAGCCAATTATCTTTGCAACTTTAAATAATTGTTTCTTACTACTGAGTTTGTACCAGAGTTTCAGGTTCCTTTGGGCTGCAAACCTTGGCTACTTTTTCCTGCTAACCAGGTTCCTTTCTATCATCCCAAAAGATATTGCTAACTAACTGGCAGAGAGATTTTCCTTGATCCTACTCTGTTTGAACATCCTCTGACTCACCCTTCCTAGTGCCACCCAAGTTTCATCTGCACCATTGCTTACACATAATACAAGTACTTTATTTACTTACGCATTTGTTAATGTTTGCTCAGCTGTCTTGGTGCCTTTGTGTCTTTCACTGTGCTTTTAATTAGCTCGGCTGATTCTAAGAGTGGAGGTAAGCCAAGGTTTGAACCAGGTGGTTACAAGGAACATGGAGATGGGTTGCAGGTGGGGGATGGCAGATTGTTATGAATGCACTAGTGCAAAATCATTGACAGCCTAGGAAAAAAAAGTATTTTAGGCTAATGCCTTCTACTGGGAAAAAATAAACTAAGCTACTCCTTTCTACTAATAATGATTAAGTAGTAGAGTCTTTGGGAAGGATCACATTTTGCCTTTACTGATATAATCTGAAGTTAACACCAAGCTACCAGAGGACAGGAACTTGATGGTTTACATAGAGTGATGTGGTCTAGCTGCATGAGTTAGTTATTGCCATCAGCCACCAATATTTAATGACTACTTATAAGACTATCACTTCTGTGGCCTCTACTTTTCTTGTATCTACCCAACCTCTTTGACTTTGCACAAGCTGTTCTCTGCCCCCAATTGCCTTTCTCTACTCCCAGTCTTGCTTCTATCTCTGCGTGGCAAATTCCTACTCATTTATTAAAATTTAGCCTTAACTTTACCTTTTAAGGATGAAGCTTTCTTTGGCCCCAGTGACTGTGCCCCACCCTCCACCTCATCCAATTTGACAGAATTAAGCTTTGCTTCTTTTCTGTTTCCATGGCACAAGTATAAATTTCTACCAAATTGCATTGGGATTAACTGTTTACATGTCTGCTTCTCTTTTATTCTCTTTTGACTCCTTGGTATTTAGTACAACATCTGGTATAGAGTAGGTGCTTGCTAAATGATTATTGAATGCTCTTTAAGTGTGCATAGCGACCAATGCCCAAGCATTTTCCTTAAATAGCAGTCAGTAGTGCTGAGACCTCTCAGATGGCCTACATATAGCCTTTTAAAAAACCTAATTCAAGAATTATAAAATATTAGATAAAGATACCCAGGAAATCTGGAAGGCTCTTCCCGGGCTAGGAATAATAGAAGGGGCTCTCTCGTGTTTTTCCCTCTCCCTCTTGCAAGTCTTGGCTCATTTTAAATTCATTTCTCATTTTCTGATTTCCTCTTACAATAAATACAGAGGGAGAAAAGGATCAGGTGAAGGCTCATTTATCTTAGCGTCTAGGTCATGTGAAGTGTTGAACACTCAGCTGTTGAAGCACTGCCAGTGTCCAATCAAGGTTTTTGTAGGGCTATTGCAGCCCAGCTCTGGGCTGTGTTCCTTTCAGAGAATTCAGAATTCAGATGAAGCTAGGACAAGATTGCAAACAATACAAAACAATAAAACCACTACTTCATTCCTCTGGGCAATCTGTGTCTTTTAAGGATCTGTCCCTTGAGCTGGATAATATCTCCTCTTTGAAGGCTATCCTGCTCTGCACCCTCCCTTCTAGTCCACTCCCGTCTCCCAAGACAGTCAACTACTATACTCTTTTCTGTGCTGACACTGGGACCTTATAAATAATAACAGCTGTCTTGGGGACCTTTATTTTTGGCAGCCTGTGCATGGTCTCTTTTGCTACATAGCTATGATTATTGTTCCCATATTATAGGCAGGGAAACAGAGGCTAAGAGAAACTAAATAACTGATGTAGGCACAAAGGAAGTAAGCTATGGAATATTAGACTTGAATCTAGGTCTGCCTTCTCAATCTAGGCTTTAAGCTTTTCCTCCTCACAATGTTCCAGAATTCCCCCTGCTGCTTTGGCCATCCTAGCTTTTTATTTATTTTTTATTTTTCTTAGAGTCAGGGTGTCACTTTGTTGCCCAGGTTGGTCTCAACCTCATGAGCTCAAGTGATCCTCCCACCTGGGCCTCCCAAAGTGCTGGGATTACAGGCGTTAGCCACCATGCCCGGCCTGCTTTATTCTTTCTTTCTTTCTTTTTTTCTTTTTTTTTTTTTTGAGGAGAGATACTCCTCCACTTTTTTAAATCTATATATTTAAGGTACACAACATGATGTTATGGGATAGTCAAAAAGTCACTATAGTGAAGCAAATTAACAGAGCCATCATCTCACACAGTTATCCATTTTTTTTGTTTATTGTGGCAAGAGAAGCTAAAATCTACTCATTTAGTATGAATCCCATATGTAATAAATTTTATTGCCCCTCCACCTTTTAATACCCTGGGACTCATACTTCTTTCCTTCCCAAAGGCTGCTGATCCCCACCTTCCCACCTCATTCTGGCAGCTATCCACCTCTGTTCTCTCTCCAGCCCTATCCCATATTAGCTCAGGATGAGCACTTCAGGGAAGTGCCTTAGAATTCCAGACAAGTGAGAGAAGCGGAGCTGCCCAACACTTGTAAGAGGTGGTGCTAAACAGGAGTTCAAGACAAGTCTGAGCAACATAGTGAGATCCCATTTCTATAAAGTTAAAAAATTTTTATAAAGGAAGAAAACCCCAAAAGCTCCAGACTTGGAGCTAAGTCTAGTTTCTCTCTCTTTTTTTTTTTTTAAAGACAGGGTCTCACTCTGTTACCCAGGCTGGAGTGCAGTGGCGCAGTCACAACTCACTGCAGCCTTGACCTCTTGGGCCCAATCCTCCCATCTCAGCCTCCCACATAGCTGGGACCAAGGATGCACACCACCCTGCCGGCTAATTTTTTTATTTTTGTAGAGACAGTCTCCTTATGTTGCCCAGGCTAGTCTTGAACTCTTGTGCTCACGCAATCTTCCGCCTCTGCCTAAGTGTTGGGAGACCATAGACAGACTGTACGTTATTTATTTTTTAGAGATGGGGGCTTGCTGTGTTGCCCGGGCTGCACTTGAACTCCTGGGCTCAAGTGATCCTATCCTCCTGCCTCAGCCTCCTTAATAACTGGGATTACAGTCAAGCGCCACTGTGCCCGGCTGAGACTGCATCTTATTTATCTTACTCATTGCTACTATCTAGTTCAAGCCATCATTCTGTACCTGGGTAATGGAGCCTCTGGCTTCCACCATTGTCCTCTTAGTTCTGCTCTTAGCACGGCGGCCAGAGTGATCTTTTGAAAGCACGAGTCAGATCCTATCACTCCTCTGTTCAAAGCCCAGCAGTGGTTCTGTTTCAGCCAAGATTCCTACAGCTCCCTACTTGAGACCCCTCTCTCTGATCTTATCTCCTCATTAGGCTCCCATTTGCTCACGGCTCCAACCGTCCTGGCCTTCTCATTATTTTTAACACTTCCCGAGGCTTTTGTCTCCAGGCCTTTCCACCAGCTAGCTGTTCCTTCTGCCTGGGACACTCTTCCCCAGACAACTGCATGGCTGACTCCCTCAGCTCTTTCAGGTCTCCGATTTAAAGTCATTTTATAAATGAGGCCCATGCTGACGGCTCTATTTAAAATTGCAGGCCAGGCGCGGTGGCTCAGGCCTGTAATGCCAGCACTTTGGGAGGCCGAAGAGCGCGGATCACTTTTGAGTTCGGGAGTTTGAGACCAGCCTGGCCAACATGGTGAAACCCCATCTCTACTAAAAATACAAAAATTAGCCGGGTGTGGTAGCGCGCGCCTGTAATCCCAGCTACTTAGGAGGCTGAGGCAGGAGAATCACTTGAACCCGGGAGTTGCAGTGAGCTGAGATCGCGCCACTGCACTCCAGCCTGGGCGGGAGAGCAGGATTCCCTCTTAAAAAAAAATTGCAAACCCCCTTCCTCCAGTTTTCCTCATACCCCTTACCCTGGTGTATTTTTTTTTCCCCATATGCCTTCTAACATATTACATAATTCTCTTACATTTATCATCTTTCTCCTTATATTAGAATGAAAGCTCCAACAGGGAAGGGTATTTGTTTTCTCTCTCTCTTCTGTTTACTGATACATCCCAAGCACTAAAATAGTGTCTGGCAACCTTAGTAGTGATTGGCAAATATTTGTTGAGTGAATGAGTACATGAATCTTCAGAATCTTGCTAGTCTTATAAAGAAAAGGAATATGTGAATACTTTGAATCTCCAGTGCCTAGAAATGCTTGACCAAACGGCAGGTGTTCAATGTTTACTGAAGGAATTGTGTGCTCAGATCTGCTGGAGGTCTTTATCTGAACCCTTTGAGACTATGTCAAAAAAGTACCCAGGGCCAATTCACTCATGCCTCTCCTTTTCCTCTCATCCAATCAGCCTAGTATTCATCTAACAAATATCTAAGTCTCCAAATATTGAGCCACCCATTGTGAGTTCAAAAGCGTGTTTGGCGCTGCAGGGGAATATGTGACTAACGCGAATGAAGCAACAGCAAATACTACACTGGAATGTAATTAAGTGTGAAATTATAGGGCAGATTATCAGTGCTAATAGTTTAGAGAAAGAATCAGTGAAGACTGACGTAGAAGTAAATTCCAAAGTTCACTCGTCGACCAAACTACCCTTCTAAACGCTCCACCTACTGATAGTAGTACCATAACCTGGGTAGCTACCTTGAGAATTAGAAGGGCCTTTAGAGGTCCAACTCCTTTAAGAAAGAAAGAAAGACCAGGCACGGGAAAGGCCTCCGCAGACATGAGTCTAGCACCTGGGACTCATGAAGTTCTGAAAAGAGGGGTGTCCTGAAGGTCCAAGGCGCCTTTGTTGGGGGTCCCGGAATCCGCGGTGTGCCAGGTCGGAAAAGGCGTCCGCTTTCCTGGAGAGGAGGCTAAGGTGCCGGGCGCTTCGGTGAGGTGGCGGATGTTGGGGGGCGGGGGAGGGCAGAAGGCACCATTCCTTCGGGGCATGGGGCCCCAGGTATCCGTGGGCAGGGTCCAAAGCCACCGATCCCTACTGTCCTCAACTGCGGGGTTGCCTCCGCCGCCTTTGCTCCCAGACGCCACTCCGAGGCACAAGGACCCCAAGTCGCTCGGAACTGCCGGCCGCTAGATGACACCGGCTGCGCCGATGCAGAGCCTCGGGAGTCTCAGGGCACTACTTGTCCCAGCGGAGGGATCCTGCGTGCGTCGAAGCGACCGTGACCGCGCAGGGACTTGACGCCGCTGACGCCGGGCCGGCGGCGCAGCGACGCCGCAGGAGGCGGTGGCGGCGAGGGCGGGCGGGGGATGCGGGTCGGGAAGTAGTTCCGGGTGCGCGGCCCCGGATGTTGGCTGCTCTTGCTGCCGCCGCCGCTCTCGGGGCTGCTCGGGGCCTCGACCGCTCGCAGTAGGCACCGTTGGGACCTTTCCCGGGGGGGCGGAGACGCACGGAGCGGCCGGGGGCTCGGCCGGGCCGTCCCGGCCTGCGCAGCCTGAGGTAAGTGCCCCCCGCCAGGGCGGCCGGGCCTGGGCGGCGGGCGAGGAGGCGGGGCTGTGGCATCTCCCGGGACGGAGGCAGGGGCTGTCCTCCGCGAGACGCCCTCTCTCTTCCAGCCGCAGCCGCGTTGCGGGGTGGGCGGCGGGTGGGGCAGGGGGCCTGGGCCCCGGCTGGGGCCTGGCGGACGCCGAGGGCTGGGTCCTTCCCTCCCCCGCGGCGCTTCTCAGCTGCTGCTGCCCCTCAGCTGGGAAGCAGCGGCTTCGCGTCTCCCGCCCCTCCCCCAGGCGGGGCACCGGGGAACCAGACGTGGATCCCGGGGGCGCCTAGTCCGAGGGCAGCGACCGTCTCCTTCCCTCCATGACCTGTCCCTTGGCCTGGGCTAGCCCCCGACCCCGGCACTCTGCGGCTTCTTCCCTTTAAGCTTGGGGGCGCTTTTCTGCCGGCAGGGCGGGCTGTACCTCACGCCTTGGAGTGGCCCTTTGGGGAGAGGAGGCCCATGCGAGGGTGCTTGCGTTCCCGCCCATCCTGTGTCTGTGTCCTTTGCTGGGATTAGGGCAAAGGCAGCCGTTCCATGCGGACGTGTTGCTGTCCTGTGTGTGTTGCATCCTGCCCACGTGGTAGAGTGTCTCCCGCCCCCCCTCCCAGCTCCATTTTTGCAGCTGGTGAGGAGGGAGGTTAACGGGATGGTTTTTCCTCTGTGATTTCCTCCGGGTGGCGTGGAAGGTGTTAGGGTCAGTTTGCTTTGCCGAGGCCGGCTGTTGGTTAGATGAAGAATCGAGAGTTGTACTCTGAAATTGAGGCCAGTAGGGGACATAACAGGGCTTAGTTTCATTAACATCTTTTTTCCTCTTCCATTAGCTGCTCTTATTCTTTTCTCTGTTGCTTAATTATAGAGAATAAGCGCTTGCTACCGATGCATTCAGGTGTATAGTTTTCATTTCTCTGTTTTACTTTTTGTGTGTCTGGTTAGCAAAGGTTTTACTATTCCGTGTTGGTGCATTCCACGTCTGTGTTGTCCCTGGTTGGATTCCTGAATGAGTTAGAGCCATTCACTCTAATTCCTGAAGGAGTTAGAGATTGGTGGGCACCTTTTTGGTCTTTTTCTGAGATTTATTTGTGTGTGTTTTCTTCCTTCTATTTTGTTTCCCAGTGAAAAAGCGTGATGTCATAGGAGCGTTATATGCATAGCTCTTTTTCTCACAAGGCAGCACTAGTTTCACCTAGTCACTTATTTTGTAGAAGCTCTTTTACTTCACTTTTCCTCTTACTCTGTTGAGTACCCATTGCACACTCTTTTTTTGAAACTGGTTTGAAACATGGTTTGAGTAGTTTTTTTCTTAATGTCTCTTCCAGATTAGGGTTTCCATCTTCTGTTTTGCTGTTTTGAGACCACAGATTGTTCCCGCAATAACAGTGAGAGAAGCCTATTCCTCCTGGTCCCTAGCAAATATTTATAGAAAAGCAGTAACTCCTCTCTTTTTCTGAGTGGTATATATTATATAGACGTGATTAAGTTTTTTAGTTTCTTAGATAAATAGGAGGATTTCTCTTTTTGCTTTTGTGTCTCAGAATTGAGGTGAATCTTCTTGGTTTTGTGCTGCCGAGGACAAAACTGGGAAGTTTCTCATGCTTTCATTAGATTTTTTTTGGATGAGGCTAGAACGTGTTTATTTTGGCTCTTTTTTGTTCATTAGTTTGGGTAAAATAAAAAAACTTAATGTTTCAAAGTCACTTACTAGATTCCAAAGTGGCCTGCATTCTCACTTTTTCACATTGTACATTCTTTGAGTATATTTTTGACATTTTTTTCCTTTTATCTGGTACAGTTCGTATATTCCCTTTCCTTCTATGTAGAATGAAAATATTTAAATATAGATTTTAGATTATATTTTTTCATTATGCTAAGTATGGGTGGGGCAGTGGAAAATGGAGAATGTTGTTCTGATACATACTGAGGCTTTTTGTTTTTTTTTGGTAAGTCAGCATTTGTGTACTTCTGTAAAGTACCGAGTTATCTATGTGTGAAGTCTGTATGAAGAGACGAATAAGATACGTGGTCTCTTGGAAAGCTTCAACTTATATCGAAAGAACAGAGTTTCTTTTTCTGTTCGGGAAACATGTACATCATTCAGAATTATCAAACTGCATCAAACTTCTCCTTGGGATAACAGTACAACCAAGGTCAAAAGTGTAAGGGACATTTGAGAAAGATACAAATTTCCAAAGGGAAAGAGGTGTATTTCAGGAGAGTGAAGGGGCCTGTGCAAAGCGAGAGAAGTGGCAATGTACAAATGATATCAAGGAGCTTGACTGTCAGATCATCTGTGTTGGTGAATAATAATAAATGAGTTTAGGATTGGTGAGGGGGTATTGATGGAGGATCTTTCAAGGATAGAGGGTTTAGTTTGATAGGGTACCACAATGGGTTCTAAAGAATGAGAGTAAGATGATGCATCTTGTTCCTGAGGAAGGTTTTTGTTTCAGCTGAGTGTCCTGGGAGTGGAGAGACTGATTAGAGTGCTTATGGAGAATTTTAGGAATAAGCTGATGAGGGTCTGATATAAGATAGTGGTTGTAGGAATAAAATAATAGCTAACATTTACTTACTGTATGACAGGTATTCTAAGCGCCTACGTTTGTTTAATTCATTAAATCTTCATAATAAGGTATTAAAATCAGAAGGGACTTTGGGCAAGTTGCTTAACCTTATGCATGTAATTATTCCCATATACAATGAACGGTTAGATGAAAGGTAGATTTTGCACTGACCAGGGATATAGATGCTAGTAAAACACATCAGTAGATGTGTGTTGGGAGGGTAGTAGTATAATGAAGAAAGAGCTTTGAGGTTTGGAATTTTGGGTCTTGAAATAGGCTAATAGCATTCTGAGAAGAACCAGAAAGTGCATCATTTCCAGGATAGGAAGATTTTCTACAAGGGCAGGGTGTTGACAGTTTCAAATGCGGTGTAGAAGTTCAGAAACAGTGACTACAATGAAAAGACAATTGAATTAAAGCAGAAGAGATAATTTGTAAACTTAGAGAGAAAATTGAAAGGAGGGGTAAGAATAGATGCCAGATTTGTTTTTCACAGGATTTGTAGAGACATTAGTATCTGATATGGTAATTATTAGTATTTCCTTAAAAAAAGAAACAAACTTATGTTCCAAAGCCAGTGATTTTATACTTTAACGCTTCTCTCCTTAAACTTTTATTCTTTTTTTTTTTTAAAAAAGCTTTCTTGAAGTATAATTCACATACCATTTCATTCACACATTTAAAGTATACAAGTCAGTGGTTTTTAGTGTATTCACAGAGTTGTGCAACCATCACCACAGTCATTTTTAGGACAGCATTTCAAAAAAAAGCCTTGTACCCATTGGCAGTCACTCCCCGTACCCTCACCTCCAGGCAGCCACTAATGTACTTACAATCTTGTAGAGATGTTGATAATTCCAAATGCCTGTTGTGGGCATTTCATACAACATACGGTCTTTTGTGTCTGACTTCTTTCACTTGCATATGTTTCAAGGCCCATCCATGTAGCATGTATCAGTATTTCATTCCTTTTTATTGCCAAATAATATTCCACTGTATGTATATACTACGTTGATAGCCATTGCTTTAGTTGATGGACATTTGAGTTTCTTATTCTTTCATTATTATTATTATTATTTGAGACAGAGTTTCTCTCTGTCGCCTAGGCTGGAGTGCAGTGGCGCCATCTCGGCTCGCTGCAACCTCTGCCTCCCAGGTTCAAGCGATTCTCCCACCTCACCCTCCACAGTAGCTGGGATTACAGGCGTGCACCACCATGCCCCGCTAATTTCTGCGTTTTTAGTGGAGACGAGGTTTCACCATGTTGGCCAGGCTGGTCTTTGAACTCCTGACCTCAAGTGGTCTGCCTGCCTCGGCCTCCCAAAGTGCTGAGACTACAGGTGTAAGCCACCGCGCCTGGTCAAGTTTCTTAATTCTTTTAAACTCCTCCCCATTTTCATTGAATCTTCACCCTGCCAACCCCTCACATGGCCTTCTTTTAGATTATAACCTCTGCCATGCATTTTGCTAAGCATTGGGGATATAAAGATGAATAAGACATGGCCCTTGAACATTCATATAGTGTTTTATTGGTTTATATACATTTTCTCATACATTCTCTAATTTGATCTCAACAACCCTGTGATAAAGGCAGAATATCTTAAAGATGAGCAATTTGAAGTTTAGGTGACCTGCTTAGGGTTGTACACTTAAGTAATTGGTGGAGCAGGTAGGTCTTCTTAGTTCATATTTGTGCTATTTCCACTACTCTGTGCTGCTGTTTTAACTTAAAAATTCTCATGTAATTTCCTGGAGACTTAGAGGGACTGGAAAATGTACTGACTCAAAGAATCACTGTTTTTTTTTGTTTGTTTGTTTTGTTTTTGAGACAGGGTCTCACTCTTGCCCAGGCTGGAGTGCAGTGGCACGATCATGGCTCATTGCAACCTCAACCTCCTGGGCCCCAGTGATCCTCCCACCTCAGCCCCCTAAGTAGCTGGGACTACAGGTGCGCGCCACCATGCTCAGCTAATTTTTGTATTTTTTGTAGAGAAGTGGTTTCGCTATGTTGCCCAGGCTGGTCGCTAACTCCCGGGCTCAAGTGATCCGCCAACCCTGGCCTCCCAAAGCGCTAGGATTACAGGCGTGAGCCACTGCAGTCAGCCCACTGATTTTCTTCCGGACTTAAAATGAAGATTTTTTTCCCTAGATTCTGCCACTTGTTTGTTCTGTGTTTTAGACAAATCATTTCATATTTCTTTTCTTTCAGAACTTTCATGGAGTTCATGTGATGATAATGTAATGATAATAATAGCTAACATTTTTTGAAGCCTTACTATGGGCCTAAAAGTGTTCTAAGTACTCTACATTCATTATCCATATCTTACAACCCTTAATATTTTATAAATTTTATAAGTAGGTTTTATAAATATATCGTAGATTTTATAAGTTTATTGTAGTTGTAAATTTTATAAATACGGTAGTTTTACAGATGAGGAAATGGGCACAGAGAGGTTGATTTGACTAAGGGAACATAGCTAGGAATGGAAAGAGCCAGGATTTGAACCCTTGTAGTCTATTTTCAGAACTCTGTGGCTCTTAATCACTACACTGTTCTGTTTACTGTGTTACGAATTAATAGAGGATAATATTTCAAGTAAGGGCATGATAGAATATGAAGATTTGATTTTGAATGTAGTTGGGGAAACAGTTAAACAGCAATTTTAACTTGACATCGCATCCGCATTTCTTTTAAAAGTGGACTTAACACTACAGTGTACAAAGATACATATTGTTTAGACATTTTTTTGTTTGTCCCTGCTCAAAACTTCTCAGCTCAGAAATTACATTATTTTCACTGATCTTCACTGTTGGCTTTGTTAGTCACTTAGCTTTCCACATTGCCACTATTCAGAAACCTTGGCTTGAGACAGCTAAAGCTCACTTTTACCTCTCTCCTCAGCCTTCCTTTAACTGTGAATTTTTGTTTTCCATTTTGAACAGTTAGCCTTTCAGTCCTAGAGGGGGTTATTCTTTACCTCTTCCACTCCAAAACCCAGAAAACACCACAGTGGCGTTTTATAACAACTGTCACAAAATTTGACCATCTTAATTGGCATAACATGATTTTAGTGCACAAATAAGAACCAAAGCATAGTGTTTTGGTTAAAGAGATTGACTTACTCTGAAATTGGAAAAGGCATCTGCTGTACAGGATTTTTGATTTAATAGAATTTGTTATAACCAGATCAGCAGAGCATTATTACTGTGGGCCATCTGTTGGAATATGGAAATAGCTTTGTTATATGGAACCAGATGTTGTTTTTATATTTATAACAATGACATTCTACTTATTTTAAGTAACCTTTTGTAGTTAGGTACCTTTGGCTGCGATTCTATTTGACATGTATATCAACTGATAACCTGAGAATGTGATGTCTTTCAAAGTGGCTATTATTCTGTGGGATCAGGACAACACAGATGAAACAAAAAGGAAATGAGACTCATACAGTGTCAAACTTTAGTGCTATAACAAGATAAAATATAGGAAAAATGACCTGGTGTGGTGGCTCACGCCTGTAAACCTAGCATCTTGGGAGGCCGAGGCAGGCGGATCACTTGAGGTCAGGAGTTTGAGACCAGCCTGGTCCACATAGTGAAATCTCGTCTCTACTAAAAATACAAAAATAAGCTGGGCATGGTTGTGGGTTCCTGCAGTCCCAGCTATTTGGGAAGCTGAGGCAGGAGAATCGCTTGAACCTGGGAGGCCGAGGTTGCAATGCCGCTGCATTCTAGTCTGGGCAAGGGAGTAAGACATTGTCTCAAAAAAAAAAAAAAAAAAAAATAGGATAAGTATGAATATGTGATATGAGATAATTAGGACCATATTAAATAAGAGCTCTGACCTTGAGACTATTAATAAAGGCCTCGTTTCTAATAATTACTAAGCCACTTGGTTGCTCTAAGAATTTTTACCCTAAATCTAAAGTGATTTGATTTTGATGTAATTGGACCTACATTAATACCACACTGTCTGACCATTGTTTCCCATCATCAATTGATGAAATAGTCTGTAACAAGACTCATACTTGTAGAGTGGGACTCAAACTTAGAGTGCAATAAGAGGAACTGTTTTTAGAACACAGACTTAGAGAACTCTGTTCTGAATTGAACGCTAATAATTTGAAGATGACTGGGTCTTTGGGTAGGAATTTTTATTTTTTTGAGACAAGATCTTGCTGTGTCACCCAGGCTGGAGTATAGTGACTCCATGAGAGCTCATTGCAACCTCCCAACTGCAGGGCTCAAGCGATCCTCCTGCCTTAGCGCCACAAGTGGCTGGGACTAGAGGTGCGTACCACCACACCTGGCTAATTTATTTATTTTTAATTCAGACAAGATCTGACTATGCTGGCTCCCTAGGCTGGTCTTGAACTCTTGGCCTCTTCCTCCCTCCTTGGTCCCCCAAAGTGCTGGGATTGCAGGCGTGAGCCACCAGGCCTGGCCTGGGTGGGAATTTTTAGAGAGTCTCTCCAGAAACTGCATGATATCTATTTTTATTGTCTTCAAATCAATGTAGAGTCTGTGGATTCCATAGAGTTGGCCAGCTATTCTAGGATGAGCTTTACCCAGTAAACTGACTTTCAGTCAGAGTTTTCACCTGGAGTATAAAACAAAAAGTTCTAACGGAATTCTCCTACCTAGAGTCCTCCTCAGTGGTATAGTGTTTACTAAGGAAATAAGATTGATCTTCTGATTGATTGGTAGAGTGTGGTGCCAGTGTGACCTTATTAAAAACCTTGTAAATTGGAATCATCTTTTTTTTTTAAGATTGGGACCTGACCTTTGACACCACTAATAAGCCTTGTTTCCAATTAGCACTATTGTGTTGAAACAGATTTGTGAGAGGAATGGATAATAAAGGAAAGACTGCTAGAACTTACTAACTGTTGCAAATTTTGTTTGCTTACAGAGAGAGGGGATTCAATATGATGGAAGTAGGTTATCATAAAGACTCTAGATTTTGGCTGGTGGTACATGGGTGCTTATTAAATTATTAAAATTAACTTTAAAAAGTTTCTGTGGCTTGGCCATCAAATTTTGGGTAATTACAGACACAACAGTCAAACATGCAGCAATCAGGGTCAGGTTGGCCTTTCTGAATGAGGATGGAGCAGACTGTTACGGCAGGAGGTGAATGATACATGGCGTCTCTTTCTGCTAGGATAGTTGGGTCTGTGAGTCTATGACACCTTACTTGTCTACCCTGTGTACAGAACTGGTGATGGTATTGTCCCACTGTGTATACGTGGGTAGCCGTCACCATCAGAAATGGCACCTTTGTGTATCAGAGGAAGTCGTGTTTTATATTATTGTAGGGGATGTGTATTTTCAAAAGATTTCCACCTTACATTTGAATAATATTTTTTCAAAAGTGTTTTATCTGATCTGTTGGATTTTGGAGACTTATAACAGCCTTGTGATATGTGTTAATAGTGATATGTGTTAATAGTGATATTCCTATTGGCAAATGGAGAAGATGAGATAGAAGCTAGGTAGGACTCAGTGCCACTCAGTTATTTAGTGGTGGAACAGATGCTGGAACCCAGACCCTGCATTCTCCTTGTTTCTTACTCTTAGTATGAAACTGACAAAGTTTTGGTGAGGAACTTGCTCTGGATTTTTGAGGTAAAAATGGAAGGTTATAGACCCCAAAGGACCTGGCCTACTTGGAGCAGAACATATGATAATATCAGACTTAGAGTACATAAAACCAATGGGAGCGGTTTCTCCCCTTGTTAAATTTAGGTCCATTTCTAGTCATTGGAAGCATTTTTACTTGAATCTGCATTCTTTGTCTTCGTAGAATTCAGGAGTTAAGGGAAACTTTAAAGGATTACTCAATAGCAGATTTGGTCTTGTTTTATGTAAGTATACATCTATAAAATTTAGACATTGAAAAAGTATCCCTGGAACATGATTCCACTAAGGATGCCTAGGTTACTGCCACAGTGGGAGATGTGTTGTCTGTTGCCTGGTGGTTGGGAAGAGTAACAGTATATAGAGAAGTTATATCTGCATA
The DNA here is from genome assembly GCF_000001405.40 of Homo sapiens. Classification (NCBI taxonomy): domain Eukaryota; kingdom Metazoa; phylum Chordata; class Mammalia; order Primates; family Hominidae; genus Homo; species Homo sapiens. Next base: position 42,326,438 of record NC_000001.11, on the reverse strand, counting down.
GAAAAAAAAGACTGGGAGAGAATGCATCATAATGGGTAATTTAAATTTTCTTCTTTGAACCTGTATATATTTTCTAAGCTCTCTACAGTGACCATATATCATTTTTGTACTCAAAGAAAACGTATACAGTTTGATTTTTATGGTTCAAGTGAGAATTTGGAAAAATGTGGATCTTCGGACTTTTTTTTGAGTTGGAGTCTCACTCCGTCTCCCAGGCTGGGGTGCAGTGGCGTGATCTCTGCTCATTGCAACCTCAACCTCCTGGGTTCAAGTGATTCTCCTGCCTCAGCCTCCCAAGTAGCTGGGATTACAGGTGCCTGCCATCACGCCTGGCTAATTTTTGTATTTTTAGTAGGGACGAGGTTTCACCATGTTGGCCAGGCTGGTCTCAAACTCCAGACCTCATGTGATCCGCCTCCCAAAGTGCTGGGATTACAGGTGTAAGCCACAGTGCCCAGCCTGATTTTGGGACTTTTGAAGAGCAGTTTAAACACTTGATGCTATGAAGTTGTTTTGCTTTCTAAGCAGTTTGTTAACAAATCAGTTTGATAAATTATTGATTATCTTATGGGTCAAGTTGTGAGTGTATTAAGTGGTTTGGGTTTTTCTTTGCATTAGAAGTTGGTCATTTAGCTCTGCTGATCAAGAAATTAATTTTAGTCCCCTGGAAGCAACCAAGACCTTAAGTTTACTTACAGTAATTATTTATCAATAAATGATCTAGAAATAGCACTCCAATTTAAATCCTGAAAACTAACTTAAGGATCTACTTATAAGCTTCCATTCCTTGGCAGATTTCTAATAAAAAACCAAATTGTTAGTGCTTCTTTAAGGTAGTGTTTTTCATCCAGGTACATTGGACTCATCATTTCTCTCACTCATTCGCTTGCTCATCTGTTCCCTCTTTTGCTGTGTCCTGGGCACAGTACTGAATACTGGGGACACGACTAAGGCAGGGTCCCTGCCAGCAAAGACTACAGCTTTTAGTTTGGGAGAAAAATCAGAGATGTCCTTGGCATCTGGAAGTATCCTGTGATTTCTTCTGTTTTCTTCTTTTCGACTAGAAAGGCAGAATGAGTAGCTTGTTCAAAGAACTTAATGGATTTAGGGATATGAATAGATGGCTTTAAGGGAAGCTGATGGCTTCATAGTTATTTCTCTGATTGCAAAATACTGAAAATTTAAGGAATTTCCTCATCTAATGAGCAATTGTTACTGAGGTAGATGACCTGGGCATTCAGGTTTGCTTTGGGAACTTAATCAAACAACATTGTATCGATTCTTCCAGGATGGAGACAGTGTCTTTTTGACTCTTATCCTCTATACTTAACACTGTGTGTGATACATAATAGACATTATTATATAGCCATTATACAGTCATGTGCCACATAATGACATTTTGGTCAACTGTGGGGCATATATATACAGTGGTGGTCCCATAAGGTTATAATGGAGCTGAAAAATTTCTATTGCCTAGTGACCTCAAAGCCATCATAATCTTGTAGTGTAATTAAAAAAAATTTAGTGTAGTCTGTGTGTACAGTGTTTATAAAGTCTACAGTAGTGTACAGTAATGTCCCAGGCCTTCACAGTCACTCATCACTCACTCACTCTGAGCAACTGCCAGTCCTGCAAGCTCCATTCATTGTTAAGTGTCCTATACAGGCATACCATCTTTTATACAGTATTTTTACTGTACCTTTTCTGTGTTTAGATACACAAATACTTTTGTATTCCAGTTGCCTACCATATTCAGTGCAGTAACATGCCATTCAAGCTTGTAGCCTAGAAGCAATAGGCTGTACCATATAGCATGGGTGTGTAGTAGGCTCTACCATCTAGGTTTGTGGAAGTACACTCTGACGTTTGTACAGTGATGAAATCGCCTAACGACACGTTTCTTAGAAAGTATCCCTGTTGTTAAGCGATGCATCACTGTACTAATAAAGGATGTTGCGTGTTTAAACTTAATTTTGAGAATTTTAATATTACTACAGATAGTTTTGTCTAAAACAGTGATTTATATGTTATATATAGTATATATAGTATTTATATGTTATATATAGTATATATAGTATATATGTTATGTATAGTATATAGTGTATATGTTATATATCTCGTGTATATATAGTGTATATATATAATATATGTGTATAATATATATAGTGTATATATGTGTATATATAGTGTATATATAGTGTGTATATATTCCTAGAATTTATATATATAGTATATATATAGTATATATATTCCTAGAATTTATATATACTATATATACACAGTGTATATATAGTATATATACTGTATATACACTGTGTATATACAGTGTATATACACAGTATATATACAGTATATATACTATATATACACTGTGTATATACAGTGTATATACTATATATAGTGTGTATATATATACTATATATATTTAGTAGTTCCTAGAATTTTAAGAGTTAATCATTCAGGTCAGTGAAATATATCGCTAAAACACTTGATATATAGTCATTTGGCTACTTTTAGAACACCTTTGGTCACTCATAGCTATAAGGTAACCTGTTTGTTGTTAGTTGTAATTGAGGCAAAATATGCATCTAACGTCATCTTTTTTTCTTAGTTCTTCCCTGTGGAACAGTAGAGACCTAGTCTGCCTTCTTTCACAAGATAATCCTTCAATTATTTGAAGGTGATTATTCAGCATATATCTCTTGAGTACCTGTGCATGCAAGACACTGTCCTGGATATTGTGAGAGATCCAAAGGTAATTAAGAGGCATAGTCTCTTAGCAAGAAATGGGTACAGATACTAAGAGCTATGGGTTTACTGAGAAGAGGGAGTGTTTTTTGCTTATGATGATGACAAAAGCTTCGTGGATGAGATAGTGTTTGGATTAAGATTAGACATGGAGCATTCTAGGCTGAGAGCATAGTCAAAGACTTAGAAATGAGGAAGCACAATGCAAGTTAGAGGAATAGAGACCCAGCTTGGCTGTTCCCCACACTATCCTCCAGGATATTAAAACTGTTCGTTGTTGTATCCCCAGCACTTGGAGGAGTGGTTGGCTAATAATTGGTGCTTAATAAATATTTGTTGAATGAATGAATGAATGGTCATATTTGAGAAATACCGATCATCATTTTCTTGGACATTAACAAAGCATTTTAGGATATTGAACACTTTAAGTCATTTAGAGAAAAAAAGTGTTTATCTCAATCTTCTTTAATTATGGAATGTGCATTAACAACTCTTGAAATCCTCTGGAAAATATTACACTGGTCTGTATGGTAGAGGTGAGGTGGAAGGCTAGAAAGTGTTTTCTTCTCCAAGCTAAACACACCCAGTTTCTTCAGTCATTATACACTTGACATTTGGTTTCTGATCCCTCACTAGTTTGATATCCCTCCTTCCAAGGATTCTGTCCTGTAAGTGTTCTTAAAATGTGGTGTTCAGAACAGAACATGTTTCCCTCCATAGGTGATATTTTTTAATTCTATATTAAAACAAAACGAAAAACCCTCAGAATACAATACTCCAGTTGTGAACTAAGTAGTGAGGAATACATGGTACTGTTACCCTCCTTTTCTGGATACTGTTCTTCTAATGAAGCCCAAGTTTGCATTTTGTTTCTTTTTAGCAGCTGAGTCACTCTCTTGGCTCATATTCAGTTCTCATCTTAATTTACAACAAGTTCTTTGAGTAGATTCAGAGAGATTTCCTATTAGTAGAGCTAACTAATGAATGCCCATTTTCTTCTGATTGAGTCTAGGCTGTTTTCTCAGAAGTACTAGTCATCCTTAGCTTCCTGAAATCTGAGAAAGAAAAAAATTAATTATCCATTGGTATTGTTGAGCAACTAACACCAAACAACTTTAATCCAACTGCCCTTTTGAGTATACTTAGAAATATATAAAATATGAAGAATCCCCCTTTACCCATCGAGATTCAACAAATTAAGATAGGTGCCACATATGCCTCAAATACCTTTTTTTTAAGTATTTCAAAGAAAATCATAGACACTGTCTTTTCACCCCTATGTCAGTATGCATCTTTAAGAAAATGTAAATATTTTCTTATATTACCCATGCCATCATTGTATCTAACAAAATAGACAATATTTTTAGGTATCATCTAATATCCAGTTCATAATAAAATGTCCTGATTCTTTAAAAACATCTCTTTACAGTTGGTTTTTAGTTGACTCAAGATCCAGATAAGGTATATAGACTGCATTTGGTTGTTATATTTCTTAAATCTCCTTTAACTGAACCATAGCCACTTCCCACTCTCCCCACCTTTTGGATAATTTGACCTCTTTGGCCCTTCACGTCTCTATCTGTACCAAATTCTGTTCCTTTTGAAATATCTGCTAGATTTTTTTTTTCTTTTATGACAATTCAGCCATCATTTTGAAGTATTATGTGTAGAACATGTGCTAGGCATTATGGGAGATAACAAGTTAATTCGATATTCCAGTGGTAGGGACAGATGTTTACAGAAACAACATGAAATGGATTATTTGTCCTCCAATGCATCATGCCTTGATGATAAAGTCTCCCATTTTTTTTCCCTGGAAAATGATGCCAATGGAATCTTCCTCATACATCTCTTTAATCATATACTGATCAGGAACCCACGTTTGGTTTCCTCTTGAGTCGGTTCATACTTGACTGTTTTTGGCCTGTCACTCAGTTCTTCCACTGGCTCCCACTGTTATCCAAAGTGGCGCAAAAATCTTTTTATTTACTTTATTTAAAAAACCCACGTTTATGTTATGTAGAATTTTCATTTCTCCAACAAGATTATAAACATCTGGAGAGCAAAAGTCATACTGTCTTCTTTTTCTTTGTAATACTGGGTGCTTAATAAGTACTTTTGAAGAGTCCTGGTACATACATCAGGTCTGTTCTTCTGTTTCCTACCTTTCTAGAGTCAGCTGGAGATTCTGCCAGTTAAAAGTAAATAATCCAGACCTGGATCTCTAATTACCTCAGAAGTCTTCTTAGAAACAGTCCATTCAGTGGTCTAACTGAATCAGGGATGATAGATAAATGATTTTCATGTTACCAATTGCTCATCACCATGTCCTTGGCAGACTACTAATTTCTGCTTGTGTTTAGACATTATTTTTTCATTGTAGCACTTCAGGCAGCCACTACCTATTGAGCATTATTGACAAATGATAGGAAACCGTTGTCCTAAACCAGTAGTTCCGGAATCAGACTACATCAGAATCAGCTGAGATAACTTTTAATTAATAGATTTCCCAAGTTTCACCTAAATCAGGATTTCCAGGAATGGGATATAAATGATTATAAAGTCAGCAGTGGTTTGTTTACTGACTTTGGGAATGAGGCAGGTAATTTTTATTTTGTTAAACATCTCTGGCAGCGGAGGCTTTATAGCTTCCTATCTTTTCAGTTTCAGTACAGCATTTTATTCCTCTCACAGCCAGTAAGTTCTGTTAGGTTCAGTGGACTTTTCAGCAATATGGGTAGGATCTGTTGCTTTGAATTCCACCAGGCAAAGCACATGAATCAAATGCCCAAGATAAAGATACAGGATCCAGGGAAGTGGCGTCTTGGTTTTCTAAATATAACTGAGCTCAAATTTAAAGCCTCACAGCCTTTAGCCCTCCAAAAACTCATTCTTTGTTTAGTGAATACCTTTAAATGTTGCTTAAAATGTAAGAGTTCAACATTTTTGCAGTAGATTAGCTTTTGAATTTTTCATATTTCATGTATATTCAATAAAGGTGATTTAAACATATAATGTGATCTAATTTCATATACCTTTAAACATATAATGTGATCTAATATCGTATACCTCTAATTTCATATACCTTTAAACATATAATGTGATCTAATTTCATATACTGTATAATTTCAGTATTTAAACATACGGTGTGATCTAATTTCATATACCTTTTTCAGGTTTTCTGTAAAAATAAATGTGTAAATTGGGAAAGGGTTCTTTATTAGACCACATGATACGATTTTGGGACCAAATATTAGGTAGTTAAGTTTTTGAGCAAAGTAGAGAGACTGAAGCCTCAGGATTATCTAGTGAGTTAATGACAGACCCAGAAATAGAATCTTGTGCTGTTTGCTTGGGTTATGATTTAGTTTGAAGAGGGTGGCCTGTGATCTGTTTACATAAATTGCAGGAAGTAAGGTTTGGGGTTTGGAAGAAGTTATAGCTCTGTGATGTTTGGCCAGGAAGCCCCCCCTCCCCCACGCTCACCACCTCTTTTATTGACACTAGTCCTAAAATATGGAGGAAAAGAGGCAGTTACGTATATTTCCTACTGTTAAAACAGTCTTTAAAAGCTGAAGCTGATTTTTTTTCATCTTCTATTAGTCTCTTCCTGCCCCTGGTCTTGTTTTAGGAGGAGAGGAGTATAGCCGAAGTAGTCGATTTGTAGATAGTGGTAGTTTCCTTGATAATTTTTTCAGGTGTATGAAACTTTTTTATTGGCTGTACATGTATCTTCATTAAACGTGTTTAGTGAATAAACAATATGGTTTAAAAATAGTGGAGGCCACCAGAAAACTATTGAATGGTTCAAGGAGTTATAGATTTGTAAGTAATTGTTTTTTCTAGAGTTGTTTTCTGGTGAGATAGTTACTTTTACTCACCCTTTCCTGTTCCAGCTTTGGGGTTTGGGGGTGGATCCTGTGGCACTAGTGAGAGAAGCAGCAGGAATGTGACAGAATAAAAACATTTGTGTGTGGTGGTTCTGAACTTATTTTTTTTCCTAACTGCTTTGTTGAGATATAATTCACATACCATACAGTTCATCTAGTTCAGTGTAAAATTCAGTGTTTTTTAGTATATTCACAGGATTGTGCAACCATTGCTACAGTCTAATTTTAGAACGTTTTTCTCCTGCCTTGAAAAGAAACTCCATACCTAATAGCAGTCAATCTCTATTCTCCATTTACTTTTTCTCTTACTGCTAACCCTAAGAAACTGCTATCTAATTACTCACATGAATTTGCCTATTTTGGACGTTTGATGTAAATGGAATCATACAATATGTAATCTTTTATGACTGGTTTCTTTCACTTAGCATAATGTTGTTAAGGGTTATACATGTTGTAACATTTATTCCTTTTTATTGTCAAACAGTTATTCCATTATGTGGATATAACACATCCATTCATCAGTTGATGGGCATTTGGATTATTTCCACTTTTTAAACAAAACAAAACAAAACAAAACAGGGTCTTGCTGTGTCGCTGAGCTGGAAAGCAGTGACACGATCACAGCTCACTGCAGCCTCCACCTCTTGGGCCCAATTGATCCTTCCACCTCAGCCTCCTGAGTAGCCGGAACTACAGGCACCAGCCACCATGTCTAGCTAATTTTTGTATTTTTTTAGAGATGGGATCTTGCCATGTTGCCCAGACTGGTCTTGAATTCCTGGGCTCAAGCCATCTGCCTGCCTCAGCCTCCCACAGTGCTGGGATTACAGGTGTGAGCTACTGCACGTGGCCTATTTTCATTTTTTTGCTATTATGATTTAATACTGCTATGAACATTCTTGTGCAGATTTGTCTGTGGATGTATGTTTTCATTTCTTGGGTATAGAATTTCTGGGTCATATGGTAACTCTTATGTCTAACTTTTTGATGAACTGCCAAACATTCCCAAAGTAGCAACACTATTTTACACTTGTACTAGCAATGCATGAAAGTTTGAATTTCTCCACGTCATTGCAACACTTGTTACTTTGTGTCTTTTTGATTATAGCCATGTTAGTGGGTATGAAGTGGTGTCTTGTTTTAATTTGTATTTCCCGGCTGAGTGCAGTGGCTCACGCCTGTAATCCTAGCACTTTGGGAGGCCGAGGTGGGCGGATCACCTGACGTCGGGAATTTGAGACCAGCTTGACCAACATGGTGAAACCCTGTCTCTACTAAAAATACAAAAAAAATTAGCCAGACATGGTGGTGCATGCCTGTAATCCCAGCTACTTGGGAGGCTGAGGCAGGAGAATCGCTTGAACCTGGGAGGTGGAGGTTGCAGTGAGCCAAGATCACTCCACTGCACTCCAGTCTGGGTGACAAGAGCGAAACTCCATCTCCAAAATAAAAAATTGTATTTCCCTGGTGATTAATGATGCTGAACATCTTTTCATGTATTTATTGGACATTCATATATCTTCTTTGTAGAAATGTCTGTTCAGATTCTTGCCCATTATTAAATTGGATTATTAGTCTTTTGGTTATTGAGTTGTAAGAGTTGTTTGTATATTCTGGATACCTAACTTGGTCTTCTAACTGCAGATTGGTCCTAAATTGCTTAGAGATAAAGTGATGGATACAAAAGACTGTATTAAGTAAAGACCTGGTGAGTTGTCAGATCTCATTTTAAGTTTCTTTTTTCCCCCCAATTTTTGAAGAATCTGGTTTATTCATTCACTGAATAAATATGAGTGCTGGCTTTATACTAGGTTTTGGGAATATAACAGAGAATGAAACATGGAGCTCACATTCTGATGGGGGAGAAATAAAAATCATATCAGATGGTGATGAGCTTTTCGGTTTTCTATTTCTATTTATGAAGAATAAAATAAGGTAATAGAGATAATGTGATGAAAATTCTAACATTCTCTACCTTTCCTGAATTCTTAATCTATACCTTCTGTTCTTACATTTTCTACTTAATTTTATTTAATACAACTTGTAGCTAAACTTTTATTTTTCTTTCACTCCTGATTCTTAACCCCTATCCATGCTAATTTTTGCCTTCACTATTCCACAAAACTTACCCACTGTCGTATTATTATCTTCTATTAAAAGCCAGTATTCTCTTTTCAGTTTTTATCCTTCTTGATCTACACTGAACATGATTGCCTTTCTCTCTCTTATATCACTTGCTGCTATCTGCAGTCCAACTTCCTCAAGTTTTTTTTTTTTTTTTTTTTTATGGTTTCTCTTAATTATCTGTGTGGCCTCTCTTCTGATAGATACTCTGTGGTGAATTGCAGATCCTCATGATTTTAATTGCTCTCTGAAAGCAGATGACTTCTTAGCTCAAGATGCACCTCTGCCTTCAGGTTTAGCTAGAGTGGCTGGGATGAACAACTGATTGCTTCTCACTCATCAGGATTCTTTCCCTTTACTCTTTCCTCTGGCACAGTTCTTCTATTTGGGTTGATTAGGATACAGATTATTTTTGTGACTGCTTTAATGATTACCTGTTACTAATGGTATAATAATCTGAAATGTTCAGTCAAGTTTCTTGAATCAAAGGGGTTGTTTCTTCATGAATGTTAGTGAATGTTATACTTTCAAGTCTTTTGGAAAGATATGGCTGAATTCAGAAGCAAAAAAAGGGAATAGCTTCTTGACCTCTAGAGCTGTGACAGTTTTTTAAATAAATAAAATAAATAAAAAATGAATTTTTAATTTTTTTATTTCAGTAGGTTTTTGGGGAACAAGTGGTGCTTAGTTACATGAATAAGTTCTTTAGTGGTGATTTCTGAGATTTTGGCGCACCCATCACCCGACCAGTGTACACTGTACCCAATGTGTAGTCTTTTATCCTTCACCCCACTCCCACCCTTTCCCCTGAGTCCCCAAAGTCGATTGTATCATTCTTATGCCTTTGCATCCTCATAGCTTAGCTCCCACTTATGAGAACATACATCGTTTGGTTTTCCATTCCTAAGTGTAATAGTTTTAACAAATTTTTAATTCTTACCTTTGTCTGGTGTTACACTAATGCTTTCACTCAAGCTACTGTCATAGTAACTGAGGCATTTACTGCATTTTTCCATTCTTATGAAGGAGGAAATTAAGCCTTAGGGAAGTTAACATATCCAAGGTCACACAGTAACTGTCAATAGTTGGGATTCCAGTCTTGAGTCTTCAGCTACAAGGTCATGAATGGTAGTAAGTTTTTTGTAAATTATAAAGCATTGCATTTCTGTGTAGGTGGGAGAGGGGAGAGAGCTCGTAAGTATTTCGAGCTGGGTGTGATGACTCATGCCTGTAATCCCAGTGCTTTGGGAGGCTGAGGTGAGAGGATCATTTGAGGCCAGGAGTTTGACATCAGTTTGGACAACACAGCAAGACCTTGTTTCTACAGAAAAAAAAAAAAAAAAGGCCCAATGCAGTGGTGTGCACCTGTGGTCCCAGGTACTAGGAAGGCTGAAGCAAGAGGTTTGCTTGAGCTCAGAAGTTCGAGGCTGCAGTGAGCTATCATCTGGCCACTGTACTCCAGCCTGGGCAACAAAGCAAGACTCTGTCTCTTAAAAACAAAACGAACTTATTCAGAGCTTTTTCAAAATACTTAGTTCTATTTCACTCCATGCCCCCAGATAATATGTTATTATACAACTGTTAGTGTGTTGCGATGGCTGCTTCCTAAATGTGGATAGTTTGTAACTCAGTTTAATGTACACTTGAATACTGCTTATGTTAAAAGAAATTCCATGCTTTTCTGTTGGTAATGGAATATAATACAGTAAATAGCTTGTATTGCAGCATACTCATTAGCTAATGCCTGGCTTTTAGTACTCATTCTGGTTGTGTCATTCTACTCTTTCTTGATACATATTAGTTTTCAAAAGATTTGGAGATTTATGCTGTAGGCACCAAATAAAACCATGTAAATAAATTATGGATGTAACTGAATGAGTTAATATAGTTGTTCAACTACAGTTGATGCCACAGAGATTTGTTTGTGACTTGGAGGACTTTGAAATTTCCTGACTTCAATGTGAACCTTAGCCTTCTTTTGTGAGATTTCCCTGTTGCTGTTCAGTTGCCTGGGTAGGGAGAAGACTGATATATGTTTGTTCTTTCAGTCAACAAGGCTAGGGTTCAGGACGTCATTTAAGGACGGTAATCTAGAGGAAAAATGAATAACACTGGAACTAAAGCATTGAAGCTAGAGCAGATTGGAAAGATAACTAGAAGTTAGAATTTGATAGTAAATGGTAACTTATTGGAGGTACTAAGGGTGTTGGTGTTTGGACAGTTTAGTATGAGATCATTTTCCCTTGCCTGAGTTTTGAGCTGATTGAGAAATAAGAACCTACAGATGAAGAAGCAAGACAGTACCTTTAAAAAAATTAGCTTTTTATTCAGGTAAAAATCACATACTGTGAAGTTCACCATTTTAAAGTGTACAATTCAGTAGTTTTTAATGTATTCACAAAGTTGTGCAACCATTACCACTATCAATTAGGCCATTTTCATCACTCTAAAAAGAAACCTCCTAGCAGTCACTTCCCATCTGCAATCTTCCTCTCTTCCCCCATCTCCTGGCAACCACCAATCTACTTTTCATTTCTATAGATTTGCCAGTTCTGGACATTTCGTATAAATGGAATCATACAGCATGTGGTCTTTTGTGTCGTTTTCACTTAGCATGAGGCTTTCAAGGTTCATTTATGTGGTAGCATGTAAAAGTACTTCATTCCTTTTTATGGCTGAATAAAGTTGCATTGTATATTTTATGGCTGTTACTTAGATAAACCATACTTTGTTTATCTGTTCATTAGTTGACAAACATTTGGGTTATTTTCACTTACTGGCTTTATGAGTAGTGCTGCACATTTGTGTGCAAATGATCATTTGTGTGCATGTTTTTGTAGGAACATTTAAATTCTCTTGGAGATGTATATGCTTATAATTGCTGGGTTTTATGGTAACTCTGTGTTTAACTTTCAAAGGAGTTGCCTTTGTTTTTGATAAAACCTATATTGTAGAACGTGACTTAGGTTTAAGAGCCAAATGAGTTGGCTGACTTTCTGCAGCCCCTCATGCCCATCTGTCAGTGGGACAGTGCACCCTAGAGGATGTTTGGGTCAGCAGAGCAGACACACTCAGATCATTGCCTTGTAGAATCCTGGATGGAGAGTGAAAAGAAAGAGACTGAGGGCTGGGCGTGGTGCCTCACGCCTGTAATCCCAGCACTTTGGGATCCTAACCGAGGCAGGTGGATCACCTGAGGTCAGCAGTTCAAGACCAGCCTGACCAACATGGTGAAACCCCCTCTACTAAATACAGAAAAGTAGCCAGACATGGTGGTGCATGCCTGTAATCCTATCTACTTGAGAGGCTGAGACAGGAGAATTGGTTGAACCCAGGAGGCAGAGGTTGCAGTGAGCCGAGTTGGCGCCATTGCCCTCCAGCCTGGGCAGCAAGAGTGAAAACTCCGTCTCAGAAAAATAAAAAGATTCTGAGTCCCTGGTACTCAGTTCTTTTGTTAAGTTAGCTCTATGTACTAACCAGTTTACCTCTTTGGAGAGGAATGGGCTAAGAGGCCAGGAGTGTTTACTGAAGTAATTCCTCATAGAGACTAAGAGTTGGAAAAAAAATTAGTCTGCTCTAACAAAGAGTAAGAGTTAAGCTAGAAACCTGAAAGCCATTCTTAGATGAAAAGGCTGTGCCATTTTATCCAGGAAGGAAGTATATTAAGAGAAGATGATGAATTCAGTTTTAAACATGGTAAATTTGGGATTTCCAGGAGGGAATGTTAGATATTTGTTTGGAGATTAGGAGATTGATCTCTGCTAGAGATGAAGATTTGAGATCTATCTACCTTCAGGCAATTAAAATACAAGACTAGGTAAATCACACATAAAACAGTAAAGAAGTATGTCTAGTAATTTTTTTTCTTTTAAATAAAGAAAGCTGCTCTGCTGTGTACGAAACCATGACCCAGAGGCAGGTTGTCTGTGAGTGGTTTAGCGCCAGGTTCCCCACGAAAGTGTGTTCCGTGACAGGCAAGGGGACGGCTGCCTTTTTAGCCACACCCCATTTCCCAGGACGAGGGGCAGTCCACACTGGACCCTGGTCCCAAGGATGTCTAGTAACTTCTATATCTGCATTCCTTGTGGTTTATTGTGCTAACTGATGTTTCTGCTGTATTTTGCTGTGAGTGGCTGATTTCCTTCTGGGTTTTGTGATTTTTAGTTATGAATACATTTATTTTGAGATCTTACCTGTGGGAATTTTTCCAGGCTTAGGTCAAAGGTGATTTCCTCCAGAGAGAACGTACATTTGCTTCTGTCAAGATTGGGTGGGGGATACAACCATCCTAGGGCTACCCTAAACACAATTCTAGGTATGAAGCTTTTTTTTTTTTTTTGAGACGGAATTTTGCTCTTATTGCCTAGGCTGGAGTGCAGTGGTGTGATCTTGGCTCACTGCAACCTCTGCCTCCCAGGTTCAAGCGATTCTCCTGTCTCAGCCTCCCAAGTAGCTGGGATTACAGGCACATGCCACCATGCCCGGCTAAATTTTTTGTATTTTCAGTAGAGATGGGGTTTCATCATATTGGTCAGGCTGGTCTCAAACTTCTGACCTCAGGTGATCCGGCCGCCTCGGCCTCCCAAAGTGCTGGGATTACAGGTATGAGCCACTGCGCCCAGCCGGTATGAAGGTTTTAAAACCATAATCTAGGGGAAGATCAGCTTGTGGTTGTGAAATATCAGGGAAGACACCCTTGCACTGCTGTCACAGTCCCTGATCCCCTCCCAGCACTAAGTGCTGTGGTTAAAAAAGTAGTTTTCCTGGCAGTTTTCTTGGTTAAGAACTGAACATTGCTGCTGTCATAGTCCTGGATCCCCTCACCAGCCCTAAGTGCTAAGGTTAAAAAAGCAGTTTTCCTGGCAGTTCTCTTGGTTAAGATCTGAACGTTGTTGCATCTTGTACATTGTGTCCCACAAGGTCTTGGAATTGCAAGCCAGAATTCATAGTGCTTGGCATAATGCCCTAAAGGTGAAGGAAAGCTATTGTCAGTACTCTGCATACCTTTCTAGTTTCCACTGTTTCACCTAGTTTTTGGATTCTGATCATACCTCATTTTCTGTCAAGTTTTTGATTTATATGTAAAGATTTTAAGATACTTTACTCAGCATTTTCGTTATTTTCAGTGGTTACGAGATTGAGCCATCCACCCTGTCATTCTGGAAGAAATAGAAGTGTCTATCTGCGTCTCTCTTCAGTGTATGCAGGGATAATTATTAGATGCAGGGACTTCAATCACCTTCTAAACCAAAGGTTACAAACTTGCAGCAAAATCCAGTTTCTGTTTGGCCTACATAGTATTTAGGAAATGAAAATCAGGGCCAGGTGCAGTCGCTTATACCTGTAAGCTCAGCACTTTGGGAGGCCGAGGAAGGAGGATCACTTGAGCCCAGGAGTTCAAGATCAGCCTGGGCAACATAGCAAAACCCCATCTGTATTTTTTTAAAACGTTAAAAAATCAAGAGATTGCAGGTAAAATTTTGGATTTTTTTGTTTCTCTTGAAAAATTGGAAGTTCTTAAAATGCTGGGTCTATAATACTCCTGCCTAGCAACAATTGACTAGAACTGGCAATAGCCCTGATCCCTTCAGACTGAACTTGCTCTCTTCAGTTGCTCACAGTTTCCGCCACTTGTGCAGTGTATGCGTATGTATACACTTAAACCCATTTTACCTTATCCCATTTATGTGTTACCATTAGGCATTTGTGAATCATCGTTCTGCCCAATGAAAATATTGATACCCTCCCATGTGCTCCATAGTAGTGCTGATAGACACTTTTACATTTGTTGATTTATTTAATTCTAACAACAAGCTTGCAGTTTAATCCCCTCTGAATAAAGTTATGTGGGTGGTATTAGCCCCACGTTACAGATGAAGAAACTGAGGTTCATTGAAGTTATATAAATCCTTTAAGGTGTCTATAGTGCCACAGTTAGAATTTGAACCTAAAATCTAGAATTTGAATTCAAAGTTCTTTCTGTTTCAGTGCTTCTCTTTACTACTACTACTACTACTACTACTACTTTTTTTTTAAAGCAATGGAACTGTTTGTTTCTTAGATGAAATCTTTGTGAAGTCCAATATTTAAAACCAATAAAGGTAGCACTATTTTGATGGAAGAATAGATTTGGTGGGGCACTTACTTGGGGGTTGGAACCTTGCATGCTTAACTCTGTGGTAGCTTTTGGGCACCTCTCTAGAATCCCTAGGACTCTACTAAAACAGTTTGGACACTTTATGACATAGCCATAATCATTTGTTACATATTATGAAATCTCAGCTTCTTTAGATGTTACAGTTATAGTGTATCTATTTCTGTTACGCTTCCTGATATGTCTGTAGGCTTCCTGATATGTCTGTCTGTCTGAGTGTAATCCCTCTTATGACTCAGTAGCATTTTTCTTTCATGTAAGTTTGTGTTCTGATGGGGTGATTCTTTTAGTAGAATTCTTTAGTAGAACATTCTACTTCTGTTTTCAGAGTGTTTTAAATTAAATCTAAAGTGAGACTTATGGTTTAATTTACTTTGCAGTATCTGATAACTAACTCTTCTTTGCTTTTCAGATTCTCTTTGTGGCCAGATGGGTTTGTATGGACAGGCTTGTCCATCTGTAACTTCATTAAGGTGAGTGCTCTTTTTTTTTTTCTTTATTAGAACATATAACATTTTAAAAGTTAGACTGGTCACCTCATATTACAATGAATTTGAAGGTGAGATTCAGAATAAAATATTGTAGCTTGTTTTGTCAAGTAGTGCAATTTGGCGGAATGGAATGATATTTCTGCTTACTGAAATTTTCGTGGTAATGGGATTTGGATATGCTTTTAATCTTCATTTAGTGAACTGAGTATAGTGTGGTGGTAATTTGTAAATGAAACAACATAATTAACACTTTTTTGTGTTTCTTTTAAAAAGACTAATCTGGGCTGGGCGCGGTGGCTCACATCTGTACTCCCAGCATTTTGGGAGGCCGAGGCGGGTGGATCACCTGAGGTCAGGAGTTTGAGACCAGCCTGGCCAACATGGCGAAACCCTGTCTCTATTAAAAATACAAAATAATTAGCCAGGTGTGGTGGCTCACACCTGTAATCCCAGTTGCTCAGGAGGTTGAGGCAGGAGAATCGCTTGAACCTGGTAGGCGGAGGTTGCAGTCAGCTGAGATCGTGCCACTGCACTCCAGCCTGGGGGACAGAGCAAGACTCTGTCCTAAAAAAAAAAAAAAAGAAAAAAGCCCAGGTGCGGTGGCTCATGCCTGTAATCCTAGCACTTTGGGAGGCCAAGGCGGGCGGATCACGAGGTCAAGAAATTGAGACCATTCTGGCCAACATGGTGAAACCCCATCTCTACTAAAAATACAAAAATTAGCTGGGCATGTTTGCACGTGCCTGTAATCCCAGCTACTCGGGAGGCTGAGATAGGAGAATCACTTGAACCTGGGAGGTGGAGGTTGCAGTAAGCCGAGATCTGCCATTGCACTCCATCCTGGGCGATGAGCAAAACTCCATCTCAAAAAAAAAAAAAAAACCTAAACCTGCTTTCTACTCAATTTAATTAGAACATAGTAAATTTGGTTGCCTTTGTAGCAGATTATTAAATAAGACTGAAGATACTGATTTTAATTTCTTTCTAAGGGATGGTAAAAACATAATATCTAGATTTCTCTCATTTACAATAAAACATGAGAAATGTAAAAAGTAGGAACTGTTGTGTTGTGTACAACACAGTGGTTTCAGATTTTTGAAGTCACCAGATGAGTTTTGCCAATCAATTCATATGTGAAGTCAAATTAGTAAAGCAGATAAACATATGACTTCTTTTTGCTGGTTTAAGCTTCCATGTTCTACCTTCACACTGGCCCCTGAGGGATTGTCGTGGTTCCCAGAGTGAAAAATAATCTAAACCTAATCTGCTAATTGAAATCTTAGAATATGAAGTGTTGATGGCAGGACCTACTAGTTACATGTGGTTGTGCAGTCAGCCATATCATTTATTCATCTAGCATATTGAGCATCTACTGTTGTCAGATACTATTCTAAATGTTGGGGCATAGCAATGAGCATAACATGTAAAAATCCTGTAATCATGGAATTTATATTTTGGTGGAGGGACAATTAATAAACAAAATAGTATAAGTATTTGTTAGTGATATGATAAAGGGCTAAGGAGAAAAATAGAGAAGGGGAATAGGAAATAATAGGAGTATGTGTTATTTTAGACAGGCCAGTCCTAAGGGAAGGCTTCACTGAAAAAGGGGACATTTGAATGAAGATCTTAAAGTATGATGGAGGGAGCCATATATTGGATAAGTGGTAGTCGAGCATTCTTTAGGCACAGAGGGAGTGCAGGAAGGTCCAAGGCAGGAGGCTGCCTTGTATGTTTGAGGAGGAGTGGAGGAGGTCAGTGTGGTTGGAGCAGCCTAGATGATGAAGTGTTACAATTGCCCAGCTTTGGAGGGCAGAAGGAGAGAGAGGACAGATACAAAATTGCCAGAGCCATGATTGGGAAGTCAGGGAATCCTTAGGCTTGAGAGAAATCCTGATTTTCCAGAATGCCACACACACACACAAAATGAACAATGAAGTTACGTTTGTAGTTTTTACATATTTGACTTTTCACAAGTCAAGGCTGACTATCCTATTTCTCAGTAGAAAAGCATTTTTTTTTTTTTTTTTGTAAAACGACTGTTGTTATTTCTTTAGTGTCCACTTTCTACCGATTAGACTTCCTTAAGATATTTTAGTTGTGGGAAATGCTGAAACACTCATATATTAATGTAATTGACTGAAATTTTAAATCTCTATATGTGAATACTATGTTTATCTTTGGGTTAAGCCTTTATATGACATTGGGTTAGGAATAATATGTGTGTAACTTTTGTTTGATGAAAGAGAAGAGGTAACGTAAGTTATGTTATAATTTACTCATTGTGTTGTAATTCCTCTGCACAATATTCTAGAATCAGAATTTTTTGGGATATAGCTATATATCTAGCCTTTAATTTATAAACTGAGAAGCCCTGTGACATCTGAGTCATGATATTTAATCATGGTATCTAGCATTTAATTTATAAACCGAGAAGCCCTACGGCATTCGGAGTCATGATATTTAGTGTCCTTATATATGTCTTTCATTTCTCTAATATTCTGTGTGGTCCACCTCTGAAACAGAGGAATCTCATTCTTAGATGTATGTTTAGAAGACCATTGTCTGTCACCGATTTTTCTTAGTGGAAGCCAGTATTGTTTTGAGACGAAGAAGGGAAGAAAAACTGGATTACTTAATAACCACAATAAATTTTAGTCTACTTTCCCATAGAGTCTTCCCCAAACCAGAAATGGCCCCTGCACACTACACTACCCAATAGGAGTAGAGCCAGAACTCTTAAGGTAACTCAAAACTACTGACAAACACTGCTTGTTTGCCTTCTCTCTCGTATATACTACCTTGTATATACTATCTGTATATCTAGAAAGTGGCTAACCTCAAGACAGGAAGCAAATGAGTTGGTGGAGAAGAACTGGACATATGGCTGGGAATCAGAAAATGGATAGGCAGGTGGGAGTTTGTAGGCACAGGTATGAGTGGGAGTGGACAATTTGTGTATAAGTGAAGGTAGTGAATAGAAGGAAAGTATAAAAAATTTGTTGGTTAGAAGAGGGTAGTTAGTAAGTGAATTAAAACTCTCTCCCCCAGTCTCTCTAAATATTTTGGGTAAGGTAAACAAGTATTGTTTTCTGTGGATGATAGTGGATCCTTGTTTAACCTGACTCTGTTAGAATTGTTGTTAAAATTAGACTTACTGTATTTTTATGATTAAAAAGTAGTACATATTGTAGAAAATTTGGAAAGACAGAACTTGCCTTTTTTATACCAGTAGATATTATATGTGAATTAGAAAAAGACCCTCTAAATTTTCCTTAAAAAAATGGCTGCAAAGTAGTTTGTAGTGATAGTTAAGTATACTCTGTAATTTTAACCAAATTGCTCTGACATTTTGGTCTACTTTACTTGCTGGTATAGGTAGAATTGCATTTCAACAAAAGTCACTGTAACAACATCATATTCTACATGAGACTGTTTTATCATTCAGGGTTCTCTAGGGAGGCTGAAACCATACCAGTATTTGAACAGAGATAATACTTTAATAGAATTGATAACTAGATATAAATGTGTTAACTAAGTAACATAAAGGATAAAAACAAAACTAAAGTATCACAAAGATAGACATAACAGGCGGCAGCTGCTGCCCATAGGGCTCAGGGACCAAAGGGAATGAGAAAACATTAGGAACTTAGAGGAAAGTCCCCAAAGAAATGACACTTAGACCTCTGAGAAGCCGCTGCATGATTGATGATGGTATCTGAGCTTGGCAGAGGGGTTCTGTGAGATTGGGACCCAGACCTTGCTGGCTGATGCTGCTGTCTCTCAGTGGTTTATGATGAAGCTAGTTCTGCAAGTGTTGGAAACACTGCAAGCTGGATTCACTTGTTGCTGTTGGAAGGACCTGCTGCTATAGGGCTGAAGAAGCCTTTGCTGGGGAAATGGCTCTTATGAAACCTGAAGATTAGATAGGAAGATAGTCTTTTCTTCTTCCTCCAACCTTTCAGTCCATCTTTAGTGCCTCTTCTTGGGAGAGCTTTATAGGAAGCCAGCTGGCAAAGCAGGAATGTGGTTCACAGAGAGTCTTAGTGCAAGCACCACAAAGCAGAATACGGGTAGGGGTGCTGCAGTTTGGAGCTGAGGGGCAACAGCTTAAATAGCTGCCATCCTTGTTCCAACAGACTGCTGAGAAATAGGGTACAAGAAGATATTTTCTAAGATGTTTTACAGCTAGTATTTATGAGATTTAGTAGAGTACTGCATATTACTTAAAAAATCCTCAAAAGTTTTTTAAACACTGTGAAATTATATTAAAAATTTATGTTAAGATTCACAAGTATTTGCAGTCTGAATCTATTGTATTTATATCCTGAGTTTGGGTGATAAGAGTCTGGATAGTGAGGGATAGCAGGCCATTCACATCTGTTCAATTCCTGAGTTTTGGATAGCAAGAGTGAGAGTTCAGAGAGTGGGACCGGGCACCGTGGCTCATGCCTGTAATCCCAGCACTTTGGGAGGCCAAGGTGGGCGGATCACGAGGTCAGGAGTTCGAGACCAGCCTGGCCAATGTGGTGAAACCCCGTCTCGACTAAAAATATAAAAAATTAGCCAGGTGTGGTGGCACTCGCCTGTAGTCCCAGCTACTCGGGAGGCTGAGGCAGGAGAATCGCCTGAACCTGGGAGGTGGAGGTTGCAGTGAGCTGAGATTGTGCCACTGCACTCCAGCCTGGGTGACAGAGTGAGACTGTCTCCAAAAAAAAAAAAAAAAAAAAAAAGAAAAAAGTTCAGAGAGTGATGGATGTAATTTCTGTTAAACAGTACAATCTTAAAAGTTTAGCAGAATCTTTTTGTTTCCTGAGTTTGGATAAGATGGATTTGAATCCTCAGATGTACCTGTATTTTATTTCCAAGTACAGATGCAGTAAGAGCAACAGCTTACTGAAAAAGCAAAGGCTTTCCTTGATCGTTTGCTTTATGTAGACAAGTGAATATGTATGTATCTCATATGACATACTTCTTTTACATATTGTAACAATAGACTATTTTTTGTAACTTCCTTTTGTTTCAGTTTTTAATTTTTGTGGGTAAAATGTATATTTATGGGGTACATGAGATATTTTGATACAGGCATGCAGTGCATAATCACATCCGTAAGTGGGGTATATTCATCACCTCAAGTGTTTATCTTTTGTGTTACAAAGAATCCAATTACACTCTTTTAGTTATTTAAAAATGTACAATTAAATTATTACTGACTGTAGTCACCCTGTTGTGCAATCAAACACAAGGTCTTAGTCACTCCTTTTATTTTTTTGTACCCGTTAACCATTCTCACTCTCCCTGATACCCCGCTTACCCTTCCCAGCCTCTGGTAACCAACGATCCTTCTACTCTCTATCTCCGAGTTGTTTTCATTTTTAGCTCTCACAAATAAGTGAGGACATGCAGTTTATATTTTTGTGCCTGGCTTATTTCACTTAGCATAATGACCCCCAGTTCCATCCATGTTGAAAACGACAGGATCTCGTGTATATATGTACCACATTTTATCTGTTCATCTGTTGATGGACACTTAGGATGCTTCCAAATCTTGGCTATTGTGAACAGTATTGCAAACAATATGGGAGTACAGGTATCTCTTTAATATACTGATTTGCCTTCTTTTGGGTATATACCCAGCAGTGGGATTGTTGGATCTTATGGTAGCTCTACTTTTAGTTTTTTTTGAGGAACTTCCAAACTGTTCACCATAGTGGTTGTACTAATACACATTCCCACCAACAGTGTACAAAATCCAGTGTTCCCTTTTCCCCACATCCTCTCCAGCATTTGTTATTGCCTGTCTTTTAGATAAAAGCCATTTTATCTGGGGTGAGATGACATGTTACTATAGTTTTGATTTGCATTTCCCTGATGATCAGTGACATTGAGCACTTTTTCATACACCTGTTTGCCATTTGTATGTCTTTTGAGAAATGCCTATTTAGATCTTTTGCCCATTTTAAAAATCAGCTTATTAAACTTTCTCCTATACAGTTATTTGAGCTCCTTATATATTCTGGTTATTAATCCTTTGTCGAATGGGTAGTTTGCAGATATTTTCAGCCATTTTGTGGCTTGTCTCTTAACTTTGTTGATTGTTTCCTTTACTGTGCAGAAGCTTTTTAACTTGATGTGATCCCGTTTGTCTATTTTCGCTTTGGTTGCCTGTGCTTGTGGGGTGTAACTCAAGTAATCTTTGCCCACTCCAACATCCTGGATAGTTTCCCCAATGTTTTCTTTTAGTAGTTTAGTTTGAGGTCTTAGATTTAAGGCTTTAATCCATTTTGGTTTGATTTTTGTATATGGCAAGGAATAGGGGTCTAATGTCATTCTTCTGCATGTGGTTATCCAGTTTTCCCAGCACCTTGTTGAAGAGACTGTCCTTTCCATTGTATGCTCTTGGAACCTTTGACAAAAATGAGTTCACTGTAGATAAATATATTTGTTTCTGGGTTCTCTATCCTGTTCCATTGGTATGGCTGTTTTTATGCCAGTACCGTACTGTTTTGGTTACTATAGCTCTGTAGTATAACTTGAAGTCAGGTAATGTGGTTCCCCCAGTTTTGTTCTTTTTGCTCAGGATAGCTTTGGGTATTCTGAGTCTTTGGTGGTTTCGTATAAATTTTAGGATTTTTTTTTCTATGTCTGTGAAGAATGTCATTGGTATTTTGATAGGGATTGCATTGAATCTTTAGTTTGCTTTGTGTAGTATGTACATTTTAACAATATTGGTTCTTCTACTCCATGAACGTGGACTATCTTTCCTTTTCTTGGTGTCTTCTTCAGCTTCTTTCATAAATAATTGATGGTTTTCATTGTGGAGGTCTTTCACTTCTTTGGTTAATTCCTAGGTATTTTATTTTATTTGTACCTATTGTAAATGAGATTACTTTCTTGATTTCTTTTTCGGATTGTTCACTCTTGGCATATAGAAACTCTGGTTTTTGTATGTTGATTTTTGTCTCCTGCAGCTGTCCGTTCTAGTAGTTTTTTAGTGGAGTCTTTAGGTTTTTCCAAATATAAGATCATATCATCTGTAAACAAGGATAATTTGGACCTCTTCCTTTCTAATTTGTGTGCCCTTTATTTTTTTCTCTTGTCCGATTACTTGAGCTAGGACTTCCGTTAATTTGGTTCGGTCAAAGCAAAATAGGTTTGCTGTTTCTTAGGGCTTGTTGAAATGGAACACTTTCTGCATTTCTGAATTACCTAACATTTATTAGAGGGTTTATTTTATGGTTCTCACATGTATACAGCTTGGGACACAGTAGTACTTGTAGTAGTTTCTGGTGATATTTAATGCCTTCTACCTGAGATCACTTCTGCTCACATTTTTCTGTATTTATCCCTTTTTATCACTCATTTTTGTTAACGCTTCTTCCTTAAAGATGCCTTTTATTATTGATCTAATTTGTCTACTTAGCGTATGCCAGGGAACACATAGAAATAGTTGAATGCCCCAGATGAATTTCCCGTTCGTCTGTTTCCTCATTTCCCTCCTCTTGAAATTGATGACCCTGCTGTTTAGAACTACCAGAAGGAGGCAGATTTATTTCAAGCCTTCTTGCTGCCTCATTTCTGGAAGCATACTGGTATTGATAAAGCAGATGTGGTGTATAGACTTAAGATAATGTAGATACAGGTTCACATCTCTCTCTTCTTACTATTAGACCAGGCATTATTTAAGCACTTTAAGTTTATTAAGTTCCCCCAACAATTCTATGAGGTCAGTACCATTATTATCCTTACTTCACAAGTGAGGAAACTGAGGTAAAGTTAAGTAACTCAAAGATATATAGGTAATTAGGGATAGAGCTGGGATTCATACATAGGTCCTTATCCAGTGCCCATGCTTTAACCATTTAACTCTACTGCCTCTTGGCTATAAGTATTTATTGTAATTTCAGGCTTTTTTCTTAAATGAAGTCTGCCAAACAATATTCTTCTTAATTGAGGGTACTATAAAAAATAAGTAAAAAAGAGAAATGTCAGTGTAGGAGACTGTGGAAAAAGGTAATAGAAAACCAGCACTTTAATTTTGGAATACTAAAATTGAAAAAAAAATCTTGTTTAAAATTGATAAAATATTTTGCTCTTTTGTTAGCAAAAGACAGGAGGTTTTTTTTTTTATTTCAGGGAGATGGAGAAATTTTGAGTTTTTATGAGGGGGAATCATATATCAGAGGTAATAGGGAATAAAGAACATCACTGAATATACTAAGAGTTAAATATAAAACACATGCCTACTAACAGTGCATATATAGTGCAAAATAATACTACTGAAAAATAAAAAAATTAAATGATTTGATATAATAAGCTTATCATAGGCAAGCTTTATGGTTCAGTGGCACTTAGTGCAGAGATGTATCTTTAGGCATTTGGAGCACCCACTTTTCTAGATTAGGGTTTAGGCTGTACTCTACTTGCCATACAGAGAACTTGGGGCAGTGGAGATTTCCCAGCTCCATGCCTAGGCATACCTCTGGGTAACTGGTGGTTGCCCATTGGACCCCAGCTCTCCCCTGCCCCCCATACCTGGTGCTTGTGCCCTGCTATTGGGAGACCTGTAGGTGGGCCTGCCTGGTCTGGACCCACCTGTCTTGGTCTCCTGCTCCAGGGCTGGGCAGGGAGCTCAGACACCTGTGCATTCTGCAGATCAGCCCCATTGCTTGAGGCAACAGAGAGCTTCTCTGTAAACAAGGATCACATATATACCCATCTACAATGGCTTCAGCTGGCTCTTAACCTGTGAGTGCCACCAACTGACCTGGAAGTTTAATTGCATGACACAGTAGAAAATCTGCTGACACAAGTGTGCAGCACTAGGGATCTAGATAAACTTCCTGAGACCTCCACCACCCTGGCCCCACAAGATGCAGTAAGCCTGCTCACGTGCCCAGTACATCACTGATATAACCAGCATTTGGGAAAACTACCATTCAAAGGCTGTCTACAACCATGGAACTTAATGCAGACTCTTTGCCACTGAAAGCACCCAGAACTAAAGCCAAAAGACCCTACGCAACATATATTATAGACACCTTCTGAAGGGGAGAAAAATCACATCCAAATGAAAGCAAATTCAAAAAATAAGGAGAGACGGCTTATCTAGATGAGAAGCAACCAGAGGAACAACTCTGAAACTATGAAAAAAGTGTGTTAACAATGCTCCAGAAGGATCACACTAACTCTTCAGCGATGGATCCTAACCAAAATTAAAATCTTTGAAATACAAGATAAAGAATTCAGAATGTTGGTTTTAAAGAAGCTCAATGAGATCCAAGAGAAAGTTGAAAACACACACACATCAGAAAAACAGTTTGGGATATGAAAGGAGATATCACTAAAAATAAACCCAAACATCTTTTGGAAATGAAAAATTCATTGAAAGAATTACAAAATATAGTTGAAAGCTTTAATACTAGTCTAGAGAAAGGAGAAGAAAGAATTTCAGAGCTGGAAGACAGGTCTTTTGAATTAACCCAGTCAGATGAATTTAAAGAAAAAAAGAAGTAAAATAAGTGAACGAAGTCCGGTGTGGTACCTCATGCCTGTAATCCCAACACTTTTGGAGGCGGAGGCGGGTGGATCACTTGAGGGTCAGGAGTTCGAGACCAGCCTGGCCAACATGGTGAAAACCCCATCTCTACTAAAAATACAAAAAAAAAATTAGCAGGGCATTGTGGCGTGTGACTGTAATTGCAGCTGCTTTGGAGGCTGAGGCAGGAGAATCGCTTGATTCCAGGAGGTGGAGGTTGTGGCGAGCCAAGATGGTGCCACTGTACTCCAGACTGGGTGACAGAGTGAAACTCCATCTCAAAAGAAAAAAAAAGTGAAAAAGTCTTGGAGAAATATGGGATTGTATAAAGCATCCAAACTTACAGGTTATAGATATTCTACAGAAGAAAAAGTAAAAAGTGTAGAAAAGCTATTTCAGGAAGTAATTAGGGAAAACTTCCCTAGTCTGGGAAGAGATTTAGACATCCAGAAACAAGCTCAGAGAACTCCTGAAAGATAAATTGCAAGAAGAACCTCATCTAAGCATATAGTCATCAGACTGTTCAAAGTCAGTGTGAAGGAAAAAGAAGAAATTCTAAGAGTAGCAAGAGAGAAGGGATTACCTATAAGGGAAATCCCATCAAACTAACACCAAACTTCTCAGCAGAAACCCTGCAAGTCAGCTGGAAGAGATTGGGGGCCTATTTTTAGCGGCCTTAAAGAAAAAATTACCAGCCAAGAATTAATTTTGTTTTTTGGACAGGGTCTCAGTCTGCTGGCCAGACCTGGAGTACAGTGGCGTGATCACAGCTCACCACAGCCTTTACCTCCTAGGCTCAGGTGATCCTCTTGCTCAGCCTCCCAAGTAGCTGGGACTACAAGCACATGCCACCATGCCCGGCTAATTTTCTTGTGTTTTTTGTAGAGACAAGGTTTTGCTGTGTTGCTCAAACTGGTCTTAAACTCCTGAGCTCAAGCGATCCACCCGCCTTGGCCTCTCAACATACTGGGATTACAGGTGTGAGCCACCGTGCACAACCACCGGCCAAGAATTTTATATCCTGCCAAAAAAATAAGCTTTGTACATGAAGGAGAAATAAAGTCTTTCCCAGACAAACAAGTGTGAAGGGAATTCATCATCACTATACTGATCGTATAAGAAATACTGAAAGGAGTTCTAAGCATGTTAACGAAAGGACAGTACTTACCATCATAAAAATAAAAAGCTCACCGAGTCTATAAAGCAGTTATATAGTTGAAACTCTAAGGCAGCTAACAATACTGTGACAGGAACAAAACCTCACATATCTATATCTCTGTCTCTATTTTTTTTTGAGACAGAGTCTTGCTCCATTACCCAGGCTGGAGTGTAGTGGCACGATCTCGGCTCACTGCAGCCTCTGCCTCCCGGGTACAAGTGATGCTCCTGCCTCAGCCTCCCTAGTGGCTGGGACTACAGGTGTGTGCCACCACACCTGGCTAATTTTACATTTTTAGTAGAGACAGAATTTCACCATATTGGCCAGGCAGGTCTCAAACTCCTGACCTCGTGATCCGCCCACCTGGGCCTTCCAAAGTGCTCGGATTACGGTGTGAGCCACTGTGCCTGTCCTATATATATATTTTAAGATGGAGTCTTGCTGTCTTGCTCAGGTTGGAGTGCAGTGGCATGATCTTGGCTCACTGCGACCTCTGCCTCCTGGGTCCAAGCAATTCTCCTGCCTCAGCTTCCCAAGTAGCTGGGATTACTGGTGTGTACCACCACACCTGGCTAACTTTTGTATTTTTTAGTAGAGATGAGGTTTTGCCATGTTGGCCAGGCTGGTCTTGAGCTCCTGACCTCAAGTAATCCGCCCACTTTGGCCTCTAAAGGGCTAGGATTACGGGCATTAGCCACCACACCCAGCCACATATCAATATTAACCTTGAATGTAAATGGCCTAAATGCTCCGCTTAAAACATACAGAGTGGCAAATTAAAAAAAAAAAAAAAAGACCCAACCATCTGCTGCCAGCAAGAGACCCCCCCACACACACTGGTTAAAGACAGTTACAGACTCAAAGAGGTGAAAAAAGATTTATCATGCAAATGGAAAACAAATGCCAGCAGTAGTATCCATTCTCGTATCAGATAAACTTCAAACCAATAACAGTAAAAAAAAAAAAAGATGAGCATTATATAATGATAAAGGGTTTGATACAACAAGAAGATTTAACTATCCTAAATATATATGCACTCCACACCAGAGCACCCAGATTCATAAATACTGCTAGGCCAAAGCAAACAGATTGATAGCAATACAATAATAGTGGAGAACATCAACACCTCACTGACATCACTATTCAGATCACTGAGGCAGAAATTCGAAAAATTCTGGACCTAAACTGTAGACCAGATGGACCTAATAGACATTTATAGAACATACATTAATCTCATCTGCACGTGGAACATTCTCCAAAATTGACCATATGCTTGGCCATTAAAGCAAGTCTCAATACATTCCAAAATACTGAAATCAGATCAAGTATCTTTTTGGAGCACAGTGGAATAAAATTAGAAATCAAATACCAAGAGGGACTCTTAAAACTATTCAAGTAGATGGAAACTAAACAACATGCTCCTGAATGAACTTTGGGTAAACATGCAATTAAGGCGGAAATTGAAAACAATTTTGAAATAAATGAAAATGGAGACACAGCATACTAAAACCTCTGGGATACAGCAAAGACAGTGCTAAGAGGAAAGTTTATAGCGTTAAATGCCCACATTAAAAAGATAGGAAGATCTCAAGCTACCACCATACATCAAGGAACTAGAAAAATAACAAACCACACAAAAAGCTAGCAGAAGAAAAGAGCAAAGATCAGAGCAGACCTAAATGAGATAAAAAAATGATACAAAGGATAAGTGAAACAAAAAGTTGGTTCTTTGAAAGGATACACAAAATTGACAGCCTGCTAGCTAAGTTAACCAAGAAAAAAAAAAGTTTTAAATATAAGCAGAAATGATAAAGACAGCATTACACCTGACACCACAGAAATACAAAAGATCATCAGAGACTGCTGTGAACATTTCTGTGCTCATAAACTAGAAATAGCTGGGGGAAATGCACAAATTCCTGGAAAGATACAACCTCGCAAGATTGAACCAGGAAGAAATGTGAATCCTGAACAGACCAATAACAAGTAACAAAATTCAATCAGTAATAAAGGAAAACTTCTGTATTAGTCTGTTCTCATGCTGATATAAAGAACTACCTGAGACTGGGTAATTTATAAAGGAAAGAGGTTTAGTTGACTCACAGTTCCACAGGGCTGGGGAAGCCTCAGGAAGCTTATAATCATGGCAGAAGGGGAAGCAGACATGTTCTTCACATGGCGGCAGGAAGGAGAAGTGCTGAGCAAAGTGGAGGGAAGCCCCTTGTAAAACCATCAGATCTCGTGAGAACTTACTATCAAGAGAACAGTATGAGGGTAACTGCCCCCATGATTCAATTACCTGCCACTGAACCCTCCCATGACACATGGGAGTTAGGGGAACTACGAGGTGAGATTTGGGTAGGGACACAGCCAAACCTTATTACCTTCTAACAATAAAAAAGGCCAGGACCAGATAGATTTGTAGCTGAATTTTGCCAGACATATAAAGAAAAGCTGGTATTTAGGAAAGAATACTGAAACTATTTCAGAAAATTGAGGAGGAGTAATTCCTTTCTAACTCATTCTACAAAACCAGTATCAAAGTCAGGTGAGGACACCAGTATCAAAGTCAGGTGAGGACACCAGATACCAAAGTCAGGCAAGGACACAACCAGAAAAGAAAACCACAGGCCAATATCCCTAATGAACATAGGTGCAAAAATCCTCAACAAATGCTGAATCCGACAGCACATCAAAAAGATAATAAATCATGATCAAGTGGGTTTTATTCCAGGGATGCAAGAATGTTTAAGCATATGCAAATCAATAAACATGATTCACCACATAAATAGAACCAAACCCCAAAACTGTATGATTATCTCCATAGATGCAGAAAAGTGATTTGATAAAATCCAACATCGCTTCATAACAACCCTCAATAAACTAGGCACTGGAGGTATGTACCTTAAAATAATAGCTATATATGACAAACCTACAGACAACATCATGTTGAAAGGGAGAAGTTGAAAACATTCTCCTTAAGAACAGGAACAAGACAAGGATGTCCACTCTCACCACTCTTGTTCAACATAGTACTGGAAATCCTAGCCAGAGCAATTAGGCAAGAGAAAGAAATAAAAGGCATCCAAATTGGAAAAGAGGAAGTTTCCTGATAACATGACTGTATACTTAGAAAAGTCTAAAGACTCCTAGACTTCGTTGAAGTTTCAGGATACAAAATCAATGTACAATGATCAGTAGCATTTCTATAAATAACTTTGAAGCTGATAACCAAATCAAGAACCCAATCCCATTTACAGTAGACACACACACACACCCACACCCGCACACCCCTAGGAATACATTTAACCAAGGAGGTGAAAGATCTTTACGAGGAGAACTATATAACACCAATGGAAGAAATTGCAGATGACACAAACAAATGGCAAAACATTTTGTGCTGTTGGATTGGAAGAATCAATATCACAAAAATGACCATACTATTCAAAGCAATCTACAGATTCAATGAAATTCCTTTCAAATTACTAACATCAGTTTTCACAGAATTAGAAAAACAGCACTGGAGTGCATATGGAATCAAAAAAGCACTCAGCCAGAGCGATCCTAAGCAAAAGGAACAAATTCAGAGGCATCAGATTGCCTGACTTCAAATTATACTACAAGGCTATAGTAACTAAAGCAGCATGATAGTGGTACAAAAATATGCATAGAGATCAGTGGAACAGAATAGAGAGCCTAGAAATAAAGCCACATACCTACAACCAACTGATCTTTGACAAAGTTGATGAAAATAAACAGTGGAGAAAGGACATTAACACTCTATTCAATAGATGGTGCTGGGATATTGGCTAGCCATATGCAAAAGAAGGAAACTGGACCCTTGTGTCTCACCATGTATGAAAATTAACTCAGGACGGATGGATTAAAGACTTGAACATAAGACCTTAAACTATAAAAGTCCTAGAAGAAAACTTAGGAAGAACTCTTGGATGTTGGCCTAGGCGAAGAATTTATGAGGAAGACAAAAATAGACAAATGAGACTTAATTAAACTAAAGCTTCACAGCAAAAGAAATACTCAACAGATTAAACAGCCTATAGAATGGGAGAAAATGTTTGCAAATGATTACTTTCAGAAAGGATGAACATCAGAATCTACACGGAACTCTAATAACGGGGAAAAAACAGCTTCTTTTAAAAACTAGGCAGAGGACATGAGACATTTCTTGAAGAAATACAAGTGCCAACAAACACTTGAAAAAAATACTCAACATTACTAATCATCAGAGAAATGCAAATTAAAATCACAATGAGATACCATCTTATACCAGTCAGAATTGCTGTTAAAAAGCCAAAAAATAACAGATGTTGGTGTGGTTGTGGAGAAAAGGCAGTGCTTACGCACTGCTGACGGGAATGTTCAACCTCTGTGGAAAACTATGGAGATTTCTCAAAGAACTAAAAATAGAACTACCTTTTGATCCAGTAAACACACTACTGGGGGTATCTGCCCAAAATAAAATAAATCACTATATACAAAAGACACCTGGACAGGTGCGGTGGGTCATGCCTGTAATTCCAGCAGTTTGGGAGGCCAAGGCAGCGGATCACCTGAGGTCAGGAGTCAAGACCAGCCTGGCCAACATCGTGAAACCTTGTCTCTACTAAAAATAGAAAAATCACTCAGACAAGGTGGTGCACACCTGTAATCCCAGCTAATTGAGAGGCAGAGGCAGGAGAATCGCTTGAACCTGCAAGGCAGAGGTTGCAGTGAGCCAAGATTGCGCCACTGCATTCCAGCCTGGGGGACAGAGTGAGACTGTGTCTCACCAAAAAAAAAAAAAAAAAAAAAAAAGACACTTGTAGTCATGTTCAACACTATTCATAACAGCAAAGTCATGGAAGCAACCTAACTGTTCATCAGCAGTTGACTGAATAAAGTGTAGTATACAGATACCATGGAGTACTATGCAGCATAGAAAAGAATGAAATCATGTACTTTTCAGCAACATGGAGTTGGAGGTTATTATCCTAAGTGAAATAACTCAGAAACAAAATCAAATACCACATGTTCTCACTTATAAGTGGAAGCTAAATAATAGGTATGCATGTACATAAAGATGGAAATAATAGACACTGAAGAGTCCACCGGGGGGAGGGTGGGAGGAGGATGAGGGTTGAAAAATTACATGTTGGGTATAATGTTCACTCTTTGGATTGTGGGTACACTAGAAGCCCAGTCTCCACCAATATGCAATATACCCATGTAACAAACATGTATGTTTACCCCCTGAATCTAAAGTTTTAAAAAAGCTTCGCTTGGTTTCAAGAAAACTAACTCTGGATACATCAAGCAAAAAATAAAAAGAATTTATGGAATGAATTTAGAAAACATGGTTGTATTTTACAGAATACAAGGATAGTTTATTCTCTTGAAATGGAACTAAGAATTGATGAAATACTGTTAGAAACCTAGGCATTGTACTTACTCTTCTGTGTTGAATTTCTCTGAATCTAATTTATTTCTTCATTTCTACAGGCAACTTTCTTTGATTTTCTTACACATAGCCATTCTATCCCTCAAGTTCATGGCGTCTTTTTTTTTTTTTTTTGAGACCAAGTTTCGCTCTTGTTGCCCAGGCTGGAGTGCAATGGCGTGATCTCTGCTCACTGCAGCCTCCGCCTCCCGGGTTCAAGCAGTTCTCCTGCCTCAGCCTCCCAAGTAACTGGGATTACAGGTGCCCGCCACCACAGCTGGATAATTTATTTTTTATTTTTAGTAGAGATGGGGTTTCGCCATGTTGGCCAGGCTGGTCTCGAACTCCTGATCCCAGATGATCTGCCTTCCTCGGCTTCCCAAAGTACTGGGATTATGGACGTGAGCCACCGCGCCTGGCCTCAAGTTCATGGCTTCTTTATTCAGGAGAGCAGCCCAAACTGTTTCACTTCTAATTCTAAATCCTGGGGGAGAAAATTTAGGTAAACAGCTTGAATCAGGTAGCACCCTTGGTTCAGATCCTTTAATTTGTTCCTGTATTACTGGTACGGACAAAGTATAGTACAACATTCAGAGCCCTGGGGATGGAGACACCTCTGAGAAAGGGCATTGGTATGAGCTAGGCAAAACACTACAGAAAGCGTTTGAGACAAAGCAGCATGTATCCACTTTTGGTTGAGAAAGGATTTCAAGAGAGGATAATTTTAGGATTCCTTATGATCATTGGGTATTGAATGGGAGACTTGATTCCCAGCTTTGTATTAGAACATCCAGAGTATCCTTATAATTGTGGATTTGGAATTGGACTCCTGCCTCAATTCTATTCAATCTGACAAATATATATTGAATACTTACGTCCTTACTAGTGTTCAAGAGTCCACAAAAGCAACAAAAGAAAAGGAAAACAAAAAGATTATTCCACCCCCTACTAGTGCTTACTTGAGAACCTGATGGATAAGTGTTTGGCTGGGTCTCTTTTGAAGGTTAGATCTGAATGGGGCTTTTAGTGTAGGGATCCATTTCTTCACAGTTTTATTAACACCTTGCCAGTCTCACATATATATGGAGCTTGCAAAATGATGTATCAGCTATGTTAAAAAGCACAAAGCATGGAGTTATGGAAAGACGAGACTATCTGAGTAAATAGAGGCTGAGAAAAAGATAGTGCTTCTTAGTATAGTGCAAGATAGGTCTATAGATAATTCAAGAAATAGAAAACTAAGAGAAGCTCGTGAGACTGGATTGGAAGCCATATGAAATGGAGATACTCATTCATGCTTTACCTCGCAGCACAAATTTTTTTTTGCTATTGATATCAAGAAGAACCCAGTATGCTTAAAATAAATTCAGGAAGGAGGATTATTATTATTGCTTTTCAGATTTTTTTTAGACATTTTAGTGGGTTTGGAATAGTATCTTGTTGTTTTAAGTTTGCATTTACCTGATAACTAGTGATGTTGAGCATCTTTCTTGTGTTTATTGGGGTTTGTATGTCCTTGTTTAAATTTTTTGTACATTTTAAAACTGGGTAGTTTGTCTTCTAATTATTGAGTTATATGAGTTCTCTAAATACTCTGGATACAAGTTTTTTTTTTGTTAGAGCAAGAAAGTTTTAAATTTTGGTAACATCTGACCACCAATTTTTTCTTTCATTGTTCAAGCTGAGAAATATTTACTTATTCCTAATCACAAATATTTGTTTGTCTCTTTTTATGTCCAAGCTGAGAAATCTTTACTTATTCCAAATCACAAATACTTGTTTTTTATTTTATTTTTGGAGGCAGAGTCTCACTGTGTCACCCAGGCTGGAGTACAGTGGTGTGATCTTGGTTCACTGCAGCCTCCACCTTCCAGGCTCAAGCAATCGTCTTGTCTCGGCCTCCTGAGTAGCTGGGACTACAGGTGCCCACCACCACACCTGGCTAATTTTTGTATTTTTTTGTAGAAATGGATTTCACCATGTTGCCCAGGCTGTTCTTGACATCCTGAGCTCAAGCAATCTGCCCACCTTAGCCTCCCAAAGTGCTGGGATTACAGGCGTGAGCCACCATGCTGAGCCCACAAATATTTGTTTTTTAAAAACAGCTTCACTGAGATGTAATTGACATAGTACAATTTTATAAGTCTGACAAATACATACACACATAAATCATCACCACATCAATGTGGTGAACATACCCGTCATTCCCAGCAGTTGCCAGAAGTGCTTCTGTGAAGTTCTTCCTTGCTGTCCCTCTGTCTGCAAGGTATCTACTGATCTGCTTTTCTGTTCCTTATTATATATTTGCATTTTCTAGATTTTTACATAAATGGTATCATACAATATGTATTCTTATTTTTATCTGGGTTTTGTTTCATTATTTTGAGATTTATCTGTGTTGCTGCATGCATCAGCAGTTCATTCCTTTTTATTCCATTGGGTATATTCACAACAGTTTGTTTATTCATTCTCCTGTTGATGGATATTTGGATTGTTTTCAGTTTTTGGCTAAATACCTGGGGGTGAAATGACTGCCATATTGTAGGTGTATGTTTAAGAAACTGCCAAGCCGTTGTCCTTAAAGCAGTTATGCCTTTTTAAACTCCCACCAGCAGTATGTAAGAGTTCCATTTGCTCCATATGCTTGTGAACATTTAGTATGGTCAGTCTTTCAATTAGCCTTTTTGGTAGGTGTGTAGTGATATCTCAGTGTAGTTTTAATTTGCATTTCCCTAATAACTAATGATGTTTAGCATCTTTTCTTATGAATCCTTTTTCTTTGCAACCCCTCTTTAGGGTTCTGTCCCCTGGCCTTGCACCCCCCTCCTCAGGGTCCCATCCTCTGGCCTTGCACCCCCCTCCTCAGGGTCCCATCCCCTGGCTCCCACTCCTGCCTTTCCTCCCACCGGCATCGGGACCCTGAGCCTGCTCCCGTCCTCCTGGCCCCATCCGGCTCCTGCCCTCGGCTCCTCTGAATCTTTGCTATATTTTATTTGTTGAAGTACCTGTTCAAGTCTTTCGCCCTTTAAAAAAATGGGTTTTCTCATCTCATTGAGTTTTGAGAGTTCTTTATATTTTCTGGATACAAGTCCTGTTGGTTCATCCCCTCCACCCACAGTGAGGTGGATCTTGCTTTGTTGCCCAGGCTGGAGTACAGTGGCATGATCATAGCTCACTGCAGCCTTGAACTCCTGGGCTCCGGCGATCTTCCTGCCTTGATGAAACAAAAACAAAAACAAAAACAAAAATTTTTTTTTTCTTTAGAGATGAGTTCTTGCGATGTTGCCCAGGCTGGTCTTAAACTCCTGGCCTCAAGTGATCCTCCTGCCTTGGCCTCCCAAATGCTGGGATTACAGATGTGAGCCCTGTAATTTGTAGGGTTAAGCCCTGCACAAGTCCTTTTTAAGATATATGCTTTGCAAATGGTTTCTGCCAGTCTGTGGCTTGCCTTTTCATTCTCCTAACACTGTCTTTGAAGAACAAAAGTTTTAAATTTTGATAAAGTCCAGTTTATTAGTTGTTTTATGAACTGTGATTGCTTTTGGTGTCATATCTAAGAAATATTTGCCTAACCAGATTTTCTCTTATGATTTCTCCTGCAGGTTTTATAGATTTAGCTTTTACATCTAGGTTTGTTGTTCATTTTTCAGATTTTTATGTATGATGTGATGTAAGGGTCATTGTTAATTTTTCTCCCATGCAGACAATTGTTTCAACATAATTTTTTGAAAAGTCTTTCCTTTCCCCACTGACTTGTCTGATGCCTTCATCAAAAATTAAGTGACTGTGGATCTATCTGTCTGTCTGTCTGTCTATCTATCTATCTATCTATCTATCTATCTATCTATCTATCTATCTATCTATCTATCTATATGGGTCTTTTCTTGGACTCTGTTCTGTTGATCTATGTCTGTCCTTTCTCCAAAACTTGGTCATTGGAATTTTACAGTAAACCTTGAAATCTGACGGTCTAAGTCCTTTATGCTTTTGAAATTGAGAAAAGAGCCTGATATCCCATATCTGCTTAGTGGAGGGTTGAAAATTAGGGTATTCATATTTACAAATTACCAAATAAAAATTTAAAAGATAGTAAATAACTGTGGCTTCTTTGAGCACATGGGAGGGGTTGAGTAGTTCCATCAAGTAAAGATTGTGATGTTTGAAGGAAGAAATTGCTGTACTTCATAAGAAGAAAAAGATAAAGTCTGTGATAAAGACAGCACAGTTCAGATGTTTTAAAGTGATGGCAAGAAATAAAAAATAGAAACAAAAAATGTGGGATCTTTTAAAAGGAGCCAGTATAATAGAATAAAGAAGAATAAGAAGGATTTTAGGCAGAGAGATTCTTAGAGTCTGGGTAAGTATAAGCTGCAGCATCTTTACACGTGGATTATTAGTGAACAACCCAAATAGTGCTGGGATTTTCATGTAAGTCAGTTATCTTCACATTTTTTCACTCCTTTTCATACCATGCATGGAATTTTAATGATAATCAGTGTTGATGTTTTATGTAAGTGGATAATGACTGATGCACTGTTACAACAGAAGGTCTGTTTGTTTAGATATTAACTAGTAGTAGGTAACGGTCAGCTGACTCATGGTGAGATCCATAACCTTAAGGGATTCTAGCTTAACTTATTCCTACTTATTTTTTTGAACTCCTTCAATGAATATGAATTCCTCCAATGAATTGACTGGTGGTGTAGTCCTCTAATTTTTCTCTTCTTTGATAACTGTTGTTTTAAAGTTCAGAGTTGAGTGAATTTTAACATAGACTTTAACTATCTTTTTCTTCTCCTCCAGCATAGGAACTTTTTCCTTAAAACATCATAGCCTTTTCTTGATGCAACTACTCATATTCTACCATGTGCTCAAGGGAACGTACTTATTTACTATCTTCTAACATTTTAATTCTAGTTGAATGTATTTTCTTTACCCAGCTTTCTCTACTTACCCCTTTTTATCTTTTTGTCCTTTTTTAAATAAAAATTAAAGTGGTTTTGTGTAAAAGACTCAGTCTAATTTTTCTTTGAACCTTAGTGCACTTGAAATTATAACAAGAAATCTAAAGGTAGATAGAATGTATTTATGATCCTCTGAAAATAACTCCAACTCAGGTAATCATAATGAGCAGTATGGAAGGTCTGTAATATTTATTATTTCAGACATTTTATATTGTTAAATAGCTTGTGTCAGATTGCGTATCAGAGAAGACTTATAGGTAATTCAGAGATTATTTTTTGGCCTCTTCAGATGCTGTGCATTTCATGCAAAGCCTGACATGTGCATGAGCAGGGAAGATTTTTGTCTTTTTAAATCCACAGCATAGAACTGAATTGAATTGTATTTGTATATGTTGTACACTATGGAGACTTTTGACAAAGGGAAAATAAGCATGTCTTTTTAAAAGTGTTTCTAACAAAATTGATTATAATATTTTTCATTTATTGAATGCTTACTATGTGCCAAGCATTCACTGTATGCTAAATATTCCACATGTATCTTGTCATTTATTCCTCAGAGCACTTCTTTGAGGCTTAGAGGTTTATTTGACTTCTTTAAGGATACATAGTTAATAAGTGGGAGAGTAAGAATTTAAGCCTAGGTATCACAGTAACTTCAAAGTCCTTACTCTTTCTGTTATATATAAGAAACACACATACATAATTATATATATTAAGAAACATATTCATATATAAATATTGTATATACTATATTAAGACACATGTCTAAATATAAGAAGAGACCAAAAGACTGAAGATCAGTGTTGCTTATTTTTCGTCCCTTAAAAAATTAGTGCTTAAAGAGCTTTTGTTTATGTGGGTTATATCTGTCAATATTTATTGTATTACAAATTAAAATTAAGAAAAATTTAAAATATTCACATAAAAAATAACAAAAGTCTCCGTAGTGTACAGCATATAACAAATATAATTGAATTCAGTTCTACATTGTGGATCTTTAAAAAACCCTTTGCCAACATAGATAACAAGTTTTATGTAAAGTAACTGTATGTTCCAAAACAAAATTTAGTGAGAAAATTGGCATTACATTATATTTTTGCAGATCTTTTAAATATCTGACTTAATAGAAGACAGCTGGATTCTCATCTCTCTCTGCATTAAATCTGTTGTGATATCACACACCACATAGTATCTGAAAAGCTCTACTATACACTGTATGAGAGGATAAGAGTGAAAAAAGGCAAATAATGTTTTATGAAAATAGTTTTGACTCTTCAGACTGCCTGAAGGGTCTCTGGACCACACTTTGAGAACTGCTGATCCATAAACACCACATATAGCAGCTTAAACTGTTTCTTTAGCATTTTCTGTACATCATACTTAACACTAAAAGACAAGACAGGATCACTTTCCACCGTGTTAGCCCTCTGCCAGCATTGATGCCATACTTACTTGTATAATGCCATGGAAGCAGAAGTAGAGAAAAAAACTGATGAAAGAATATCCAGTAAATGTTGGCTGGTGAGCTGAAGTAGTATGGTTGCAAACAGAGGTCAGGATAACCACTTTAATGAAACAAAATTAGTGGACATATGTTACTTGAAGGATGTGTGTGTGTGTTCTAAACTGGATATAAGAAACATTCTGGAGCAGATTCTGAGTTTTTAAATTACGGCTGCAAAGATGATGTTGAATCTTCTTATGCGAAAGACTGGTTGTGTTCATCAATCTTTACAACTACTCAGAGACATAGACATTTTAATAGGGTGAGATTTAAATGCAAAATACAATATTTACTTGATGACAGAATAAACATTTGGTTAATGTTCAACAGTCTTTATTTTTTCCTCCCCTAAATTGTAAAGTGAAATATTTTGAAGATGAGAATTATAGCATAAAATATCTTTGACCATATATGATCCTTAGGTTTGTATTCTAAGTGGAGTTCTATTTTTATTTTATTTTTTTGTGACAGGGTCTCATTCTGTTGCCCAGGGTGGAGTGCAGTGGTGTGATCACAATTCACTGCAGTCTCGACTTCCCTGGGCTCAGGTGATCCTCCCACTCTTAGCCTTCTGGGTAGCTGGGACTACAGGGACACACTACCACACTTGACTAATTTTTTTTGTATTTTTTGTAAAGACGGGGTTTCGCCATGTTGCCCATGCTGATCTTGAACTCCTGGGCTCAAGCGATCTGCCCGTCTCTTCCTCCCAAAGTGCTGGGATTACAGGTGTGAACCACCATGCCCGGCCCTAAATGGAATTCTAAGGAAGGCTTTAGATTGTATAAATTCAGAACCCAGTTTTATGAATCTGAGATTAAATAATTGTGGAATGATTTGGAGAGACTAGAGAAGAGCAATAAACATATTGTGATTCTTAAAACAGATCTTGTGAGAAGAGTTGGAGAAGTTCTGGACTTTTAACTTAGAGAAGAAGGAACCCAAATAGTGTTACTGTTGTAGAATATGTTACAGTCATTATGAAGAGAACCCTGACCAGTTCTCATTTTCCAAGATAGAATTTATAGAAATTTACTTCTCTGTAGCAAGGGTAATTTAGATCAGCTTGTTAAAACTTTTATTTTTTTTTAAGATGGAGTCTCACTCTGTCACCCAGGCTGGAGTGCAGTGGTGGGATCTTGGCTCACTGCAGCCTCCACCTCCTGGGTTCATGCGATTCTCCTGCCTCAGCCTCCCAAGTAGCTGGGATTACAGATGCATGCCACCATGCCCAGCTAATTTTTGTATTTTTTAGTAGAGATCGGGTTTCACCATGTTGGCCAGGCTGGTCTCCAACTCCTGACCTCGTGATCTGCCCACTTTGGCCTCCCAAAGTGTTGGGATTACAGGTGTGAGCCACCGCATCCCAGCCAACTTTTTCTTTTAACCACAATGAATTGTATACCCTAGAACAGATTGAATATATTGTGAATTTTTCTTCCCTTGGAGATTTTAAGAAATATTGTTGGTCTCCAAAATAATTAATACCAGGACTTGGCTGGGCGTGGTGGCTCACGCCTGTAATCCCAGCACTTTGGGAGGCCGAAGCAGGCGGATCACCTGAGGTCAGGAGTTCGACACCAGCCTGGTCAACATGGTGAAACCCCGTCTCTACTAGAAATAGAAAATTTAACCGGGCGTGGTGGCACACACCTGTAATCCCAGCTACTCGGGAGGCTGAGGCAAGAGAATCGCTTGAACATGGGAGGTGGAGGTTGCAGTGAGCTGAGACCTGCCATTGCACTCCAGCCTGGGCGACAGGAGTGAAACTCCGTCTCAAAAAAGAAAAAAAATTTAGGAAACCCTGAAGAGTATGAACTTCATATTAATATTAACTTGATAACAATATGAGCAGTTACTATGTGTTGGAAGGTGTTCTCAGTGCTTTATATGTATTAACTCATTTAATCTTACAACAGTCCTTTGGGGTGGGTATTATTTTATCCTCATTTTACAGATGAGGAAACTGAGACATAAGGAGGTTAATTTACTTGTTCAGGACCACATAGCTGAAGGGAAGAACTTGGATTCCAATCCAGGCAGTCTTGCTCCAGAGCCTCTATTCTTAATCACAAAGCCATGTCTTTTCCCATATATGTGGACATTGACTCTTATTTTGCGGAAATTATACTAAGAATAGAAACTTTGATTTGGGTTGTATATAACTAATTTAGAAAAAATTAACACCAGCTGTTTTCCTTTGGAAATAGCCTAAGTTATTTCTTCATTTACAAACCTAAAAAAATTTATTTTACATTACATGATAACAAAATATAAAGTCAGTCTGTAGTAAATTATTTTATTTCTTTTTAGATTTCTTCCATAGTTGACTCCTTTGTCTACCCAAGCATCCACATAAACTTTTCTTCTTATATCTAATACTCATTTGCCCATTCCTCAAGGGAGACAACCCAGAGATTCTACCATTTACTATATCGGAAAATATAAGATCTCTGGATACAGTCCCTTTCATCAGAGCCAAGGATGACTTCTTGTGATTTGAAAACCTATATAAACCAAAGATGAATTATATGCACTCTACATATCCAGAATACAGTGGTGGAGAAGGAATAGGAAAACAACAATAAAAGGTGTTATTCAGAAAAGAGGATAATGGGAAACTCAGTAGTCACTAGTCCATATTGATCATAAAATCCTGCTGGATAGGAGTGGCAGAGACTCCCTGGCAGAGTAATAAGTCCTTTTAATCTGCTCTTTGGGAAGATTTTCATTGTCCTTTATGGTCTTTCAAGGAATCTTACCTTGTCCACTATCCTCAATGGCCACATCTTAGATTGGTATTGATAAAGATGCCGTTTCTGGGAAATGCACAGTTTTTACAGCTCTCTTCGTTGATAAGCCTTGGGGAGTATTTTAGAAACTTAAGAGACTTTTGCAGTTTAGACTCTTTCACCTCTCACCCTCCCATGTAGTTAGCTTAAAAATTTTAATTTCTAGACTTTTTGCTCCTTCGAGTAATTAGAGCCAAAGGACCTGCCCAGACACTTTTTTTTTTTAATGTGAAGACTGCCATTTGTACTCTACTTACCTCAGGGATGCCTTGTTTTGGTGCCATGGAATATCTTTAACAGTCTGGTGAAGCCTGTGCATCTTTCTCAGAATAATGTTTCAAAATTCATAAAATACAGGGGTGGGGTAGGGGGAGGGAGGGCATCAGGAAGAATAGCTAATGGATGCCAGGCTTAATACATAGATGATGGTTTGATCTGTGCAGCAAACCACCATGGCACACGTTTACCTATGTAACAAACCTGCACATCCTGCAAATGTACCCCTGAACTTATAATAAAAATTGAAGGAAAAAAATCATAAAATACAAAAGATTGAAAATAAACCAGTTAATTATATCAAAATACAGTTATCAAAATACTAACTTTGTGACATAGTAATATATACTTTTAAAATAACACATTAAACAAAAGATCTAGTGACAAATCTAAGAAAGTCAGTTTTGAAGTAGTTGATGAGTTTAAATAAAAATTTTAGATTTCTGCAACATTTCTCATTGGTTATATTTGTGATTTTTATTGGTGGCAGAGTTACAGATACTATTAATGTTACTGTGATTTGTTGTCTGCTGTCACAGTTAAAGGAAATGCTAAATTTCAGTCACAAGTTAGTGGAAATAAAGAAGATATTTTCCTTCATCCAAGTTATTTGACCTCTTTTAGCTCCTAAGGAAAAGGTGGCTTTCGTGAGGCCTTCTGAAACAATAGTCTGGGTGGAAAGACAACACCTTAACATTACCTTTGTGTGGTAAGGTATCAGTCTTCTCTACTGCTAATGCTGTAGTTTTGTAGGTACACTCACCTACCTCAGTTGGGACTTCAGAAGCACTTGGTTTTTTCAGCCTTGCAAGAAAGACTTCAGATTATAGGACTCTTAGCTGAAATTGCAGGACAAGGGTAGGCAGTACCTATCTTAGCAAATCTGTACTTTCTCTGTCTCTTCTTGTAACTCTAATCAAAGTTTATTTCTCTTTTAGGACTTCACTTTAAATGGCGAGAAAGAGCCAACACATGCCAACATTCTAAATTTTTCCTGCATTTCTGTTTTTGCACTAGCCTCAGTTGGCATATGGCTTGCTTTTCAAATTCCACAGATAACAGTTCGACCAAATTCTTTGTAATCAGCTTTCCAACCGTCAGTATCGGAATTTATTAACTCATTAATTCATCTTTAAGAGAGTGTGCTAGTTTAGGTTATGTTACTTGTATCACCACACTGCCATGTCCTAAATTCTCTATGTTAGGAACTACATTCATCTGCTAATAGAGACTCTTTTATAGTCGTTACATACGTTAAAATTCTGTAGGGTAGGCAGTCTGCGGCTGGGATGGCAGCTTCACAATCTACTTCACAAAAAAAATCAGGGACCCAGACTTTTTCTCTGTTTCCATATGCTCAGTATCTGGCTTCCATGTTCAGGATCATCTTACGATCCAAGATGACGCTAGAGCAATAGTTAATTCTGTCCGCATTCCAGAGGGCAGGCAGGGCAAAAGGTGCAATACCATCCTGAATAAAATTGGGATTTATTCCTAAGGTAAAAGGTAAGAACAGATATTAAGTGGCAATAGGAGTCTCTGCCATAGTCCCTGCTTCTGGTTGCTTTGGGTGTTGAAACACTGTAATAGGAGTGGTAGCACATATTGACCCAAAGAGATGCATGAGATCGGAATAATTCAAGAATCAGTCCTGTGGTAATAACAAGAATTTCTCCTGAGTTCTAAGTTGCTCAGTTTTGTTATGTGCCGCAGGTCTTAAGATGAAATGCCATGTGCCGGGAATGAAGTGGGAGGATTCAGTAATATTTGGGTCACAACATTGTTACCCTCATTATTCTTATTCTTTTTATTTTCTTTTATCTGTACCCATTTGCCCCCCTTTTTGATACGGTTGAAACTTGAAAAACTTTCTGAGTAAGCCTTTGCTACACTTTGGGAATTAGGAAAGTTGCAGAGGTAGGCCACGCAGTGTACTAAAGTAGCTAAAAAGCATACATGGGATCATATGAGTGTCCCTGTTTCATAAAGTGGGATTAAAACCCCCGTGTTATGACTCAGTTTT
The DNA here is from genome assembly GCF_000001405.40 of Homo sapiens. Lineage (NCBI taxonomy): Eukaryota > Metazoa > Chordata > Mammalia > Primates > Hominidae > Homo > Homo sapiens. The sequence continues at coordinate 42,283,338 of NC_000001.11, read as the reverse complement.
GAGTTGTTATAGCCTGAACCTGGTGCTCCTTATCCTTTAATTTTATGAAGAAAAAAATTCTGTATGGAACTTCTTTTAAGTAATAGTTACCATCATAGATCTAAGAACTGCAGACAAATTCTTCTCTGTGCTTTGCTTTCTCCCACAGGTAACAGTATATGCTTTTCATCTTACTCCCATATTCTCATTTTTCTTTGTTATTCTGGTAGAATGGTTTCTTTTCCTGTATAAAGCTGCCTGTCAGTCTGTGCTCTGAGTCATACTTTTTTCTGTCTTACGAAAGACTTCAAACCTATGAGTACCCTTACTTTCTGCTACTTAGTACTCTCACCTCTTTAACTTTTGAACTTGTTACAGTCTCACTTGTTTGGGGAGGAGCACACGCATACCTTCATTGGATAGTTACTATTTCAGTCATGAAAGTTTCTTCTTTCAAGGAGATCAGAATCTCCTGGGGGAGAGGTAGATAAAGATAATCACAGTTACATATAAATTCTGTGATAGGTGTATTTATACTCTGCTTTAGGAATAATAGCTCCTTTAGCTTAGGAGATGGAGGATGGAAAGAGGGGATTGACCAGGCTTTCTGTAGCGGGAGATGTTTGGTCTTGAAGTAGAAGCCAGCCAGGCAGACAGAGAAGGAAAGGACATTCCAGAACAGAAGGCCCTTATTCCTTATCCAGTTACTATGTTATTTTTCAGATAATTTGTACCTGGCACGGTATTGGATAGCATCAGAAGTACTAATGTATGGTCACTGTCCTCAGTGGTTGGGGGAGAGGAGGTGAGGGTAGAAAGCTTAAGCATATGATTCAACTATGCATGTGAAACAACATGTCAGTTGCCAAACTGAGGTTGTAATTGCTCTAGGAATTTAGAGAAGGATTAATAAAAGATTAGTAAAAGCTAAAGTAGTTGAAAATGAGGAATTTAGATGTAGTATAGTAGGAGTTAGGGAGCCATTGAAAGTGTTTAGGCATAATGACATGAAAGCAGTGTTGATAGGTTTCTCTTGGAGTGTATGCATGGACTGGATATGATTAGTAGGGAGGAGTGGTTGAGACATCAGAGTCCAGGAAGCCAGCTAGGAAGCTTTTGGAATGAGGTGAGGTAATGAGGGCCTGACATTTCTTAACCAGATTTCCATAACCAGATTTCTCCCAGCCTCCCATGCTGTTTTTAAATTTACCACCATCTGTTCTCGTATACAAGTGGACTTCTGTCATCACCATTCCACTAATAAGTTTGTTTGTTTCTTTTTTTTTTTTTTCTCCTTTTTTGAGACTGAGTCTCGCTCTGTTGCCCAGGCTGGATTGCAGTGGTGCAACCTCGGCTCACTGCAACCTTCATCTCCTGGGTTCAAGTGATTCTCCTGCCTCAGCCTCCCAAGTAGCTGGGATTACAGGGATGTGCCACCACATCCAGCTAATTTTTGTATTTTTAGTAGAGACGGGGTTTCACCATGTTGGTCAGACTGGTCTCAAACTCCAGACCTCAGGTGATCCGCCTGCCTCGGCCTCCCAAAGTGTTGGGATTACAGGCATGAGCCACCGCACCCGCCCTAATGAGTTTGTGTCTAAAGTTACTGGTGATCTGGCCAAACCTAATGGTCATCTTTTGTGCTCTCCACGCTTGATGGAGAACCACAGTAGCCACCAGCCTAAGTATCAACAGTGGGGACACTTTTTGCTTCACTACCAAGAATGCTGTATATAAAATTTAAGAAATTGCAAACAGAACAGAAGCCCCACTTTTTTAGAGTTTAAATTTGAGATGTTTTTATAGTGTACTTAAAATTTGCTCTTGTGGAACTGATGAATATAAGCACAGTGGAATAATTTTTACACATGATGGCTTTGAAGACTAGGGTCCTTTTTCTTTCCAGTCTATTTAAATCTTCACTTAGCTGAAGTTCTTCAGCTAAGTCAATCTTCACTTAGCTGAAGACTTGCTAAGTTCTTCCTTCTTTACCCTCAAGGCTTTAGTCCATGTTGTTTATTCCTTTTCCTGAACCTTCATAGCACCCACAGCTCAGCTGTGTACTTTTATTCAGTTCTTTGTTGTGTCTGAACTTCTTTATTGGATTATAAGTTCCTGGAGGACAGGTATGTGTGTATTTTTATTTTATTTTATTTTTTACTGTAACATAGCTCTTTACACATGTATAATTTATGCATCCTTGTTAAATATATAACACATAGTAAATACCTGTATTACTGAGATTCTTATAA